>NC_000017.11:16551717-16854747 GCF_000001405.40 Homo sapiens
ACCACTACTTCTGATACTTCTGCTGAGTATCTAACATATTGCACTTCTTCAGACTTCTTCTGAATGTTCTGACACATAGAATGCACAAAACAAAATTGAAACAAAGTTGTAAAACCGAATTGAAGTTTCCCTTATCCATTAATTACGATGTTTGGCACCTGTATGAACACGTTGATGCTGAATAAGGTTTGTACTCTGGGTGAAGGTTTTACCACATATACGACATGCATAGGGTTTCTCTCCTGTGTGAATTCTCTGGTGTTGAATAAGGCATGTTCTCTGGCTAAAATCCTTATCACATTCATTACATTTATAGGGTCTCTCTCCAGTATGAGTTCTCTGATGTTGATTAAGTGATGAGGAATAAATGAAAGCTTTCCCACATTCATTACATTTATAGGGTTTTTCTCCAGTATGAATCCTTTGATGCTGAGTAAGATTTGCGCCTTGTCTATATGCTTTCCCACATATATTGCATTTAAAGGGTTTTTCTCCATTATGAATCCTCTGATGTTGAGTAAGGTGCACACTCTGGCTGAATGCTTTCCCACACACACTGCATTTATATGGTTTCTCTCCAGTATGTGTTCTATGATGTTGAGTAAGATTTGCACTCTGGCTGAAGGCTTTCCCACATATATTACATATATAGGATTTCTCTCCAGTGTGAGTGGTTTGATGTTGAATAAGGGTTGAGGAATGAGCAAAGGCTTTTCCACATTCATTACATTTATAACACTTCTCTCCAGAATGAATTCTCTGATGTCGAATAAGGTAAGTACTCTGACTAAACACTTTCCAACATTCATTGCATTTATATGGTTTCTTCCCAGTATGTATTTTTTGATGCTGAAGAAGGTGTGTACTCTGACTGAAAGTCTTCCCACATTCATTGCATATATAAGGTTTTTCTCCAGTATGAACTCTCTGATGATTAATCAGTGATGAACTATGACTGAAGGTTTTACCACATTCCAAGCATTTATATGGTTTCTCTCCAGTATGTGTCCTTTGATGGATGGTAAGGTGTGCACGCTGACTGAAGTCTTTCCCACAGTCATCACACTTATAGGGTTTCTCTCCAGTATGAATTCTCTGATGTATAGTAAGGTGTGCACGCTGGCTGAAGGCTTTACCACACTGGTGGCATTCATATGGTTTTTCTCCAGTGTGCATTCTCTGATGTGCAATAAGGGATGAGATATGCCTAAACTCTTTCCCACATTCTTCACATTCATACGATTTCTCTTTGGCATGGGTACTTTGGTGTTTCAGGAGGGATGGGTATTTCCTAAATTTTTTCCCACACACATTACACTTGTAAGGCTTCTCTCCAGGAAGTATTTTCCTATGTACAATACCATATGAGACATGATTGAAGGTTGCCCTGCCTTCATTATACACAGAAGTTTTATTATCTAATTGGGTATCAAACTGTACAATTAGGTTTGAATGCTTTTCAAAATTATTTCTATATATATCATATTTACTAAGACATTCTTCTGTAGGATCATATTCTTGTGAAAGGACTGACTTCAAACTGAAACCTCTTTCATCAGTGTGAATTTTCCAGAAGCCACCTTTTCCTCGCCTCTCTAGTCTATCATCGTAGTCATATGAGTCTTCTAATTTGATGGTATGGGTTTCTTCCTTTGTGAGTTTAGACATATCCTCCACTGGAGTACATGCTTGGGCTTTAGTTTCCCATTCTGAAATAAAAAATATATTAAAAAATCTTCATTTATTTGGAGAAAGGAAACTGCCAAAATAGAAACAAAAGAATAAACATAGATAAAATGCCCAAAGACAACAGCTCTGAAAACCTCATCATCATGGTCTTTAAAACTTGGGAAAGGAGACAAAGAGGGCAAAAAAAGGGAGACTAAGTTGTTGAAAACAGACAGGTTCTTCATATTCAACATGGACACAGAGGGAATAAAACAGATTAAGTCAGGTGACAGAGCTAAGAGAAGTCAAAACAGTGATAACACTGTGTGGGATAACTTGGGATGGCCTCATGGATTAATTTATGTAATGTGTTCATAAAGTAGACATGCTGACTCTCATCACTCTCTCTTCCAATCTGCTCCACACAATCCCACATAATATTCCTAAAGCAATTTCACTGAGTGCTTTCTATGCTCAAATATCTCTAGTAAATCTCCCATGGCCTAAAACAATGGTTCTCAAGGCAGTCCTCCCAATAGCAGCATAAGCATCACTATCATCTAGAAATGTGTTAACATTATTGGGTCTCACCTGGACATACTGAATCAGAAACTCTGGCAGTAGAGCTGAGTAATCTGTTTTATTAAACCCAGCAGTTTTGCTACATACCAAAGTTTAAGGACTAGTGGCTTAAAGTATAAAAGTTAAAAAGTTTAAAATACCTCCACTTGGCACTCAGTCCCAAAATAATTCAGCCCTTTCTATTCTATTGTCTCCTACTACAACTCATGTTCAGCTTAATTTAGTTATCCACTACTTTTTTTTTTTTTTTTTTGAGACAGACTCTGTGCCATCTTGGCTCACTGCAACCTCTGCCTCCCAGGTTCAAGTGATTCTTGTGCCTCAGACTCCCGAGTAACTGGGATTACAGGCAGGAACCACCATGCCCAGCTAATATTTCTATTTTTAATAGAGACATGGTTTCACCATGTTGGCCAGGCTGGCCTCAAACTCCTGGCCTCAGGTGATCCGCCTGCCTCAGCCTCTCAAAGTGTTAGGGTTACAGATATGAGCCGCCACACCTGGCCTAAAGTTATCCACTACTTCTTCATAATCTTCTCTAGATGCCATGCTAATCCTAGACTCTAGGCCTTCTTTTACGATGCCTTCTCCACCTATTAAAAAAGATGTTTATAGTCCAGCTCATATTTCTCTCTACAATGCTTCTTTGAATTTAAAATACAGATTAGAGGCCAAGCTCTGTGGCTTACTCCTGTAATCCCAGCACTTTGGGAGGCCAAGGTGGGTGGATCACTTCAGGTCAGGAGTTTGAGAGCAGCCTGGCCATCATGGCAAAACGCTGTCTCTACTAAAAATATAAAAATTTAGACAGATGTGGTGGTGTGCACCTGTAGTCCCAGCTACCTGGGAGGCTGAGGCATGAGAATTGCTTGAACCCAGTAGGCGGAGGTTGCAGTGAGCCATGATCGCCCCACTGCACTCTAGCCTGGATGACAGAGCAAGATCCTGTCTCCAAAAAAATAAAATAAAACACAGATTAGGTTGAATTATGTAGGAAATTGCCTTTTTTTATAGGTCAAAATGGCTGAATGTCAGCAACCTTATATGGTTCAACCCAATATAGTATTGGGCTCATGACAGAATTTGGCTTTATATGAGTACAGTCATGGATTTCTTAACAATGAGGATACGTTCTGAGAAATGTGGTGTTGGTCGACTTCATCATTGTGTGAGCATCATAGAGTATACTTATATGAACCTAGATGATATATATGTATATATATTTTTTTCCTTTTTTAAATATGGAAAGCTAAATGTACCAGCACTATTACTGATATCAATCACTTCCCCTACTTGATCTGCAATACAAATATTAAGTGCTTATGCATCAGGCTTCTATATATGCTCCATTGTTGTCTTATGGGACCACTGTCATACATGCAGTTTGTTGTTGACCAAAACATCATTATGCAGCACATGACTGTAATTCACAATTCTGTACATTTCTTATATTTCCAACCTAGATGCAAATTCTGGAAATAGCTTATCCTTCTTTCACATTTCGTTTAGAAAATGGCCCAAGACTCTGGATATGGTGGCGACTCAACTGAAATGGTAAAATAAATGACATTAACATTTAAAAAGGAGAACTCAGATGAAAGCATACACAGATGTGCATGCATACACATAACCAAACACACACACACACACACACACACACACACACACACACACCCCAAACCAAACCAAAAAGGTTGACCCTCAATCTAACCTGGCTGTAATAAGGCAGCCAAATATGTATTTGTTGGTGCCTATTATTACGTTTCTCGTATAATTACTTAACACAAAATTTAAGTTACAACCTCTTTCTCCTTTGAAACCAGGTGGGAAACATATAACTTGCAAATATCAAGAATTACATAATGTAATTTAATCAAATATGGAATTTATAATATAGCAAAAATGGTACTAAATACTTCAGAAACTTTCTAAGAGGCAGATCATAGTATAATACCTTTACAAATATATCCATTCAATTGAGTAATATGCAGTAATTGAAAATGACAGCTACATCATCAGTAAGAGACTAGTTATTAATAGAATAAGGGATAACAGAATATTGATAACTGATAGGTAGGTCTAGTTTAAGGACTAGTGGCAGGACACATTAAGTGAAAAAAAAAGCAGGTGTATAAAAAAATGTAGAGCAAGATCCTAGCTGTGTAAAGATATGCTATTTGTGTTACAGACAGACACAGACACACACACACACACACACACACACAAAATCTAAGGGGAGAAGGTCCTGGTCATGACTGAGGGGAGAGGGACACTTAATATTTGCTTCCTTGTACTCCTTGAATTTACAAATTACTTTTTTTACTTTTATTCAAATACAAAATCACAGTTTACCTAAGAAAATGTTTAGGAGTAATGTTAAATGAAAAAAGAGTATCATAACAAGCATGAAAACACATCAGAAGTGGAAAAAGATTACCAAAATGCTAATAATGATATTATAAGTTTTCTGGTTTCTAATTTTCAGTAAATTTGCTATATTACTTTTGTTGCTATTTAGTACTAGTAAGTAGTTATATTCCACTCCAGTAGGTGTAGCAAAATAAAAAGTAATAAAAAAGAAAAATAGAAAATAGTTATATTACTTTTATGAAAGAAAAAAATTTATAAACCAACTTTCTCAAGCTAGGATTTGTTATTCCCCTCCCCAGAAGAAAATGAGAATGTGGATGGACTATACAAGTAGGTGTGTATATACACAAAAAAGAGATGAGATGATACCAGAAGTTGAGTTCAACTTCTATGCAATCAGTATCAGTCTATGACAGATTGTACATACAACTGAAAAGTACTAAAGTTATAATTAACAAACTTAAAGTGACAAGGCTGAATAGTGATCATGAATAAATTGCTACTATAAAAGCACTTTTTTTTTTTTTGAGATGGAGTTTCGCTTTTGTTGCCCAGGCTGGAGTGCAATGGCGCGATCTCGGCTCACCACAACGTCTGCCTCCCAAGTTCAAGCGATTCTCTTGCCTCAGCCTCCCGAGTAGCTGAGATTACAGGCATGTGCCACCACGCCTGGCTAATTTTGTATTTTTAGTAGAGACAGGGTTTCTCCATGTTGGTCAGGCTGGTCTCGAACTCCTGACCTCAGGTGATCGCCCGCCTCAGCCTCCCAAAGTGCTGAGATTACAGGCATGAGCTACTGCACCCGACCGATAAACGCACATTTTAAACAAATTAGTTTACTAAAACTTCTGAAACAGATCATTAAGCAGGGTTTAAATATGTGTTTATCACTAAAACCAGAAAGGATTGGTTAGAAGTGTTATCTGTTGGTTAATAAGGACAAACAGTGGTATAATATTTCTAAACAGAGGAGATTAATGTTGACTCAGGTAATCAAGGAAAGCTTCAGTGGAGGAAGTGTGATTTGAATTGAACCTCAAAGAATGGCAAAGTACTGTATAAAGAACAATAAACCATAAAATATAATAAAGAACTATAAAAGATCTGAGACAGTAATGGCCATCAAACCAATACTACTATTCTGTTTGTTAATTACCAAAGTTTCCATTTCCTGAAGTGTGACTAACCTACTTCCTGAAGTACCCTAACCAAAGGTAGATTCAACTTACTATATCTCTGAGCTGGCAAGAAAGCAAAATCCTCACAGGCCAAAAATTAAGTACAAGCAGGAAGGCAAGAAGTCAGTAATAGTTGAAGTTGACTGCCTGAGACAGCTCCTCAATCATGTTTGATGACCTTAAACTTCCATTTTGAGGGTACAAGGGACTCTGGGGCTAGAAGACAAAGGCTGGGGCCCAGCCAAGGAGAGGAGGCTGACAGGAGTCCCTTGAACAGAGGACTACACACTATGTAAGAACAGGCTAGGCTAGAAAAACAAAACCCCAAAACCTCACCTCTAAAAGATGAAAAAAGGAACTGTCTTTCTCAGTCTTGGTGCTCTTTGGAGGGAGAAAAATCCCCCCTCTCCAAATGCATAACTATACATTGCCCTTTCTTGAGTATTCAGAGCCCAAATTTGTGCTCTCTGATGATCTAAAAAACTCCTCATGTTGAGAAGTTAAAGTGACTTCAGACTGCAAGTATCTCCCAGAAGACTATCCTGGCTCTAATCCAGGCTTATTTCCATTACACTATGTATGTTTTCTCAGTGCCTAGAGTGTGCAGAATTTGTTCCCCAGAGAATTTAGTGTGCTGTAGGTGTATTTTGTATTTTGCCAACTAAGGCATATAAGGCCATAAATTATAGAGAAGAATTAGCTTTTAAAGTTTATGACCCTTAAAATACCTAATGACCAAAGTTAGTTTTTTAAAAAAGTGAAACAATTCACTCTAAGGTAGCATATCTTTTTTTTTTTCTTTGAGACAGTCTTACTCTGTCACCCAGTGGGAGTGCAGTGGTGTGATCTTGGCTCACTGCAGCCTTGCTCTCCCGGGATCAAGTTATCCTCTCACTTCAGCCTCCCTGGTAGCTGGGACTACAGTCATGCATCACCACAACCAGTTAATTAAAAAAAATTTTTTTAGTAGAGACAGGTCTCACTATGTTGCCCAGGGTGGTCTCAAATTCCTGAGTTCAAGTGATCTGCCTGCCTCAGCCTCTCAAAGTGCTGGGGTTACAGGTGTGAGCCACTGTGCCTGGCCATATCATATTTGTCATTATTGTTTAATTCATTGTTGTATACTAGCATCCATATTGGTGGACATACAAGAAGTCAGTGTCTTAGATTTAAAAAATGGAATGTCTGGGTGCTATGGCTCACACCTGTAGTCTCAGCACTGGAGGCCAAGGCAGGTGGATCACTTGAGCCCAGAAATTGAGACCAGTCTGGGAAACATGGCAAGACCCTGCCTCTGCAAAAAATACAAAAATTATCTGGGCGTGGTGGCACACACCTGTAGTCCTACCTACTCAGGAGGCTGAGGAGGAAGGATCACTTGAATGCAGGAGATGGAGGTTGCAGTGAGCCATGATCACACCATTGCACTCCAGCTTGGGTGACAGAGTGAGACTCTGTCTCAACAACAGCAATAAAATAAAATAAAATAATAAAATAAAATAAAAAATGGAATAAAAGCAAGATGCAAGAATATACATAGTATACTTCTTTCATATACAAAAGAAGATAATATATTAATAATTTATTTTTGCAAAGAGAAACATGGGAAGGATACATCAGAAACCAATGATCATGGTTACCTATAGGGAGTAGGTGGGAAGAGAGCAGAAGGAAAGGAAATGTATACCTTTCTATATAGTTTTTGAGTTCTCAGCCATGTTACTGTTTTTGCATACTCAAAAATGTAAATTAAAAATAATTTTAAAAAGCAAAAAAACACTATCCTTAGTGGTATATATTCTAAGGACAAAAAGGACTTCAAAGAAATCTTGAACTTTCTAGACTGTTTGTTATACTAATGTGAATGTGAAACTATTTTTGTGTGTAACATATGATATAGCAAATAAGTAAATATACTGATGTTGTTGGAAACCAGGTTATTCACTGTATAAGAAAGGAGATACAAAATGGAATATGGGAATATAAAAAATGGAATATCCTTGTGGTGTCAGATTTGAATTGGAGTTTAAGTATGAACTCCTGACTTAAAAGAACTAACACACACACACACACACACACACACACACACTTCCTAGCTCTATCCACTGAACAGAAGCAATGATACCCATAAACAGTGAATACGCTTATGGCCCAGATCTTGGTTTCTAAGTACCATTCCCTACTAAAATGAATCAGGGTTCCTTAGAGAAATCCCAAGTCTAAGGTGAGCATAAGGTGAGCCTAAAGAACATCTGGCTGTGCCAGAAAGCAAGGAAATGGTTGAAGACAAATTGGGACATGTCAAAAAGATGCTGGACTTTTGTTTGATGCTAGAGTGCCCAAATTTGGGACAATTGAGCATCAAAAACACAAAATAAAATGTAAAAACTGGAATTAATGGACTGATAATAAATACATACACATCCATATATATATATATATTTTTCTTTTTTCTGAGATGGAGTCTTTCTCTGTTGCCCAGGCTGGAGTGCAGTGGCACAACCTTGGCTCACTGCAATCTCCACCTCCCGAGTTCAAGCGATTCTTCTGCCTCAGCCTCCCAAGTAGCTAGGACTACAGGCACGTGCCACCACACCCAGCTAATTTTTGTATTATTATTATTTTTAGTAGAGACAGGGTTTTACCATGTTGGACAGGCTGGTCTCAAACTCCCGACCTCAAGTGATCCACCTACCTTGGCCTCCTAAAGTGCTGGGATTACAGGAGTAAGCCACCATGCCTGGCCGACTAATAATATATTGAATTTTTAAAATTTCCATTAGTCAACAGTGGTGTATATATATATATATATATATATGGGGTGGGGGAGGGAGAGCTCTTCTTTTTTTTTTGAGGTGGAGTCTAGCTCTGTTGCCCAGGCTGGAGTGCAGTGGCACAATCTTGGCTCACTGCAACCCCCGCCTCCCGGGTTCAAGTGATTCTCCTGCCTCAGCCTCCCGAGTAGCTGGGATTACAGGCACCCACCACCACGCCCAGCTAATTTTTGTATTTTCAGTAGAGACAGAGTTTCACTGTGTTGGCCAGGCTGGTCTTGAACTCCTGACTTCGTGATCCGCCCACCTTGGCCTCCCAAAGTGCTGGGATTACAAGCGCGAGCCACCGTACCCGGCTGAAAGGGCTATTCTTTAATGAAGAATGGTATTAATCATTTAGAAAAGATGACTGCATTAGAAAATCACCATTTTGGCTGGGCGTGGTGGCTCACACCTGTAATCCCAGCACTTTGGGAGGCCGAGGCGGGTGGATCACAAGGTCAGGAGATTGAGACCATCTTGGTTAACATGGTGAAACCCCGTCTCTACTAAAAATACAAAAAATTAGCTGGGTGTAGTGGCGGGTGCCTGTCGTCCCAGCTACTTGGGAGGCTGAGGCAGGAGAATGGCGTGAACGTGGAAGGTGGAGCTTGTAGTGAGCCAAGGTCCCCCCACTGCACTCCAACCTGAGCAACAGACCGAGACTCCGTCTCAAAAAAAAAAGAAAGAAAATCACCATTTTGCAGCTGGGCACGGTGGCTCACGCCTGTAATCTCAGCACTTTGGGAGGCCAAGGCGGGTGGATCACCTGAGGTCAGGAGTTTGAGACCAGCCTGGCCAACATGGTGACACCGTCTCTACTAAAAATACAAAAACTAGCCGGGTGTGGTGGCACATGCCTCTAATCCCAGCTACTGTGGAAGCTGAGGCAGGAGAATTGCTTGAACTCAGGAGGCAGAGGTTGCAGTGAGAGGAGATCACGCCACTGCACTCCACCCTGGGCGACAAGAGTGAAACTCCATCTCAAAAACAACAACAAAAAAGAAAATCACCATTTTGCAACCAGCAATATAATAACGCAAAGATCATCAAATGGATGCTAAAAATTTTAAGTAAAAGATTATCAAGGAATAGTCATGTGACCTCAAAGTATCACTCCACAGATGACTTATTAATCACAAAGAATGCACCTTTAAAAAGGACAGATCCTGTACACACCACCTTAACCAAACTGAGCATCACCAATGATGAGATGAATTACCATTATGTACCTCCTGAAGAAATGCAATGGAAGATACACATCACCTTTCAAATATCCTTGGCAAAATGTTTAAACTGACTAATCTTTAGGAAACAATGAGGCAAATCTAAACTGTAGGTCATTAAAAAAACTGGCTTGGAACCTTTAAAAAATGTCAATATCATGAAAGACTTTTTTTAAAAAAGAAAAAAGGCTGGGCAACATTTCTCTGTTAAAAGGGACTAAAGATAGGAGACATGCAAGTAGAACACGTGATTCCTGACTGGATTCTGTACTGGGGAGAAAAATATCTATAAAGGATGTTTTTAGGACAGTTGGGAAAATCTGAATATTTGACTATACATTTGATGACACTATTATATAAATGTTAATTATCTAGAGTGAGAGAATGGTATCATGCTTATGTAGAAGAATGTTCACGTTCTTAGGAGGTATTTAGGGGTTGTCTTGATGTCTATAACTAACTGTAAAACGGCTCAGTGCAAAAACCTTTGTATAGAGATATAGCAGAAGTGGCTAAATGATGATAATTAGTGATTCCCAGTAGACAGTACATAAGTGATGAATGTAATGTGCCTGTGTAGGTTTAAAATCTTTTAAAATCAAGTTATTGTGGAGGAATAAGCAAGGAATGAGAATGAAAAAGTCCATGAATAAGGAACAAGTTCAATAATAAAAATATGATGCAGATATAAAAAAAGAAATGAGGAAGCTCTTTACATACTCATTTGGAAGGCTTTTCAAGATATACTTTTAAGTTAAAAAAGCAAGGTACAAAACAGTATGTATTGTATGCTACCATTCACATTAAAAATGGACAAAAACTATTTTTATATTGACTTTATATGCAAAAAACCCAAAGCAAAATAAACATCTCAAATAACTGTTTATTGCCACGCTTTTATCCTGGAGACAACAGTTGTTCAAACTTTATTACCTGACTTCTACTTATGTGGAACTTTATTACAGACTTCTACAGGAAAACAGTGGTTCATTGACATGCTGTTATGACAGCGGTCACATGCTGGGGAGATGTAGGAACTGGGTGAATGTGGTATTCAGGTGGACATTTATATATATTTATATATTTTTTTTGCTTTATATACTTTTAAACATTTTGAATCTTGTGAATATATTATCTTTTTAAATAATTAGAAAATAAAAAAGAAAGGGATGATTTAGAAAAGTGAAGGCAGGGGGATGTAGGGATTTGTCAGTGAACAGAATAAAAGAAACTCAAAAAGAAGAAGGTTTAACATTTAAATTTTTAGGGGGCATTCATACATGTTTAAATCTAGAGGAAGGGGAAAGTGGCACAATGAAAGCCCTAGACAAAGCTCTTAAGAGATGGGACCTAGAGGTCATGTAGAAGGATAAAATGAGAAGAGACACGGGAAAAGTGTGTTAACAGTGATGTTAGGAAGCTCTTCCTGAAGAGGCCTCTGTAAGGAAGCAATGCCAAACAGCTCAGTGTTCTTCACAGGCTAGAATGCCTTTGCAAAAAGTGACCTGGTCATATTTAAAATGCATTTCTCACCACATTTAGGATATAGATTCTTAAATACAAAGAAGCTCATGCGCTTTTTGTTTCTCACCTGGACTAGGGCCTTCTAAAATTTCTTTTATCACCATCCATGGTTCTTCCAATATGGGAATCACAGTTGGTCTGTACACTGTAAGTCCTGTTCAGGAGGAATATAAAGAATTTTATCCTGGAGATAAATGGTTGCTCAAAGTTTTATTACCAGACTTCTACCTATCTGGGAGAACAGACCTCTGTAGGAAAACAATAGTTCATGGACATGATCTAATAAGAGAATTAGGCTGTTGATTGTTATCCTTTCAGAGACAGGATAACAATTTCCTGCCACTGAAGAGGATATGTGAAGGAAGAAACATTCCCTTAGAGTAGCAAAGGCTGGGCAAGGCAGCATCAGGTGGCAGCACTATGAAGCTGTGCATCAGTTGCCAATGTTCTCTCACTTAAGAACCTTTCATTTGGAAAACGGGAGTAAAACAGTCACTTTCGTGCTTGAATGAGATAAGAACATTTATTTCTGGACCCCATTTTTAGCCAAGCATGTCTGAGGACCAACCCATTTTTAATGGGAACAGGCTCGGAGGAGGAGGGATGCAGATGATCCTTACCCAGAGAAACCATGTTCCAATAGTTCTGTAACGTCACAGTCTTGTATAATTCCTTCTGCACAGGACGCATTAACTCCCAGTCCTCCTGGGTGATGTCTACAGCCACATCTTTGAATGTCATCGATTCCTAAAATATCAAATGTAACTTAACTCAGTTCAAGAACTAATGGCAAAGGGGACACTGATAACACTGGGTATATGTATGGTGGGGGACTGTCACAGAATTTTAAGCTTTAGTAGGATCCTAGAAGTTGTCTAGTCAAAACCCTCCCCTGACATATGGACAGCCCTACAGCATCTCTCCATGACCCTAAACGGAAGTTTGAAAATAGATCAGAATTTATTTTCACTTAGCACTCATGCATGCATTGGTGGCAGCTCCATTTTAAACAGAAAAGGTTTATCATTACTATTTTTAAAAGAGACAGAGTCTCGCTCTGTTGCCTGTGCTGGACTAGTGCATGCATTGCTGGCAGCTCCATTTTTAAAAGGAAAAGGTTTATTATCATTATTTTTAAAAGAGACAGGGTCTTGCCTGGTCACCTGGACTGGAGTGCGATGGTACAATCATTGTTCACTGCAGCCTCAAACTCCTGGGCAGAAGTGATCCTCTCACCTCACCCTCCTGAGTAGCTAGGACTACAGGCACACACCACCACATCTGGCTAATTTTTAATTTTTTTTTGTAGAGATGGGGTTTTGCTATGCCACCCAGGCTGGTCTCAAACTCCTGAACTCAAGCGATCCTTCACCTCAGCTCCCCAAAGTGTTGGGATTACAGGAGTGATCCACCAGGCCTGACTTGAGTTTTAAATTTTAAACACAGATGACACAGTTGAATGGTTTTGCTTTTCAAGCTGTGCTTTAAGAATAAATCCAACATGTTATAATTAAAATGTTAAGATATTTTTATGTGTTCTATGGTTAAATTCAGTCTTTCTTTTTAAAAATATAACAGATACCAATAATCACAGTGTTGAACTGCTGCACTGTTAAATACATTTCACAATCTGGTAAGGTTAGTGCTTTTCTTGTTTGCTCCTTTTGTTAAAAATATAGTATTATCTTACATGTTTCTTTTTTCTCTTTTTTTATTTGAGAAAGAGTCTTGCTCTGTCGCCCAGGCTGGAGTGCAGTGGCCTCCTGAGTAGCTGGGATTACAGGTGCACGCCACCATGCCCAGCTAATTTTTGTATTTTTAGTAGAGACAGGGTTTTGCCATGTTGGCCAGGCTGGTCTCCAAACTCCTGACCTCAGGTGATGCAGCTGCCTTGGCCTCCCAAAGTGATAGGATGACAGGTGTGAGCCACTGCGCCTGGCCACGTGTTTATTTTTTCATATAATTGTCAGTATCTTTAAAAAAGTCATATTGGAGGCCAGGCGCAGTGGCTCATACCTGTAATCCCAGCACTTTGGGAAGCCAAGGCAGGAGGATCACTTTGAGGCCAGAAGTTTAAGACCAGCCTGGGCACATAGTGAGATCCCATCTCTTAAAAAATCTTTTCTTTTAAATCATACTGGGATTTAAAAATTGTATTAAGTTTATAACTTAGGGAGAACTGATGACTTTATAATATTCAAGGTTTCTTTCATGTTCTACAAAATATTAGACATGAAAGTACTGCAATATTTATATTATGCTTAGTTTTAGATATTTTAAATTTTTTTCGGGGGTGTGATACTGGAGGCATTTTTTTCATTTTATCATTTATCTCATTTTTATATGTATATATGTAGATATATATATAAGTATATATATGTAAGTGATTGATTTTTGCATGTCATTTTCTGTAGTCATTTTATCCAATTTTTCTATTAGTGTTTCTAACACTTTTTCCCTTGATTTTGTTAGGCTTTCCAGGTAAATGTTCACACTATCAATGAATAATCATTTTAACTTGGTTACCAAAAGCTTTCCAATTTCAGAAAAACCAGTTATATTTTTACAGTAAATCTTTCTCTTAAGGTATCTTGAGTTACTATTCTTTAAAATAATATAGACTCATGGCCGGGCGCGGTGGCTCACACATGTAATCCCAGCACTTTGGGAGGCCAACACGGGTGGATCACCTGAGGTCAGGAGTTCAAGACCAGCATGAGCAACATGGCGAAACCCTGTCTCTACTAAAAATACAAAAATTAGCCAGGCATGGTGGCATGCACCTGTAACCCCAGCTACTCCAGAGGCTGTGGCATGAGAATCACTTGAACCCAGGAGGTGGAGGCTGCCGTGGACCAAGATCGCACCACTGCACTCCAGCCTGGGCAACAGAGTGCGACTCTGTCTCAAAAAATATATATAAATTCATGACCAACAGTAATATGACAGAATGCATGGCCTTTAACTACTTGTTAATGAGGAAAAATAATAGTAACAATCATCTATTAATTGCTTAACTGTAATCCAGGCTAACTACAAGTCTCATAATATTTAATACTCACAACCTAAGAGGTAAATTCTATTTATGAGAGTAGAATAACTCAGGCTAAGAGAGGTTAAGTATCTTGTCCCAAATTGCAGTTCCAATGGTAGAGCCGGGAAACAAAACCTAAATCCATCTGGCTGTGGAGGTCAATCTCGTATTCTCTATGTGATATTGCTGACAAAGTCAAAGTAAGGAAAGACATATCAAGGGAAGGCAATGGAAGCACCTTTTCTTTATAGTACATTCACCTACCTTAACAGACCAAGATAACATAGGAGAGAAACTGGGGCTTAAGTCCTTGATAGAGCTTCTGGGGGCACAGTAGTTATAGGGCCAGGTCAGAAAATGTCCTCACACACTAAGAAGGCATTTTAAAATCAGAAAAGACAGTCACACTCACTTTGGTCACCAAGTCATTTAGCCATCCTGTCTGGAAAGCATGTTTTCCTCTGGGGTCTTCCTCTGGGGTATCTTGGGAAAGGGTAGAGTTTTGAGGAGCTAGAGAAGAGAAAGAGGTCATGAGGGAGATTAGTCCTTTCTGAATAGCCTAGGAAACCCCTCACCAAATAGATGCCTACACTTTCTTAAATCGAGAAGTAAGAAGGAAATCAAAAACAGCACTCCTACTTCAAAGCATCAGAGGAAAGGGCCAATGACTTGTCCTAAGACATCAAAACAGACTTCAAAAACAAGCTCGCTCTAAAAATCTTAAAGAGTATGAACAAAATTCACATTTTAACTAAATCCTTATGTGATATTAATTTTGTGAGTTATCTCTTAATAAGGGAATGTTCTCTAGACCCTTTCTTCCTTTTTTGGAAGTATTTTATTGTAAAATTCAATTCACAAAGCAAATGATTTATTAGTAGAATGGTGCAAACCTCTGAAGGTACTTTCTGAGGGCTCACACAGTGGTAATTTGGTTGCGTCTGGTCATTATTTCAAGACGTTTTTCTTGGGGGTTTAGATAATGTGTGTTTGCTCCCAAGCAATCTGGAAGGAGAACACCATGCAGGATGGAGCTCATGTTAAAGCCTTGTTCTCACTCACTAACCTTTGTTCTCCCCAGTTTCTTTCTTTTTAAAAAATGCATCCTGGACCTCTCAGTGCTCTCCCTGATTTCTTTAAAGGAGCTGCTCAGATGTGCTAGTTGTCTTCTTTAACCACCCAGGGATTCCTCCCCTCTCTGCTCTATGATTCTCACCTTCCTCTTCTAGAATCTGAGTCAAATCCTCCACCAGAGTCACTGCTTCCTCGCTGCTCTCTGGATACTGGGACTTTACCCAAGTCCTAACCTCACCAGGCAGGATGGTCAGGAATTGCTCCAGCACCAGCAGCTCCAAAATTTGTTCCTTTGAGTGAATCTCAGGTCTCAGCCACTTAAGGCAGAGCTCTCGGAGTTGACTCAATGCCTTTCGAGGACCAGCCAGGTCTGGGTATGGAAAATTCCTAAAATTCTGTCGACAGGTCTCAGTGTCACGCAAGAATCTTGAAGTAAGGATTTCCTTCTCAACATTGTAGGGTCCACTCTGAGCCTTGTCTGACTTCCACCTTAGAAGGATTTGAGAACGTGAAGAACTGTTCATCCTCTTGCTTGAGGCTAACATTGCTACAGACAGGAGAGTCAATCTGGCAATATCCTTTATTTCTCCAGTAGTGAGCCAACTGCTTGAAGTCTCATGCTAGAGTCACAAGGACACTATATCAAAGGCTGCTGCAGCCGAGGGCAGAACAGAATCAAGGTAGAGTTAGCAGCCTTAGTGACAAATTCTGAGCCCAGAACTTGCAGGGATGGATAAGAGACCCTGAAACACAAGCATGGACCACAAGGTCAAGAATCCCTGGTGTACTCTACTATACATATACACACACAGAAACAGACTCGCAGTGTGCATAGATGAACACACATAAGCTTTACCTTGTCTTCCTCCCCTATATCCTTAGACTTGTAAGGGAACTGCCATCTGCTTGGGGTTGGTGGGGGATGGAGCTGCTATTAAAAAGGTAGTGTCAGAGGCAATGACTCGAATCTAAGCCAAACAACAGATTAAACCTCTAACCTGTTGTAACAAAAATTAAACATTTTTATAGAGAAAATAGTTTCATTATTTTAGTCACTGATGTTACAGAAGCTGTAATGACTGAACGGACTCTCAACAATAACAAAGTGAATCTGTTACTTGGAAGAAACTAGGAGAATTTCTTCTTAATACAGTGCTCAAGGTTCCCAAGGGAACTGTCAGGGGAAAGGGCGAGCCATTTATCTGCGTTGCATGTTAATGCCAGCCGATTCTAGCCTTTCACTATCAGAGGGTTGGGAAGACCAGCGGGTTGGACTGGAAAAGAGTGAAGAGGTTGGTGTGACTTCAAGTCCTTTAAGTGCTTCTATAGGAGACAGTTCTTTAGGGATATATTCGAAACCAGGATTCTCGAAGGAAACCTTAGAACCGGCCTGATCTGGAGGAGAACCGACACCACCTCTCCCCAGGCTCCAGCTCCGAGCCCTGCTGAGGCACAGTCGTGCCACCAAAGACAACTGTTTACAAGGCCCTGCGGAGGTGATGCGACAGCCTTGCCTTGCCTCCTGTCGCCTCCCCTTCCCGGCCAAGTCCCTCTGCCTCTTACTCCTCTTCAGCCGCAGGGTCGAGGTCGAGGGCAGCGGGGGAGTCGGGGACCGTGCGACGCGCAACGCTGGGACTGGGCCCACAGCAGCCTCCACCCCGTCTTTGCCCTCCCGCAAGCCACGAGCACGGGAGCCCGCGCGTGGACGGGCTCGGGCTGTCACTGATCGCGCGGACACTCGCGCGCTGCGCCCGGACATCAATACCTGTCGCTGGGACCCGGCCGACGGGCAGCCGGAGCGGCCCTAAGGCCACAGGCAACAATGGCGACGCTGGCACAGGCGCCTGCGTGGCGGGCTCAGTCCCGAGCGGCAGCGGATCCTCGGGCTCCGCCACTTCCCTTCCCCGCAAAGCACAGAGTGTCCCGGCCAGGAGCTGCACGTTCCAGCCCGGTCCTGAGAAGCCCGGCCCAGAAACCCCGGCGCCTCTGCTTAGCCGCGACCTCGCCTCGGCGTCACTGCGCATGTGCGCCAGAGGAACGCTGCGCGCCCGCAGAGCCAATCGGAGCCCAAGCTGCCGCCTCCCCCTCCCGCGCCTCTGGCCCTGGACCTGTCTCCATGGCAACCTCCTCCACCCATCGCTCTGACTTGCTTGTCAGCCTGCGAGGTTCCGAAGGGAACTTCAAAGTTTCCCCGGGCAGACGCAGGTCTGGTAGACGTCTTGGAGGCCAGGGAGGTGCCAGTAGCTGGAGGAGCGCCGGGAGTTGAAGCCCCGCGCCAACTACGCAGAGAAAACTGGGCGCCAGATTTCCTAGAGGAAGAATGGGCAGGGAAGATGTGGGTCTAAAGGCAGAAAGACTTAATGTGCGGTTTCGGGCTTTACTGTGCATACATACTAACTGTGAAAGGTTTTCACTTCCTCCTCAGGAATTTGATTCTGAGACTCTCAGATTGGGGGAAAAAAACCCATGTTCTTTCTTTCTTTCTTTTTTTTCTTTTGAGACGGAGTCTCGCTCTGTCGCCCAGGCTGGAGTGCAATGGTGCGAGCTCGGCTCACTGCAACCTCCGCCTCCTGGGTTCAAGTGATTCTCCTGTGTTCAAGTGATTCTCACTTGAACTTCCTGGGTTCAGCCTCCCGAGTAGCTGTTATTTCTAAGAGACACAAAACAAAAATACATAAAACACTGGAAAAATAAAAGCATAGAAAAACATATTCAAGGTGTTCCCGTTATCTACTGTTCTATTAACAAACCACCCCAAAACTTAGTGGTTTTGAAGGACAATCACCGTATTATGCTCATAAATTTCATGGTGAGGAATTTGAAAGGGGAACTGAGTGGGTGGGCCTTTGCCTCATTATGTCTGTAGCCTCTGTTGGGATGATTTGATGGCTGGGAGGGCCCGCTTCCAAGATGGCTTTTCCACTCACATGTCTACTGCTTGGGAGGAGATGGGCTAAAAGATGAACTCGGCTTGTGTTTGACCAGAGTGCCTCAATGTGGTCTCTCCAGCATAAAGGACTGAGGGCAGCTGGACTTGTTACATGGTGGCTCTGGGCTCCAAGAGTGAGCATTCCAGTGAACAAGAGAGAAGCGCCATGGCCAATTATAACATGGCCTTGGAAGTCACCTAACACCAATTCTGTCAGACTCTTGGTCAAAGCAATCACAAGCCTACAGAGAATCAAATGGAGGCAGAATCCTGTGAGGGTGGAGGAGGACTGTCAAAGACTCTTAATATCACCACACCAGGAAAATTTTAACAAAAAGAAAGTTGGACCGGGCGCGGTGGCTCACGCCTGTAATTCCAGCACTTTGGGAGGCCCAGGCAGGTAGATCACCTGAGGTCAGGAGTTTGAGACCAGCCTGGCCAACATGGTGAAACTCCGTCTCTACTAAAAGAACAAAAATTAGCCTGGTGTGGTGGCGCACGCCTGTAATCCCAGCTACTCAAGAGGCTGAGGCAGGAGAATCACTTGAACCTGGGAAGCGGAGGTTGCAATGAGCTGAGATTTTGCCACTGCACTCCATGTACTCCAGCCTGGGCGACACGAGCAAGACTCCATCTCAAAAAAAAAAAAAAACAAACTTGGGGAGTGTGATGGTCTTTTGATGTGTCAACTTGGCTAGGCTACAGTCTCTTGCTATTTAAGTAAACACGAATCTAGGTGTTGCTGTAAAGGCATTTTGTAGATGAGATTGAAGCCCATAAACCCAGTTGGACTAAGTAGCATGGGAGATTATCCTAGATAATTTGGGTGGGCCTGATTCAATCAGTTAAAAGCTTTCAAAAAAGAACCGAAGTTTCCCTGATGGAGAAGAAACTCCATCAGCGTACCACAGCTTCCAGCCTGCCCTTCCTGATGGGGTGCTCTTATGGACTTTGGACTCACCTGGTCACCCCCTCAATCGAGTAAGCCAACTCTTTGCCACAAGTATCTTAAATATCTACTGGTTCCGCTTTTTTGATTGAACCCTGACTGATACAAGTAATAATTCTAATATCTGATAAGCTAGAATTTGAGAAGATTAAAAGGGAATAAATAAGAGTGCTTGATGGAAAAGATATATTTATCATAAATATACAGCATGTCCCTAACACTAAGGCCTCAAAACATACAAAGCAATAGCTGACATACCTGTAGGGAGGAAAACATAAACCAACAACCAAAGCTGGAAACTTAATACGCCCTATAGTGCACACTGTGGTGCTGCCAGGATCCTCCTTCAGGGTTGAGGCATCCATCCCAGCAGCTGCCGGGTGAGTGGCTGCTGATGGCTCACAGCAAAATACTTCCTTGGGAGTTGTCCTAACTGCAGGGGGCTGCCTCTCACAAGTCACGTCTTCTCCCCGGGGGAAGTCCATATCCAAAGACTGCTCAGTGCAGGCCTCAAAGACCTGGCCCCCTGTCTTCAACTTGCAGCCTCTATAAAGGGCCATCTTGGCTTAAGAGTTCCCTGTGAGACCAACTGAGGCCTCTGTTGCAGTCATACAGCATTTAAACCTATTACTCTGTCCAGTTATCCTTATATCACTCCTGTACAGGCATTTTTTCTAGAGAACACTACCCAGTAATTACCTTGTATGCAATTCTCCATCTCAGAATCTATTTATAGGGAATCTGCCCTACACCAGTTGGTACCAGCAGTTGTTCCAAGAACGCAAACTCTAAAATGGAATTTTTTTCTTTTTGAGGTGGGGTCTTGCTCTGTCGCACAGGCTGGAGTGTAGTGGTGCAATCTCAGCTTACTGAAACCTTTGCCTCCCGGGTTCAGGCAATTCTCTCTGCCTCAGCCTCCTGAGTAGCTGGGATTACAGGCACCCACCACCACACCCGGCTAATTTTTGTATTTTTTAGTAGACACTGGGTTTCGCCATGTTGTCCAGGCTGGTCTTGAACTCCTGACCTCAGGTGATCTGCCTGCCTTGGCCTCCCAAAGTGCTGGGATTACAGGCATTAGCCATAAAATGGAATTTTGAAACTGTGTTACCTGCCACCTAGCTGACAATGAGGGAGGGCCCTATGACTTGTGATTGGCAGAGTAGTGATAATGATAGCATATGTCAGGTTGTAGCAAAGTAATTGTTAAAATTGTCAGTGGTGTTGAACTGGGGTGGAATGTTGACAGAAGGGAACGCACTGGTGGGTGCTATATCTCAGATCTTTATAACACTGGGGGAAGTGGTAATTCTAGAGATGATGGAATTGAATGGCTATTACCAGGAGCTATTGACAATGACGGTGATTAGTGACAAATTAATTGAAAATGTGAGCGTCAGAAGACTTCTTTGAAGCCTGACAGCAAAACAGCTGAGAATCAGGCCCTAACTTCAGCTAAGTTTGAATTCTAAATCCCAGCAAGTTTGCTATGCCAAGGTCAGGATCCTGCTGGGAAGGAGTAGAACTCTGAGATTTGGGATGGGGACATTTTGATTTGTGCATGCAAACACCTTCAAACACCAATCACTCTGAATTTCTCAGGCTTGCTAAAGTGGCCCACTCCTCCAAGTCTAAAGCTAGGGCTCTGCCTTGCTTGAAGATGATGCAGACTGAGGCCTCTACATTGCAATACAACCCGTGCCCCCTCAGGATCTACCTACCCTTTCCTCTCCCTACCCCATCCACTAGACCAATAACTAGAATTAAGTCACCAAAAAAACCCAACAGGGGAAATTCTGGGCATGATAAGAGAGGAAAAGAACCATCCTCTGAAGTTACTACAGGCCCTAGTTTATATGTATCTGTAGGAACCAGGACAGTATGTATGAGACTGGACCCTGAGGATGCTGGATCAAGAAGGTAAAACATATATTAGAGTACCAGAGAGTTTATTGAAAAGGAGCACATTCCTGGCCAGGCACAGTGGCTCATGCCTGTAATCCAAGCACTTTGGGAGGCTGAGGCAGGCGGCTCACCTGAGGTCAGGAGTTCGAGACCAGCCTGGCCAGCATGGTGAAACCCTGTCTCTAGTAGAAATACAAAAAATTAGCCAGGCGTGGTGGCAGGTGCCTGTAATCTCAGCAACTCAGGAGGCTGAGGCAGGAGAATCGCTTGAACCCGGGAGGTGCAGGTTGCAGTGAGCCGAGATTGCACTGTTGTACTCCAGCCGGGGCAACAAGAGCGAGGTTCTGTCTCAAAAAAAAAAAAAAAAAAAAAAAAAAAAAAAGAAGAAAAAGAAAAGAAAAAGAAAAAAGAAAGAAAGAAAGCACACTCCTGTGATACGGGACTTAAACACTCTGGCAAGGATGCTAGGAGATGGGGATTAGAGAAATTTAGAGAAATACATGGCTCATGTTAAGCAGAAAATGTCAGAATTGCTTGACAAAAGGTAAAATAAGAAGTTAAAAGGTTCAGGGAACTGGGCATACTAGAATAGGTAGAGTATGTAAGGCTGAAATACCAGCTGTCTATGTTTCATCAGAAAGTCTGGAAGATCATCTGCTGCGATAAAGAATGTGCTAGAGAGAGGCACCAGCATCATTGAGAAACTCTGTGGTAGCTGTCCTCTGCAGGCTGAGGCTGACAGTAGGGGATTTGTTACAAGACTGGGCCTCCCTGAGGATGGCTCCAGAAATAAGGTGAGCTCAATTCACATAATGAGCAGTAAGATTAAAGTGGAAGATGGGGAGAGGGAAAGGGGAAGAGGGGCTTTATCTTCAGAGAACTTTCGAGGAGATTAATAGAACATAGTGTCTCTAAAGACAAGAAATATGGGCAAACAACAGGGGAAGTAATCAGTTTATACGGTCAAGTGAAATAAAGGATGGATAATCAAGAAACTGAGGCTAATATAATGTAATGATCACTGCCATTTTCAAACCCAGAACCCATGACTGAAGAAGCCAAATCTTCAGAAGTCAGGACCCTATCTCACCACCATGAATATATGCGATAATGATTTTCCCAGCCCCCTCCCACCCAAAGGGACCTATGGCCATTTACTCAGGTATACAGGAAAAAGGGAGTCCCCAGAAGCTTCAAGGCTGCTGGACAAAGTTTCTGAGTTGGCCGGGCGTGGTGGCTCATGCCTGTAATCCCAGCACTTTGAGAGGCCAAGGCAGGCAGATCACGAGGTCAGGAGATCGAGACCATCCTGGCTAACAAGGTGAAACCCCGTCTCTATTAAAAAAACAAAAAAATTAACCAGGTGTGGTGGCGGGCGCCTGTAGTCCCAGCTACCTGGG
Organism: Homo sapiens; assembly: GCF_000001405.40. Lineage (NCBI taxonomy): Eukaryota > Metazoa > Chordata > Mammalia > Primates > Hominidae > Homo > Homo sapiens. The sequence goes on from NC_000017.11 coordinate 16,574,370, forward strand.
AGGCTGAGGCAGGAGAGTGGTGTGAACCCGGGAGGCAGAGCTTGCAATGAGCCGAGATTGGGCCACTGCACTCCAGCCTGGGCGACAGAGCGAGACTCTGTCTCAAAAAAAAAAAAAAAAGAAAAAGGTTCTGAGTTGACATTGATACTTAGGGACCTTAGGCAACATGATGGCCTCTATGTTAAAATGGAGAAGTGTGGCAGCCAGGTAGTCCATGAAAGTCTGTCTCATGGCAGGCCCACAGGATTCATTGCCCCATTCAGTGGTAATTTCCAAAGACCTTGATTGTATAACTGGAATGGATGTACTTACTGTTGGCAAACCAAATTAGTTCCTTGGCCTATAGGGTAAGAGCTACCAAAAAGGCCAAGTGGAATACTCTGAAACTACTTCCCTACCCCTTCCTTGGCCAAGACATAAGTCAAAAAGTGTCACTTCCAGAGGGAATGGCAGAGATTCATGCCTCTCTTAATGACCTAAAAGGTACAGGGTGGCAGTCCTCATTGTATCCCCACTTGATTTAACAGTCAGGCCCTTCCCAAACCCATATGGATTATGAGGATGACAGTGGATTATTATAAAAGATTGAACAAGAATTTGCTCCAATTGTTTTGCTAGAACAGACTGAGACATCCACAATTACATGGCATCCAGGCTTTGCTCTGGCAAGTGTGTTCATCTGCCAGGTGAGCAAGACATGGCAGGTAAGTCGGAGGCCTTGGTAAAAGACAAGCACTACAGAGGGTGGAGATGGATCCTACACAATTTCAGGGGCCTACTACAGCAGTAACATTTTAGGGGCAAGACAGCAATGGTCTCCAATACAGAGGGTGGATTATTGTGTTTCACATTCCTACCTCTTTTTTTTTTTTTTTGAGACTGAGTCTCACTTTGTCACCCAGGCTGGAGTGCAATGGCATGATCTCAGCTCACTGCAACCTCTGCCTCCTGGGTTCAAGCGATTCTCCTGTCTCAGCCTCCCGAGTAGCTGGGACTACAGGTGTGTGCCACCATGCCCGCTAATTTTTTTGTATTTTTGGTAGAGACAGGGTTTCACTGTGTTAGCCAGGATGGTCTCGAACTCCTGACCTCGTGATCCACCCACCTTGGCCCCCCAAAGTCCTGGGACTACAGGCATGAGCCACCATGCCTGGCCTACACTCCTACCTCTTAACAAGGAAGCACAATCCTTGATAAGACCTTTTGGGTTTCAAAGGCAGAACATTCTAACTTGAGCAAGAATCATGACATGGAATGCTGTCAGCTCTGAGTGGGGCACAGAGCAGGAAAAGGCTAGGCAGCAGGTCCAGGCTGTAGTTCAAGCAGTACTTCCACCTGGGCCATATGACCCAGCAGCTGTTATAGTAGTAGAGGTATCTGGGCTGCAAAAGACACCATGTGGAGTTTATGGCAAGCCCCACCATGTGAATCACAATATAGACCCCTCGGATTATAGAACAGGTCTTGTCATCTTCAGCAGAGAATTACATGCCATTCAAAGATCAGCTCCTAGCATGACACTGGGTAAAGAACTTGACCATGGAACATCATGTGACCTTGACCAGACCTGTTTATCATGAGCTAGGTTCCATCGGATGCTTTAAGTCATGAGGTCAAGCAAGTCTAGCAGTAATTCATAAGTAAAATGGAAGTGGTGTATGTGAGTTTGGGCATGTTTTAATATAGGTGTTATTATTATTTAAGTATAGTAAGTCCAATAGATCAGAAGATGACTGGCATTGAAAAGATAGTTTGTAATACAGATCCCAGCAGAAGGGGGTATTCCATGCCATGGGGATCTCCACGAAGAAGCACTGGGTTGGTCAGGAGGCAGAGGGTGGGGAGTTGTGGCCAAGAGCATTTATTGTGGTTTCCATGGGAAGGAATGATGAGGCATGGTAAGTGGATTCAGAATTGGCTAGTTTGAATAATTTTTTTTTTTTTTTGAGACTGAGTCTTGCTCTGTCACCCAGGCTGGAGTACAGTGGCACAATCTCAGCTCACTGCAACCTCTGCCTCCTTGGTTCAAGACATTCTCCTGCCTCAGCCTCCCCAGTAGCTGGGATTACAGGCACGCACCACCACGCCCAGCTAATTTTTGTATTTTTAGTAGAGACAAGAGTTTCACCATGTTGGCCAGGCTGGTCTCGAACTCCTGACCTTGTGATCTGCCTGACTTGGCCTCCCAAAGTATTGGGATTACAGGTGTGAGCCACCACGCCTGGCCAGTTTGAATAATTTTAGTGTGCCCTGGGGCATAAGTCTGTGCACAGTTGTCTGTTACTTAGGTACAATGTGCGTGGAGTGAAGAAAAAGTGGGAGAGAGGAGTAATTCTTTTTATTTTTTTGGTGCTGGAGTGATTAGAATAGGGGGATAGTGGCCCAGAGATAAGAAGGTGCCTGCGGGTGTGGGCTCTGGACTGGTTGGTTTGCATTTGAAAAGTGCACTCACAGACAAATTGTTAATGATCTCTAGGAACTGACTAACCCTGGTAAGGGCAGTCCCTCAGCAAGTCTTCAGATGTCAAAGCATCAGAATACATAAAATAAAAGACATGGTTAACACAGGGCACAAGCAAGACCAAAGTGGATAAGCTGCACAGGCAGATGGCTCAGCCTTTTATGGCATGATAACATGACACCTTCCCTCAGTGCACACCTATGATTGTGGGGGAACCAGCTAATGGAGGAAGAAAAAGTCCAACCCTGGTTCATGGATGAGTTTGCTCAATTTGTGGGTACCAGCTGAAAATGTGGGTACCAGCTCCTATATCATAGCCCTATTTAAGAGTGGCCTTGAAAGAAACTGATGAGAGAATGTCCTTGCAATGGACAGAGCTGGTGAACACCTGGACGTTTATTTTATGTAGAAAGAGAAGTGGACAGAAGTAAGGATACACACGAAAAAAGATGGCTGGCTTGGATGGTTGGTCAAGGGACTTAGAAGATGGAAAGACTGGAGGCAAGGAGGTCTGGGGGAAAATCCAAGTGGATAGAGCCACACTAGGGGGCATGAAGTGTGTCTTAGTCTGTTTTGTGCTGCTATAACAGAAAATCGCAGAGTGCCTAATTTATAATGAACAGAACTTTACTGACTCACGGTTCTAGAGGCTTGGAAGTCCAATATCAAGAAGCCAGCATCTGGTGAGGGCCTTCTTGCTGCATCATTCCATGTCAGAAGCACAAAGAGGGGGAGAAAGGGAGTAAAAGGGGCTGAACTTCCCCTTTGATAACAAACCCACATTCATGATAACAGCATTAATCCATTCACTCTGCTCTCAAGTCTAATCACTTCTCATTAGGCCTCACCTCCCAACACTATTGATACTGGGGATTAATTTTCCAACATCATGCTTTCTGGGGGACACATTCAAACCATGGCAGGGTGTGACAGTCTTTGTGTCATATGTTAATGTTCACCAGAGAGGATCCACTACAGAAGAAGCATGAAACTACCAAGTAGACGAAAGACTTGTCCAGTTGTCATCATCCATTCTCTGCCATTAGCTACTCCAGTGCTGGCACAGTGCATGATAGAGTACCCATGGAAGCAGGCATGGAGGCTGTGCATGGGTGGATGTCCATATGCTCCCATTCTCCAAGGCTGATCTAACTATTGATGCTTTGAACACCCAACCTACTAGCAAGAGAACAATGCCAAATGCCTGGTGCAGTATAATCACTGGAGGAGCCCATCAAGCTCGGTAGCAAGTTAATTACATAGGCCACTTTCCACTCTGGAAGGATCAGAGATGGATCTTGACTGGAAAAGACACATGTTTGGGATTCAAGTTTATCTGTCCTATTTGCAAAATCTTGGAGAGCAGAACTCTCTAAGAGTTCCAACCCAGGGTTCCAGGTAGCATTCCTGTTATCTGGAGGGTTTCAAAAGTCCAGGAATGGAGATTCCTAAACAAGAGAAAGACCATGATTTGAGTTCCAGTTCTGCTACATGCTCCTCATATGTTCTCAAATGAATGATTTAACCACTGCCCCACCTCTGTTTTCTTCCCTTTTTTAATTTAAAATTTTTATTTTTAATTTGACAAATCATAATTGTATATATTTTATGGGGTACAAAATGATGCTTTGATATATGTATACATTGTGAAATGATTATATCAAGCTCATTAACATATACCTTATCTCACATATTTATCATTTTTTGTGTGTGGTGGAAATATTTAAAATATATTATTTTAACAACTTGAAATATATAAGATGTTATTATTGTCTATGGTCACTGTGTTGCACAACAGATCTTGTAAACTTATTTCTCCTGTCTAACTGAAACTTTGTACCCTTTAGTCAACATCTCCCCATTCTCCACACACCCCCACCACCAGCAACTGGAAGCCACCATTCTACTCTCTACTTCTATATGTTTGGCTTTTTTATATTCCACAAATAAGCAAGTTCATGCAGTATTTGTCTTTCTGTGCCTGCCTTATTTCACTTAATGTAATGTCCTCCAGGTTCATCCATGTCGTTGCAAAGGATATAATTTCCTTCTTTCAAATGGATGAATAGTATTCCATTGTGTATATATACCACTTTTTTTTTTTTTTTTTTTTTATGGAGTCTCACTCTGTCGCCAGGCTGAAGTGCAGTGGCATCATCTCAGCTCACTGCAACCTCCACCTCCCAGGTTCAAGCGATTCTTCTGTCTCAGCCTCCCAAGTAGCTGGGACTACAGGCGCATGCCACCATGCCCAGCTAATTTTTGTATTTTTAGTACAGATGGGGTTTCACCATGTTGGCCAGTATGGTCTCAATCTCTTCACCTTCTGATTCGCCCGCCTTGGCCTCCCAAAGTGGAGGGATTACAGGTGTGAGCGACCGCGCCTGGCCACCACATTTTCTTTATCCATTTATTTGTTGATGAACGCTAAGGTTGATTCCCTATCTTGGCTATAATGAATAATGCTTCAATGACCATGGGAATGCAGATATCTCTTCAACGTGCTAATTTCAATTCTTTTGTATGCATACCCAGAAATGAAATTGCTGGATCATATGCTAATTCTAGTTTTGGTTTTTTGAGGAACCTCCATACTGTTTTCTATAATGGCTGTACTAATTTACATTCCCACCAACAGTGTACAAGGGTTTCTTTTTCTTCACATCCTCACCAACATTTGCTATCTTTTGGCTTTTTGATCATCGCCATTCTAACAGGTATGAGATGATATCTCATTGTGAATTTAATTTGCATTTTCTTGATGATTAATGACATTGAGTATATTTTCCTAAATCTGTTGGTCATTGATGTATCTTCTTTTGAGAAATGTCTGTTCATGTCCTTTGCCCATTTTTAAGTTTTTTTTTTTCTTGCTATTGAGTTGTTTGAGTTACTTATACATTTTGGATACTAACCCCTTATCAGATGTATCGTTTGCAAATACTTTCTCCCACTCGGTGGGTTGTCTCTTCACTCTGTTAATTTTTTCCTTTGCTGTGCCGAGCTTTTTAGTTTGATGTAATCCAATTTGTCTGTTTTTGCTTTTGTTGTCTGTACTTTCTGGGTCATAGCCAAAAAAAAATCATTGCCAGGCCAATGTCATGGAACTTTTCTTCTATGTTTTCTTCTAGTAGCTTTACAGCTTTAGGTCTTACATTTAAGTCTTTAATCCACTTTGAGTTGATTTTTGATTATGGTATAAGATAAGGAGACCCCCATTTTCTAAACTGTAAATGAAGAGAGAAATATTGTCCATGCTGCCTAATCTCACAGGTGTCTTAGGAAGATCAAATGGGATTCTGAAATCAAGCAGTTATGTTTCAGAGAGTAACAGAGTTGTAAAACCATTGTTTTGCCACCATTACAGTAAAGACAGACCAGGCAATAATCATCTATGGATGGGAAACATTAGTGAGGTAGGAGGAAATTTTGTTGCAGAGCAGAATGTTTTCATGGGCTTAAAGTGTTTCTCCACAGACAGCTTATTAGTTACAGGGAGGGAAACAGTGATTAAATAACCTAGAAATCAGAGAAAACCTTGGTTGGTTGATCAAAATTGATATTAACAGTATGAGACTGTCTTTGTATTGTTATAAAGTAATTTATAAAGAAAAGAGATTTATTTGGCTCACAGTTCTGCAGGCTGTACAATAAGCGTGGTGCCAACATCTGCTTCTGGTGAGGACCTCAGGCTGATTTCACAAATGGCGGAGGGGAAAGGAAGCTAACATGTGCAGAGATCATATGGCCAGAGAGGAAGTGAGAGAGAGAGAGGAGGTGTCAGGCTCTCTTAAAAACCAGCTGTTGGCCGGGCGCGGTGGCTCACGCCTGTAATCCCAGCACTTTGGGAGGCCGAGGCGGGTGGATCACAAGGTCAGGAGATCGAGACCATCCTGGCTAAAACGGTGAAACCCCGTCTCTACTAAAAAATACAAAAAACTAGCCGGGCGTGGTGGCGGGCGCCTGTAGTCCCAGCTACTCGGGAGGCTGAGGCAGGAGAATGGCGTGAACCCGGGAGGTGGAGCTTGCAGTGAGCCAAGATCGCACCACTATACTCCAGCCTGGGCGACAGAGCGAGACTCTGTCTCAAACAAAACAAAACAAAACAAAACAAAACAAAACAAAACAAAACAAAACAAAACAAAACAAAAAAACCCCAGCTGTCATGAAAACTAATAAAGCCAGAACTCACTCCTCATCCCGTACTCAGGGAAGGGACTAATCGACACTTAAGGGCTCCACCTCCCTCTACTCCCCACCTCCAACACTGGGGATCAAATTTCAACATGACATTTGAAGGCATCAAATATCCACATCATAGCAGCTACAGACAGAAATTCTGTGCCTCCAAGTGTGAAACCTGAACAGGATACAAGGTTACCTGGTATTTAAACCAAGAGAGAATAACCTGAATCTAATCTTGACAAAACATTAGGTAACTGTGGAATGTGCTTTTAAAATACGGGGAGAAAAAGCAAGACTCTGTCTCAAAAAAAAAAGGGGGAGAATGAGGAAACTGTATACTAACAAAATGCAAGTATCAGACAGTAAATGGAAAAACTGAAAATATTCCAGACAAAAGGAGGCAAAGATACTTTGTAATTAAATGTCATAACTGCCTATAGGCTAGATCCTATAATTGAGGGGGTTAAAAAGGACATTTTGAGTCATTTGGAAAATTACAAAAGGGCAGTAGGATAGTTGAAAGTATCGTATCAAGATTAAAGTTATAGATGTTGATAACAGTACTGTGGTTATGTAAGAGAATATTTCAATTCTTAGGAAAACCGCTCAGATGTTATTATGTATTTAGGGGTAAACGGCCATAACATATGTAACTCAAATAATTCAGGGGAAAATATTATATGTGTATATATATGTGTGTGTGTGTGTGTGTGTGTGTGTATCACCTGAGAAAGGAGAGAGGAAGAGAGAGCAAGAACACAAGCGAGTGACAGCGCACAAACTATTAAGTGGCCACAAAAATGGAGAAAATATTAAAAATATGTGAATCTAGGTATGGAGTATATTGATGTTCTTTGTACTATTCTGATTCTTGCAAAGTCTACAGTGCATAATATCTTCATAATGCGTTCTTAGGTGCCTTAATTTTTTCGCTCTTTAAATTTTCCTGGGAAATAATTTCAATCTTATATTCAAAAAGGAAAAGTTAAGGAATGAAAACAGACCAGGCGTGGTGGCTCACGCCTGTAATCCTAACACTTTGGGAGGCTGAGGTGGGCAGATCACAAGATCAAGAGATCAAGACCATCCTGGCCAACATGGTGAAACCCCATCTCTACCAAAAATACAAAAATTAGCTGGGCGTGGTGGCACATGCCTGTAGTCCCAGCTAATTGGATGCTGAGGCAGGAAAATTGCTTGAACCCGGGAGGCGGAGGTTGCACGAGCCGAGATCGTGCCACTGCACTCCAGCCTAGCGACAGAGAGAGACTGTCTCAAAAAAAATAATAATAAAAATAAAGGAATGAAAACAAAAATAAACACTTAAAGATACATTAACAAGATACTGTATATGCAAATATTTTATTAAGGAAATTAGACAATTTTGAAAAACATTAAACATTCCTTAAGTAATGGACAGCAGAGCCTATATGGGAAAAATTTTGATGAGACCCTTAGTTCATAAAAACAACACAAAGGTGTGATAACGAAAATCCTCTCATGCTCACACAAAGGCTGTGAATAGAAGGTTTTAGGGTAGGACAGGGCAATGTTTCTCCAGTAAGAAGGATGTCATTCAGTCCCTTCACTCTGTAGTTCTTGTCTTCAGGGACTAGGTACGCTGTGAACTGAATACGTGTGTCCCTCTAAGTTCATATGTTGAAATCCTAAACCCCAATGTGATGATGTTAGAGAGGTGATTAGGTCTTGGGGAGGTGACAACCTTATGAATGGGATTAATGTTCTTATAGGAAGGGACAGGGGAGCCTTCTCTTTCTTTTTCCCTCCCTTCCTCTCTGCCATTGAAGATACAAGGAGAAAATGGCTGCCTGCAAATCAGGAAGAATATACTTACCTGACACCTGATCTGCTGGCACTTTGATCTTGGACTTCTCAGCCTCCAGATTGTGAGAAGTAAATGTTAATTGTCTAAGCTAGCCCGTCTTTGGTAATTTCCTAAAGCAGCCGGAGCTGGCTAGGACAATGTGCATGTACTCCAGGGGGGACTTCATATGATAAAATTGGATGGAGGCCCAAGAAGGGACAGATGTAGCCTTAGCCTAGCTCTTGAGAGCACCAGGGCTCAAGGCTACCTTCCAGAAGAAAAGCGAGATAACTGAGAGGTGAGGATACATGGGCTCAAAATATTCTCTAGCCTGTGCTGAGGTGTGAGGTCCCCAAAGTCATGAGACTGATTCAATAAATGCATTTTCTTCTATGTTATAGGTTGAGGGCATTAGTCTTGTTTATAGATGAGGAAATGGAGGCTCAGAGAGATGTCGTGACTTAGCCAAAGTCAGTGAGTAGAGGCAGAGTCAGGACCTGAACTCTGGGGGTCTACCGCCAAGGTAACCCTGTTTTTATGTTTTAGTTACTCATACTTGAAGCAAACATGGTGGTCTTGGAACCTGTTTCTCAGCTGGAACCTGTTTCTCAGCTGGCAATAATTTCTTCAGTTGGAAACGGAGGTAAATTAATAGAACTAATTAAAAGAAGGGTCCTGCCGGGCACAGTGGCTCACGCCTGTAATCCCAGCATTTTGGGAGGCCAAGGAAGGTGGATCACCTGAGGTCAGCAGTTCGAGACCAGCCTGGCCAACATGGTGAAACCCCGTTTCTACTAAAAATACAAAAATAAGCCGGGCGTGGCGGCGGGCGCCTGTAATCCCAGCTACTCGGGAGATGAGGCAGGAGAATCGCTTGAACCCGGGAAGCGGAGGTTGCGGTGAGCCGTGATCGCACCCATTGTACTCCAGCTGGGCAAAAAGAGAGAAACACTGTCTAAAAAAAAAAAAAAAAAAGGTCAGTGGAAATGCTAGATGCTTAGCATATTTTAAAATTCAAAGGGGCTCTGGAAAATTCCCGCTGTAACGGTGAAAAATGTAGAATGCAACCGGAAGCTGGTGTAGAAGCGGGGGTTCTCCAGTCCCCAGCAGAGGCAGGGCCTCACTTGTCCCATCTCAAGTCCTGTTCCTTCCCTGTGGCCTCCTAGGCTTCGCCTCCTGCCCTCCACTGCGGGAGTTAGAAGAAGGAAAGAAAGAATAAAGATTAAAGTGTAGATAAACGAAACAGACAATTGAAAAACAGTAGACAGATTTCATAAAATCAAAAGTTCTTTTTTTGAAAAGATAAAATTGACAAACATTTACCTAGACTGACCAAGAAAAAGAGGGAAGTTTCAAAATAACGAAATTAGAGTTGAGAGTGGGAACATTACTATAGGTGTTACAGAAAGAAAAGAGATCATAATAGAATACTGCGAACAATGTACGCCAGCAAATCAGCCCACATGAAAGGGACAGCGTCAATTTCAGAGAATTGGCGCCGGGAGGGGCACGGGATCACCGTGCACAGTGAGTGCTGTACAAAGTGCCTGTGCAGCTCCCCGAAGCCGCAGGAGGGCGCCCGACTAAGCCTTTTCTGCCCTGCGTGAGGCGCATGCGTGTTCCGTCTGCAGCTGCAGACGCCCATCCTGGGAGTGGACACCAGCTTCGTTCCCTCTCAGCCCACTCGGGAAGCGCCACACGGCTTCGGCTTCGGACGATCCAGGGCCGCGTCCTCTGTGAGGAAACAGCTGTGACGGCTGAGGAGGGAGGGACCAGCTCTAACTGATTGCTTAAGTTGTTACAGATGGTACAGAGCCAGTGGCTGAGTTTTGTAAATCAGGTGTGTTCATTGAGCGAACTTTCCACTTCGGAATATTCAGCATCTGAGGAGGTTCAGTTTGATTTTGTCTATCGCTGGCGGGGCGCGGGCTGACGCCTGGGACCCCTGCACCTGGGGAAGCCGAGGAAGATCGCTTGAGCCCAGGAGTTCCAGACAAGCCTGGGCAACACAGCGAGACCCCGTCTCTACAAAAAAGAAAGAAAAATGTGTCTATCTCCAACCCAATGGTGAAATTAGGATGTCTGTAATCTCCTCGTAACATCCCGGATTATACATTATTACTTTTTTTACATTTCTTTTTTGTTCATTTTCAAAATTGGAAAATACATTCACTTGTCTTGTAAAAGTTTGTCGTTAAACATACTTGCAAATTATGTTTTGCAAGAGAAAAAAACTTTTATTTTTGTTTTTCTTTGTTGTAAGCAAGGGCAATGCAGGTCTTCTTTTTTGTCAGAATTTTTTGTTGGAAAGCTTATTTAATTTTCCACTTGTTTCAAAATATTATCCCATATTGATGAGTTGCACAGAATTTTTTTTTTTTTTTTTTTTTTGAGACAAAAGTCTTACTCTGTCTCCCAGGCTGGAGTGCAGTGGCATGATCTCGGCTCACTGCAACCTCCACCTTCCGGGTTCAAGCAATTCTCCTGCCTCAGCCTCCTGAGTACCTGGGATTACAGGCGCCCGCCACCACGCCCAGCTAATTTTTGTATTTTTAGTAGAGACGGGGTTTCACCATGTTGGTCAGGCTGGTCTCGAACCCCTGACCTCGTGATCCACCCGCCTCTACCTCCCAAAGTGCTGGGATTACAGGTGTGAGCCACCACGCCCGGGCGAGTTGCATAGAAATTTCTAATCTATTTGCACGACAATGCTTTTGATTTTGGCCTAGTGTATCTCCTCATTCAATATGATATACATTGTATTATATATACATTAAAAAATATAAATATAAATGTATTACTTATATATGGGTATATGATCAGTGTTGTTAGTTTGGGCTGGAAGTGGTCCAACTGCAGTTGCTCTGCCTGTCAGTGCCACACAGATGGGAAAATCCCAGCTCATAATTCCTGAGCACTCTCTACCCTGTATGTCCCTGCCACAATCAAGTGAGTCCCTTCTGCCTCTATAGACACTAAAACATCCCCATAGAATCCCAGAGGGCAAGAGTCAGAGAGCGGACATGCACACTGTCCAAGCATCTCTTTGCCTGACTTCTGAAGAACACGTGTGGACAGACTCCAATTAGTACAAACACAGAAAATCACAGCTGACACTACAGCCGTCTTCTGGCGTTATGAGAGTGAACTGAAGCAGAGATTCCAGGGCAGCATGCCACTTATTTGGAAGAGGAAGTTGTGCAAGTAAGTGCACTTTTCCATGGAGTTTGACATGGGGCAAAAAAGGGCAGACAGTTTCAGGGTACTCAGTGGAGGAAGTGGTTTATGTAGAAAAGTGGAAATCAAACAACTCCATGTTTCCACAGCTGAGATGTCAGAGAAGCCTAGGAAAAGGCAAATTCCCCAAAAGAGGTCACGTTTCAATTGTGTTTTAGTCCCAAGAAAATGACTTAAAATTGTTTCCACAGCTGAGATGTCAGAGAAGCCTAGGAAAAGGCAAATTCCCCAAAAGAGGTCACGTTTCAATTGTGTTTTAGTCCCAAGAAAATGACTTAAAATACTCATTGGATTAAAATATCTGGGTAGTGCCAGGCATGGTAGCTCATGCCTGTAATCTCAGCACTTTGGGAGGTTGAAGTGGGTGGATCACTTGAGTTCGGGAGTTTGAGACCAGCCTGGCTGATATATTGAAACCTTGTCTCTACTAAAAATACAAAAATTAGCCGGGCATGGTGGCGGGCGCCTGTAGTCCCAGCTACTTGGGAGGCTGAGGCAGAAGAATCGCTTGAACGCAGGAGGCGAGGTTTCAGTGAGCTGAGATCCCGCCACCACACTCCAGCCTGGGTGACAAAGCAAGAGTCCATCTCAAAAACAAACAAACAAACAAAGACTAATTTGACCACGGCCTCCTTTTGAGATCATTCTTTTGCCAGACTCCTCTGACATCTCAGGCTGACTGTCTTCAAACCTAGTCCACGAACACTCCTTGCTGGTGTCCTGTGCAAAGCCCCCCTGAAGAGTATCAGGGAACATTCTGAGACCCAGTCCCCACCCGTGTGCCCCTTTCACTATAGCTGCCTTGGAAACCTCCTGCATGTCTTCACTTGCTGCAGCAATTTCTCCCATCATTATCTTGATGGTGATGACATCTGAAAGCTCAGTCTAGATTTCATTTGAGGCACAGTCTCTGCGTGTTATAGGCACTTAAGATGTAATACATTTCAAACTGAGGCCCTCAACTTCCTCCCCAAATAAAAGTGACTTGTCCTCTAATCTCTAATCTCAGATAATGGCTCCACTAGTACCCAGTCATGAATCTGACACGGCCTCTCAAAACCACTGTCAAGCATAGCTGTGATCTCTACACGGAGCTCCACAATCGCCATTCACTTCCACACCAATACCCAGACAGTATTCCCACCCCACACTCACACTGCTCAGTGCCAGTTTAAATGTCAGTTCCTCAGATGATACAATAGTTGGCATTTAAAAAACCAAACCAAACGATAATGTTTCAATGTCCAAAACTGATGAACACATTTTGCTTAGTTCTTTCCTAAATGTGGAAGTGGATCTGATATATAATTATTTTCTCCCTCTGCTTCCCAACATGTTCTAATACATAATTTTTAGCGATACCAGTCATAATGGGGGTCCCACAAAAGAAGTTTTTGTAAGCTGAAATTAATTGACAGCTATTTAAGACTGTCACTGTGTCATGAGGAATTGTTGGACATGTTCAAATGAAAATGAGATAAGCTAAGAAGTATATTTTTAAAATGTTATTGATATGTTTGCTTTCATTAAAGCCAGGAAGGCAAATGTATTAAAACTTTCCTTTGGTATAAACTATTTAAAGTTAAAATGATGTGAGTTTTTTTTTCATTTTTAAAATAGATCAGTTTTATTCTGCTAGTTCCATAAAAACAATGTAAACACAAGCGTTCTGTACATCTTGCTGGTGAATTCACATAATGCTTAGTTCCCTGATCCTTTGACCTCCTCGTCTTCTCCAGTTATTTTCTGTCTGGACCACTGGCCTCAGGAGTGGAGTGGGGTTGGGGCTTAGGAGAGAGCAATGTGGCTTTTTGGTATGACTTGTTTTATTGCTTGCCCTCTCAGCACACTCCTGTTTCTCCTAACACAAAGTCTGAGATTTAAGCCCTTAAACCTGTAGGTTTCACCGTCAGCTTTTTCTTTTTCTTTCTTTTTTCTTTTTTTTTTTGCATAGGCATTACTAGGGACGTGAATGGGAGACTGGTATAGAAAGTGGTGAGGAGCCGAAGCCAAGAAATTGCTTTAAACACAAGATGAAAATGCTCTGTTCTGTCCACACAAAGAATCACCTAATACTGGTGTGAGGCACCTCACTTAGCTGTGGAGAAGTCCCTGGAATTAGATCTCAGAAAGACAGTTCCAGCTTTAAGACAGTAAAACCTTTTGGCAATGGGCTAATTGCCTTAAAGGAAAGAAGGGTTCTACTTGAAAGAACTTGCAGGTGGAGAAATTGTCCTACAAAGATTCTTGGAAATGTTAATGGAGATAACTGACATAGGTAGCTGTGGGCCAACCAGGAGCTGTCAACAGCCTGATCTCAGCAAAACCAGGACGGCCAGTTAATAGTTCCTTCAGTTCTCTGATGGTCACAAATGTAATTTTATTTCATTTCGCCTTGTGGAGGTTCTGCAACAAATGTAATTTTAAAGGAATTGGGAGCCAGAAAGATAAATGCAACTCCTTCAACTATGTGACAGGGCAGACTGGTGAATCTGGGTTCCCAGAGTGTGGAGCAAGTGCCCTGCATCAGAGGACGGCCCAGGGGAAACGTGCATGATGCCGAACCCCACAGGACAGAATTACTTCAATCGCCTGGTCCTGACTACTACAAGGAGGAAGTCTCAGTGTCTCAGTTTGCATCTACGCTCAGATTTCTTTTTCTTTTGGAGACAGAGTCTCCCTCTGTCGCTCAGGCTGGAGTGCAGTGGTGTGATCTTGGCTCACTGCTACCTCCACCTCCTGGGTTCAAGCAATTGTGCCTCAGCCTCCCCTGTAGCTGGGACTACAGGCGTGCGCCACCACGCCCGGCTTATTTTTGAATTTATAGTAGAGACGGGGTTTCATCATGTTGGCCAGGAATGATGCGAGTTTTAATACACTCACTTTACAGTTTCTTATGTTTTTAAACTACTTTCACGTTGTAGCAAAAACGAACCTTAAAGGCTTCACAGAGGCCGGTCCACGGGAGGGGAGCGCCGGTCTCCCGGTCCCGCCGGGCTCACAGGGACGGAGCGGCCTGGGATTCCGCCCACCCCCTTCCCGCCGTCAGCGATTCCTCCTCCTCGGAGGGTCTGGGGACTTCTCCCAGAAGCCGCCACCTCGCGCCAGGACACCGGGAGTTCCGCCGCTCCCTGCGAGAGGGAACTGGCCAGAGGCCCTGCGGGGCACCGCGCGCGAGTGAGGCAGAAACCCAGGCACCATGCAGAAAGCCCCGAAAAATGTCCCTGGAGAAGCCGGGGAACAGCTCCCTCCACAGCCGTCAGGGCCCGCACAGGCTGTTTCCTCACGGAGGACTCGGCCCCAGGTTGTCACGAAGCCGCGACCGCGCCTCCCCGGGGTCCTCAAGGAACGCAGCGCTCTGCCTCACTGCAGACAAGGCAGTCCGCAGGCGGAACACGCATGCGCGCCGGCAAGTCAGCCAGGGCGGGTTCGCGCGCCCTCTTGCGGCCCTCTAGGTGCAGTGCAGGGAGCTTTGCGTTTTAGGGACTTGGGCTCCCTCCGGCCATCCTCTATTGCTTTTTGGTATTTTCAGTAGAGACGCGGTTTCGCCATGTTGGCCAGGCTGGTTTGGAAGTCCTGACCTCAGGTGATCCACCCGCCTCGGCCTCCCAAAGTGCTGGAATTACAGGCGTGAGCCACTATGCCTGGCCCTGGCCATCCTCTTTAACTACTGAACTTCAGATTATTCAAAGCCGTTACACTCCACCCAACAGCTTCAGAATATCCTCTAGTATTCTCTAACACGCATGGAACAGTCTCCAGATTAGACCACAAATTAGGTCACAAAGCTAGTCTCAATCAATTTTAAAAGACTGAAGTAATACAATATTTTCTATAACCACAATATAAGGAAACATTAACAGAAGGAAAACTGGAACATTCACAAATACGTGAGAATTAAACAACACACTCTTAAACAACCAATGGTCAAAGAAAAAATAACATGGGAAATTGGAAAATACGATGAGACAAATGAAAATGAAGCACAACATACCAAAACTATGACAATCAGTGAAAGCAGTTTCAAAGGGAAAATTTTACGAGTAAACATTTACCTTTAAAAAACAAAGATATCAGATAAATAACCTAACTTTACACCTTAAGGAGCTGGATAAAGAAGAGAAAACAAAACCCAAAGTTAGGAGAAGGAAGATGCTATAGTTTAAATGTGTCCTCCAATGTCCATGTGTTGGAAACTTAATCTCCAATGTAACAGGGGTAAGAGGTAAGACTTTTAAGAGGTGATTAGGCCATGAGGACTCTGTCCTCATGAGTGGATTAATGCCATTATTAAGGGAGTGTGTTCCTTTCAAAAGGACAAGTTCAGCACTCTCTTGCTCTCTCTTCCCTTTTCTTGGCCCTTCTGCTTTCTCCCATGGGATAACATAGCAAGAAGGCCCTCACAAGATGCTGGCACCTTGATCTTGGACTTCCCAGCCTCCAGAACTGTAAGAAAATAAATTTCTGATTTTTGAAAAATAAATTATGTGGCCTGTGGTATTTTGTTGTAGAAGCACAAATGGACTAAGACAGAAGGAAATAATAAAGATTAGAGCATAGTTAAACAAAATAGAGGATAGAAAAATAGGGAAAAAATCAACAAAACCCAAAGTTGGTCCTTTGAAAAGGTCAAGAAAATTGACAAAACTTCAGGTAGAGTAAGAAGAGAAAGATTATTAAAACACTGTTATTTTATTATTTTTCCTAATTATTTAACAATATTTAACAGTAATATAATAAAATTATTGCAATATGAAAATTTATATAAAACTAAAACATTAAATCAGAAATAAAAGTGGGGACGTGACTATTGATTTTGAAGAAATACACAGAATTATAAGAGAATATTAAATCAATTGTATCCCAACAAAGTAGGTAATCTAGATGAAATGGATACATTTTGAGACAGAGTCTCACACTGTCATCAGGCTGGAGTGCAGTGGCACGATCTTGGCTCACTGCAACCTCTGCCTCTGCCTCCCGGGTTCAAGCGTTTCTCCTGCCTCAGCCTCCTGAGTAGTTGGGACAACAGGCGTGCACCACCACTCCCAGCTAATTTTTGTATTTCTAGTAGAGACGGGGTTTCACCATGTTGGCCAGGATGGTCTCAATCTCTTGACCTCATGATCCACCCTCCTCGGCCTCCCAAGGATAAATTCTTAGAAGCACTCAGACTTCCAAAACAGATTGAAGAAGAAATGGAGAATCTAAGGATATCTTTTTTTTTTTTTTTTTTTTGAGACAGAGTCTCACTCTGTCACCCAGGCTTGAGTGCAGTGGCACGATCTTGGCTCACTGCAATCTTGGCCTCTCAGGTTCAAGCAATTCTCCTGCCTCAGCCTCCTGAGTAGCTGAAATTACAGGTGTGTGCCACCACACCTGGCTAATTTTTGTATTTTTAGTAGAGATGGGGTTTCACCATGTTGGTCAGACTGGTCTTGAACTCCTGACCTCGTGATCCGCCCGCCTCGGCCTCCCAAAGTCGTGGGATTACAGGCGTGAGCCACTGCGCCCGGCCAGGATATCTTTTTAAATAAATAGAATGAATCAGAAACCTTTTAACAACAAAAAGGGCCAGGGCCAAATGGCTTCACTGGCAATTTCTACAAAACATTTGCAGAAGAATTAACACCAATCCATCTCAAACTCTAACCATCTGTCCTACACCCCAAAATAGAAGATAACCGATCCTAACCCTTTCTATGAGGACAGCATTACCCTAGTATTTGTGAAAAAGACTTCATAAGAAGAGAAAACCAATACAATGTTTTCTCAGTACAAACCAATATCTTTTATGCATACAGATAGAAAAAATCATCAAAATACTACCAAATTGAATTCAGCAGTATATTAAAAGAATTACACACTATGATTAGTTCAATTTATTCCAGATACACAAATTGATTCCACATACAAAATCAATTACTGCTGTATCCCACATTAATAGAATGAGGGGAAAAATCTCACAAGATTATTGCAATTCATACAAAACAAATATTTGACAAAATTCAATACCCTGTCATGATAAAAACAACACTCAATAAATTAGGATTAGAAGGGAGCTGCCTCAGCCTGAAAAACCCATAGCTAACATCACCCTCAGTGGTGAGTGCGTGTGATGAAATCTTTCTTCCTAAGATCATGGATGTCCTGTCTTCTCACCACTTCTATTCAACATCGTAAGGAAAGTTCTGGCTACAGCTTACACAGTAAATAGAAATAATAGGCATCCACATTGGAAAAAGAGTAAAACTATTTCTTTCACAGATGACATCTAGTATATTGAAAATTTTAAAGAATATAGACACATGTGCACACACACACAATTAGTGAGCATCAGTGAATTCCACAAAGCTTCAGGATACAAGATCAACAAACAATTGGTTTTATTTCTATACACTAACAACGAACAATCTGTAACGAAATTAAGAAAAAAATTTCATTTACAATATCAATAGTAAAAATACTGGGGAATCTGGACATGGTGGATCATGCCTGTAATCCCAGCACTCTGGGAGGCCCAGGTGGGAGGATTACTTGAACTCAGAGTTCGAGAACAGCCTGGGCCACATAGCGAAACCCCTGTCTCTACAAAAAATACAAAAATTTAGCCAGGTGTGGTGGTGTGTGCCTGTAGTCCCAGCTACAAAGGAGGCTGAGGTGGGAGGATGCCTTGAGCCTGGGAGACAGAGGTTACAGTGAGCCAAGATGGCACCACTGCACTCCACCCTGGGCAACAAAGCCAGGTCCTGTCTCAAAAACAAACAAACAAACAAACAAACAAACAAACAAAGAAACAAACAAAACCAAAAACACTTGGGAATGAATTTAACCAAGGAGTTGCAAGAGTTGTACACTAAAAACTGCAAAACTTTGTTCAGAGGAATTAAAGAAGGTCTAAAATGGAAAGACATTCTATGTAAATTTTAAGACTTAATATTATTAAAATGGCAATACTACTCAAAATGACCTACAGATGCAATGCAACCCTATCAATACCTCAATGGCCTGTTTTTGCAGAAAGGGAAAAGCTGATTCTAAAATTCATATGGGTGTTAGGTGTGGTGGCTCATGCCTGGAATCTTAACACTTTGGGTGGCTGAGGCAGGAGGATCATTTGAGGCCAGAGGATCATTTAAGGCTAGAAATTTGAGACCAGCCTGGGCAACGTAGCAAGACCTTGTCTCCACAAAAAATTAAAAAAAAATTAGCGGGGCTTGGTGGTGCATGCCTGTAGTCTCAACTACTCAGGAGGCTGAGTCTGGAGGAACGCTTGAGCCCAAGAAGTTAAAGCTACAATGAACTATGATTGCATCATTGCACTCCAGCCTGGGAAATAGAATGAAAGCCTGTCCAAAATAAGATAAATAAAATAAAATTCATGTGGAAAAGTAGGAGGTCCCAAATAGCCAAACAATATTGAAAAAGAACAAAATTCAAGGACCCATGTGTCTTGATTTCAAACATTGCTACAAAATTACAATAATCAAAACAATACAAACTTTTCATCAGGGAAATGCAAATCAAAACCACATCATCTCAGCACAGTTAAAATGGCTTTGTATCAAAAAGACAAAAAAAAATGAATGCTGGCAAGGATATGGAGAAAGGGCAACCTTTGTACAGTGCTGGTGGAAATGTAAATTAGTATAGCTGCTATGGAACAGAGTATGAAGGTTCCTCAAAAAACTAAAAATAGAACTACCATATGATCCAGCAATCCCACTGCTGGGTATATATCCAAAAGAAAGGAAATCAATATATTGAAGAGATACCCGCACTCCCATGTTTACTGCAGCCTTGTGAAATACTGCAGTGTTGTGAAATACTGCAGTGTTGTGAAATACTGGTTATTTCACAATAGACAAAATTGGGAATCAACCTATGTGTTCGTCAGTGGCTGAATGGATAAACAAGATGTGACATATGAATATACAACAGAATAGTATTTATCCATACAAAAGAAATGCAATCCTGACATTTGCAGCAACCCTGAATGGAACTATCATTAATTGGAACTAGAGATTAATTAAAATAAGCCAGGGACAGAAAGGCAAAGATGGCTTGCTTTCACTCATATGTGAGAGCTATAAACATGGATCTCAAGGAGATAGAGATTAGATTGTTGGTTACCAGAGCTGGGAAGGGTAGAGGAGGATAAAGAGAGGTTGATTAATGGATACAAAAATACAGTTAAATAGAAGGAATAAGATTTAGTGTTCGATAGTTCAGTAAGATGACTACAGTTAACAATAATCTACTGAATATTTCGAAATAGCCAGAAGAGAAGAATTCAGATGTTCCCAGAATAAAGAAATATTTGAGGTGTTGGATCTCCCAATTGTCCCGATTGGATCATTACGTATTATATGAGGGTATCAAAAATCCCATCTTCCAAAAATACATTTGACTATTATGTATCAATAGAAAATAAAAAGTAAAACAAAACTTCTTGCCAGCATAAAGATAGATCAATGGGGTAGAATTTAGAGTATAGAAATAAACACATATCTATGATCAATTTATTTTTAAAAGAGGTATTAAGACCATTCACTATAGAAAGATACTTTCTTCAACAAATTGTGCTAGGAAAACTGGATATCCACACACAGAATAACAAAGTTGAACACTTTCCTTATGCCATATACCAAAAATAACTCAAAATGGATCAAAGACATAACTATAAGAGCTAAAATTATAAAGCTCTTAGAAGAAAAGATAGAGATAAATTTTCATGACCTTGGATTCGGCAGTGAATTCTTATGTGTGACATCAAAAACACAAGCAACAAAAGGAAACTAGATAAATTGAACTCCATCGAAATTAAAACATTTTCTACTGGCTGGGAGGGCTGGCTCATGACGGGGGTGAAACCCCATCTCTACTAAAAATACAAAAATTAGCTGGAGGTGGTGGTGCTTGCCTGTAATTGCAGCTTCTTGGGAGGCTGAGGCATGAGAATTGTGAGAACTGCTTCAACCCAGGAGGTTGAGGTTGCAGTGAGCTGAGATCGCACCACTGCACTCCAGCCTAGGTGACAGAGTAAGACCCTGTCTTAAAAAACAAAAAATTACCATAAAACCTTTTCTGCATTAAATGCCACTATCAACTTGAGTGAAAAGACAAACTTCAAAATGAGAAAAATATTTTCAGATTTGTCTTAGTCTGTTTTGTGCTGCTATAATGGAGTACCACAGTCGGGGTAATTTGTAATGAAGAGAAGTTTACTGGCTAACAGTTCTGGAGGCTGGGAAGTCCAAGAACAAGGGGCTGGCATCTGGCAAGGGCCTTCTTAATGCATCATCACATGGTGGAAGGCATCACATGGCAGAAGGGCAAAGAGAGGCAGAGAGAGAGTAATAGGGAATGAATCTACTCCCACAATACTGGCATTAATTGCTTCATAAGGGCAAAATTCTCATGACTTAAAGACCTCTTAAAGGTCTCACCTCCCAATACCACCACAATGGCAATTAGATTTCAACATGAGTTGGCCGGGCATGGTGGCTCACGCCTGTAATCTCAGCACTTTGGGAGGCCGAGGTGGGTGGATCATGAGGTCAGGAGTTCAAGACCAGCCTGGCCAATATGGTGAAACCCCATCTCTACTAAAAAAATACAAAAATTAGCCGGGTGTGGAGGCATGTACCTGTAATCCCAGCTACTCAGGAGGCTGAGGCAGGAGAATCGCTTGAACCTTGGAGACAGAGGTTGCAGTGAGCTGAGATTGCTCCACTGCACTCCAGCCTGGGCAACAGAGTGGGACTTGGTCTCAAAACAAAACAAAACAAAAAAAACCCCACAAGTTTTGGAAGGCACAAACATTCAAACCATAGCAAAATCATATATTTTATAAGGTTCTAATATGCAGAATGTATAAAAAGTACTTACAATTGAATGAATACGATACAATGGAATACTATTCAGCCATTACAAGAAATGTGGTTTTGATATATGTTATAATGTGGATGAATCTAGATAACATGCTAAGTGAAGAAGCCAGGTACAAAAGGCCACATATTATATTCCATTTATATGAAATACAGAAAATAGGGGCCAAGCCTGGTGGCACATGCCTGTAATCCCAGCACTTTGGGAGGCCAAGGCGGGTGGATCACAAGTTCAAGAGATCAAGACCATCCTAGCCAACATGATGAAAACCCGTCTCTACTAAAAATACAAAAATTAGCTGGGCGTGGTGGCACTTGCCTGTAGTCGCAGCTACTCGGGAGGTTGAGGCAGGAGAATCGCTTGAACCTGGGAGGTGGAGGTTGCAGTGAGCCGAGATCGCGCCACTGCACTCCAGCCTGGGCAACACAGCGAGACTCCGTCTCAAAAAAAATAAAATAAAAAATAAAAAAAGGAAAAAAAAAAGAAAATAGGAAAATCCATAGAGACAGAAAAAAGACTAGTGGTTACCAGAGCCTGGGAGGAGGGGGGAAATGTGGAGTGGCTGCTTAATGGGTGAGGATTTCCTTTTGGGGTGGTGACAAATTCTGGACCTAGATAGTGTTGATGGTTGCATGACATTGTGAATGTACTTAATGTCAGTGAATTATACACTCTAAAATGGTTAGGATGATAAACTTCATGTTATGTGTATTTTGCTATAATAAAATACACAGCCTCGAGCCCCTGTGTAATCAGCGTGAATCCATTTATGAGGGTGGCACCCTCATGAACACCTCCCACTAGACCCCCTCTCCCAACACTGGTGCATTGAGGATTAAGTCTCCAACACATGCTTTTTGGGAGACACATTCAAACCATATGGTATTCCCCACAATACTGATGCTCATCTGTCATTTCCATGAAGCCCCCACCACTCAGGATGCATAAAAGCTTACTTAGTAGGATTGATGATGAGGCTTGCAGTCTCCCTGAGGAGAGCCTAGGGCCCCAGAAGCGAGCTTGCACCTCCAGGCCCTATTAACCATTAGAACTCAATCCCTGTTCCAAACACAATCAGTTCCTTCCACCCCAGCCTCCCCTTACTGGGTCAGATTTGACTGGGCATTTTAAGTGCGAGCGATGTAGTCCTCTCTCCTGAATTCAAGTTCCTCCCCCTACCCAGAAATGACAATTGCACATACAGAAGCTGATGCGTACAGTTTTAAAGAATACAATTTCTGTGTAAAAGTGTCACCATACAGTTGAAAACATCTGTATCACATATGTAACTTGCTGCCAGATGCCGGGCCAGTCACAGTGCACTCTGGCTGGATGTTTCAGAGATACTGGTTGCCTATGAAATGGTGACCATCTGATTCTGCAGAACCACAAAGTGAACACAAGTGATGATTCTAGGCATCAGTTTGCTAGAAAAGGGATCCAGCCCTCCACTTGTCACCCGAACCTCAGAGCTTCAGCCTTGGGGTTTCCTTTCAGGGCTGTGTTATGAAGGCAGAATCCCTCCCTGGTCTTCACGGATGCAGAAGGAGTTGCTGCCAACTTGAGATCTGGCACAAAAACTAAGGGAGGACTTGGAGAGGGAGTGAGGCCTCCTGAGCTGGGGCCACAGCCCCAGGGGAGCCCAGCTGCCTCCATGGCCCCCATCACAGAGATGGCCTCCCCCTGGCCTCGCTGACCAGAGCCTCAGTGGACAGGTGTGAAGGGGCAGATGGGACTCCTTCACTTTGCTCCAGTCACTCAGGGCTCCATCTCATCAGGGCAAGCTCTCTTCTCACCCCACACACCCTTCCACCCCGACACGGGCACATATACAACTGCCAGTGTGTCCCAGCCCCATGATATCCATCCAGACTTCAGCCCAGGCTGTCCCACCTCTGTGTCAGCCCTCAACAGGCTTTCGGCACAGGCTTGTCGATCTTGTTAAATGAAAATGTGTTTAACAAATTGGGATTGCAGAATCAGGTTGATTTATAGAGTAAAATGCTATCTGTGGCTAGGGCCCTCCAGGGCCCTGTGCACACATGTATGCATGCTACAGCTCCCTGAAGCCACGCAGCTGGAGAACAGAGCCAATCAGGTTCATCTGGCCAGGCAGGCAGCAGTAGGTGTTCCTGAAACCTTGCTCCTGAGACCCCGTAGCTCCAACACAGAAAGTCTGGCCAAACTGATCTACCTTGGATGGAGCCCCTCACCTACTCTGGGTCCCCACTCTCAAGTCCTTCCCAGACCTAGGGTGTGAACGGCCAGAGTCAGACCCAACACCTGCCCTCGTGTGGAGACTGCCCTACCAAGAGGCCCTTCCTTTCCATTCTATACCCTCCATCTCTACAGCAAAGATGTCATTCCTCAGCCCCATAAGTGGCAATGTCCCCACATTCCCAGCCACGGTCAGCTCCTTAAAACACAGGAGCCAACCTTCTCCATAGCCTCCAGGGAGGAGAGCATGCAGGGCCCTAGAGATGCCCGAGTTTAGGGCATGTGACAGAAGGTGATAGGGACAGAGCTCAGCTCTGTGCTGATTCTTCATGAACGGCTTGATGCTCTCCCTCTGGTGATGAGTGAGTTCTCACAGTCTTAGTTCTCATGAGAACTTACTGTTGGAAAAAGCCTGGCACCTCCTCCCTAGCCATGTGGTGCCGGCTCCCCGTCTCCTTCCGCCATGAGTGGAAGCAGCCTGAGGCCCTCACCGGAAGCAGATGCTGGCTCCGTGGTCCTTGGAAAGCCTGCAGAGCCATGGGCCAAATAAGCCTCTTTTCTTTATAAATTACCTTCTTCAGGCATTCCTTTTTAGCAACACAGACAGACTGGGAGGGTGACCCAGCCGCACATCCAGGCTTCTCCCTAGCTTGCTTTCTTTCTTTTTTTTTGAGACAGAGTCTCGCTCTGTCACCCAGGCTGGAGTGCCATGATCTTGGCTCACTGCAACCTCCGCCTCTGGGGTTCAAGCAATTTTCTGCCTCAGCCTCCCGAGTAGCTGGGATTACAGGTGCCCATCCGGCTAATTTTTTTGTATTTTTAGTAGAGACGGGGTTTCACCAAGTTGGCCAGGCTGGTCTTGAACTCCTGACCTCATGATCCACCCGCCTCAGCCTCCCAAAGTGCTGGGATTACAGGTGTGAGCCACCGCGCTTGGCCCTCCCCAGTTTTCTAAAGAGGGACCTGGGCTCCTCCCCTCTGCAGCCATGGGTATTTAGGCCAGGCATCTTGGCAGGCATTAAACCAGTATCAAACCCATCAGGGGTTTCCCCCATGAGGTTTCAGCACCTTCAAGAGACTTAACACTCATGTTGAAATTTAATCCCTAATGTGGCAGTGTTGAGAGGTGATTTGGGTCACGAGGGCTCTGCTCGTGAATTAAGGGATTAGTGGGTGAATGGATTAATGGGTTATCATGGGAGCGGCATTAGTGACTTTCTGAGGAGGAAGAGAGACCTGAGCTGGCACCATCAGCCCCCTTGCCACATGATGCCCTGTGCTGTATCAGGATGCTGCAGAGTCCCCACCAGCAAGAAGTCCCCATCAGCAGCCCCTTGGCCTTGGACTTTTCAGACTCCATAATTGTAAGAAACAAAAGCCTTTTGTTTATAAATTACCCAGCTTCAGGTATTCTGTTACAAGCAACAGAAAACAGACTAAGACAGCCGAACTACTAAGCACCCAGAATGCTCTGACATCATGGGCCAGCGTGTGTGGCTAGGGGAACCCAGGCACACATTTGAACAGAGTCCAAAGGGACAGAGGATAAAAGATAAAAGGGGTGGGACTCTGAGTTGGAGACAGCCCTGGGGCTGGGCTGACTGACCCCGCTTCATCAAGAGGGCAGGTTCTTGTTGCCTGGAAACTGATTTTAGGGCAACACAGGGTTTTCCCCCTTTGCCAGCAGGTCACTGCAAGATGAGCTCATAAATAAAGGCTGAAGATCACAACCGTCGCTGGGTTTCTGAATATCAAGCATGTAGATCTCAGGAACCATCAGATCACCATCTCAGTAGGTTCTTTTCTTAACATCCAGGGAAGTCTTAAAGCCCCTTGGTGCAAAGCAAGTGCATTTATTGATTCATAAAAACGTGCAGATCAGTACTTTTCAAGAAAGGAACATTTTGAGGAGGAGCCCCTTTTATGGGGTTATCTGTGTTGTCATGCTGTGCAGTAACTCATCCACCTGGGGTGAGGGTGGTGGCAGAGTGGAGGAAGTCACTACTGTTATCAGGGACTCGACTTGGGATCCACTTGATCCTGACTGTGTTGGGGAGAGCCTTGACCTCTGACCTCCCAGGCGGGGTTGGAGGATTCTGGTGAACTAATTCTGTGTAAAACCCTTGCAGGCCTGCCCCCGCCCTTTCCCAAAGTGCCTGACTGTGGGAGAGACTCTTCCTACATCCAAGGAGTGCTGTCCCCTCCCAAAAGGGAGTGTCCACCATCCGTGCTGCAGGCTTTCCCCTCTACAGTAGAATTTGTGCCCTGGGCTGCCCCTCTCCTCTCAGTTGGCCTTTCTGCTTGTGTGGACTCACAAAGAGTGCAGGAAGCAGGACAGGGCCCACCAGGTGTGTTGCAGGGGGGCAGCCTTGCTCTGCGCTCCACCCAGCGTCATGTTCACCACCAGGCGTCTGGGGGTTTCGGTTTCTTCTGGCTCACAGGGGTCATACGAGGACCGCAGGCTGCTGTTCATTGGATTTGGCAGGAATGTTATCACCCTGGGCTTTGGGGAAACCTCTTCTGCCAGCCCCCTGCGGTTGTGCTTTGGCTTCCTGATCTTGCCAGGCCTGCTCCACGCCCACGGCTTTACATCTTTGCCACCAACAGCTTGGCACAACTATGCAATGACTACCACCATGAGATGCTGAATCACCTCTTTGTAAGGCACTTCCTGAGGGCCCAGCTGGGGAAGGGTGGGCAGTGCGATCCCATGGGCGTCCTCAAGTCCTCCCACCCTAGGTTCTGCTCCCAGCCCCGGGTTCCGGGTTCTTCTCATTGGAAGTTGGTCTTCTGCTGCCCTTGTTATGAGGCCAGTCAAGGGAGGAGTCTCGGTTCTCCAATTATAGGTGCCTTCTCCTGACCTCCAGTTTCTGAGGGCCTGGACCCATCTTTGGCAAGTCCCAGGGCAATCAGAGCAGTTCAGACCTTTCCAAAAGAGCACTCAGCAGCGCCTGATCCTTGCTGAGCATCGTGGAGAATGGAGGAGTGTGGTAGCGAGCTGAGGACCTGAGTTGCTCTGGGGACTTGGTAACTGTCCCATCTCCTCTTTGAGCCTCTGGGGTATGGCGGCCGATTGAGAGTCTTCCATCTCTCTGGCTGACTGCCTCTCTCTGTCTCCATGGAAGAATCACGCCGACCTTGTTGAAACCATCATCCAGGTGCTCTGGAGGCAGCGCCTGCCTGGACCAGAGCAAGTTCAGCCGTGAGCCCAGCCTCTGTGGCTCCCTGCTTGGGATCCAAGTGCTTCCACACTGCATCCCTGGTGGTCAAGGTCAAGGTGAGGGTGTTCCTGGACTTGGGGGAGGGGACTGAGAGGGAAGGCCAAGGGAGCACTGAGACTCAGCAGTGTGCCCCATTTAGAGGCAACTAGGGGAAGGGCGGTGAAGTGCAATGATCCGGTGCTGGGCTGGACAGAAGTGTGTGCCCAGCGACAAGGCACTTCTCTGTGAGCTCCAGCTTCTGCCTCTGGGGGGTGGGAGACGGAAGCAAGGTGTGTTGTGCTGAGCGCACACAGATCATGTATGGGGTTAGAGAGGGTTTTTGAAAGATTTTCCTTCTTTTGTTTTTGTGAATTGAGGGACTCAATTCAGGAGGAGATGCTGAAAGAAATGATGGCATGGTATTCAGTACTAAGAAGAAATGAGTTATTACAAAGACATGGAAACACATGGAGAGACCCTAAATGCCTATTAGTAAGTTATAGGAGCCAATGGAAAAAAAGCTACATACGGTATGACTCCAACTACGGGACATTCTGGAGAAGGCAAAATTATGGAGACAGTAAAAAGATCAGTGGTAGCTAGGGGTTGGGGGAGGGAGAGATGAACAAGGACAGCACAGGGGTTTTTAGGGCTGTGGAACTACTCTGTGAGATACTATATTGGTGAATACATGTTACACATTTATTCAAACCCATAGAATGTACAACACTAAGAATGAACCATCATGTAAACTATGGAGCCACCATGCCCCGCCCTTAATAATTTTTAAGTGTAAAGTTTTGTGGCATTAAGTATATTTACATGGTTGTGCAACCATCAACATCATCCATCTCCAGAATTTTTTAATCTTCCTCAACCAAAACTCTACCATTAAAAATAACATCTCATTCCTCCCTACTTACAGTCTCTGGAAACAACCATTATACTTCCTGCCTATGAACTTCAGTAGCCTAGAAACTTCTTATAAGTGGAATCATACAATATTTGCCCTTTTGTGACTGGCTTATTTTACTTAGCATGATGTCTTCAAGGTTAATTCATGTTGTAGCACATGTCAGAATTTCCTTCCTTTTTAAAGCCAAATAATATTTCATTGTATGTATATAACACATTTTGTTTATTCATTTATCCATTGATGGACACTTGGATTGCTTCCACCTTTTGGCTGTTATGATAATGCTGCTATAAACACTGGTGTACAAATATCTGTTCAAATCCCTGCTTTCAGTTCTATTGATTATATACTCAGAAGTGGAATTGCTATTTCATGTCATATTTCTAGGTTAAATTTTTTTGAGGAATCACTATATTATTTAAAAAAGCAACTACGTCAGTTAGCACCTTACTTCTGCAAGAATGGCCATAATTAAAAAGTCAAAAACAACAGATGTAGGCCTAAATGTAGTGAAAAGAGAACGCTTATACGTTGCCAGTGGGAATGTAAATTAGTACAACCTCTATGGAAAACAGTATGGAGATTTTTTAAAGAACTAAAAGTAGATCTACCATTTGATCCCACAATCCCACTACTGGGTATCTGCCCAAAGGAAAAGAAGTCATTATATCAAAAAGACACCTACACGTGTATGTTTATTGCAGCAAAATTCACAATTGCAAAGATAGGGAACCAACCTAAGTGCCCATCGGCCAGTGAGTAGATAAAGAATACATGGTATATATACACCATGGAATACAACTCAGCCATAAAAAGAACAAAATTTTCTGTTTTCTTTTAAAAATAATAGCCACTCTAATGAGTGTAAAGTGGTTTCTCATTGTGGTTTTGATTTGAATTTCCCTAATGACTAAGAATGTTGAGGATCTTTTCATGTGCTTATTGACCATTTATCTGTGTATCCTCTTTGAAAAATGTTTATTCGTGTCCATTGAATAATTAATTTATAACTTATTATTTCATTAATTAATGTAATGAAATTAGTTTTGAACTGACATTAATTTATAATCGACAGGTAAAAGTTATATATGTTTATGGTATACAACATGATATTTTGATATAAGTATACACTGTGGAATGACTAAATCAAGCTAATTAACATATGCATCATCTCACCTTTTTTTTTTTTTTGAGACAGAGTTTCGCTCTTGTTGCCCAGGCTGGAGTGCAATGGCGCGATCTCGGCTCACTGCAACCTCTGCCTCCTGGGTTCAAGCGATTCTCCTGTCTCAGCCTCCCAAGTAGCTGGGATTACAGGTGCATGCCACCACTCCCGGCTAATTTTTGTATTTTTAGTAGAGATGGGGTTTCCTCATATTGGTCAGGCTGCTCTTGAACTCCCGACTTTAGGTGATCTGCCCACCTTGGCCTCCCAAAGTGCTGGGATTAAAGGTGTGAGCCACCACGCCTGGCCTACATACTTATATTTTTTGTGTGTGGTGATAACACTTAAAATCTCTTAGCAATTTTCAAACATACAACATATTAACTATAGTCACTATGATGTACAATACACCTAAACGTATTCCTCCTAATTGAAATTTGTACCCTTTGACCAATATCTCCCCAACTCTCCCACACCCAGTCTCTGGTAATATAAGTTCAACTTTTTCAGATTCCACATATAAGTGAGATCATGTGGTACCATGTGATATTTGTCTTTCTGTGCCTGGCTTATTTCACTTAACATAGTGCCCTCCAGGTTCATCCACGTTGTTTCAGACAACAGCATTTCATTCTTTTTAAAGGCTGAATATTACTCTATCATGTATATATACCACATTTGCTTTATCCATTCATCCATTGATGGATAAAGCTTTGATTGTTTCCATATCTTGGCTAATGTGGAAAATGCTACAATGAACATGGAAGAGCAGATATCTTTAGGAAGTAGAGATGTCATTTCCTTTGGGTATATACCCAGAAGTGAGGTTGTTGGATCATATGGTAGTTCTACTTTTAATTTTTTGAGGAAACTCTATACTGTTTTCCATAATGGTTGTACTAATTTACACTCCCACCAATGGCGTACAAGGATTCCCCTTTCTCCACATCCCAGCCAACACTTATCTTTTGTCTTTTTGATAATAGCTATTCCAACAGGTGTAAGATAACATCTCATTGTGATTTAAATTTACATTTCTCTGATGATTAGTGATGTTGAACATTTTTTCATATGTTAGTCATTTGTAGACTTTTGAGAAATGTGTAATCAATTCCTTTCCTCGTTTTTTGATCAAGTTGTTTATTTTCTAACTATTGAGTTGTTCACGGTCTTTATATATAGGTTGTCTCTTCACTCTGTTGATTATTTTCTTGGCTATGCAGAAACTTTTTAGCATAATATAATTCACTGGTTTATTTTTGTTCTTCTTGCTTGTGCTTCCAGAGTCATACACAAAAAATCAATGTCTGGAACAATGTCATGAAGCTTTTCCCCAATGTTTTTTTCTAGGAATTTTATGGTTTTGGGTCTTATGTTTAAGTCTTCAGTCCATTTTGAGTTGATTTTTGTGTATGTTGTAAGATAAAGGTCCAATTTTATTCTTCTTCATGTGGATATCCAGTTTCTCCAGCACAATTCACAGAAGATACTGCTTTTTCCTCATTGTGTGTTCTTGGCACCTTTGTTGAAAATCACTTCACTGTAAATATGTGGACTTATTTCTGGGCAGTCTATTCTGTTCCATGAGTCTGTATGTTTTTATGCCAGTACCATGCTGTTTTTATTACTATAGCTCTGTAGATTTTTAAACCAGGCAATGTGATGCCTCTAGATTTGTTCTTTTTGCTCAAGATGGCTTTGGCTATTCAGGGTGTTTTGTAGTTCCATATGAATTTCAGGAGTTTTTTTTTCCATTTCTGTGAAAAATGACATAGAAATTTTGATAGGAATTGCGCTGAATCTGTAGATTGTGTTGGTAGTATGGACATTTTAACAATATTAATTCTTATAATCCATGAACACAGTATATCTTTGCATTTATTTGTGTCTTCTTCAATTTCTTCCATCAATGTTTGATAGTTTTCAGTGTACAGATCCTTGGTTAAATTTACTCCTTTTTTGTAGCTATTGTCAATAGGATTGTTTTCTTGATTTCTTTTTCAGATAGTTGTTAGTGTATAAAAACACTACTGATTTTCAAATGGTGATTTTGTATCTTGCAACTTTACTGAATTTATTTTGTTTATGAGTTCTAATAGTTTTTTGGTGGAGTTTATAGTGTTTTCATGTCCTTCACAGAGAGAATATAACTTTTTCTTTTCCTCTTTGGATGTCTTTTATTTCTTTCTCTTGCTTAATTGCTCTGGCTAGGACATCCTGTACACAAATATTCATGGAAGCTTAATTAATAATGACCCCCAAACTGGAAACAGGTAGGTTCCCAAATGCACTTTTAACAGAATAACATTTTTCATACTTTTGTTAATGTTTTTTCACTTACCATTATACATGGATAATTAAATATTCTTCCATAGCATAATTGATAATGGCTTGATGGCCATTCTATGGATTCTAATAGTTTATTCAATCAAGGCCTTGGTTTTAATCATTAAAGTTTTTTTCCTCTCATTTTGACTATTAAAATAATTATGTCTCATCTGGCTGTTTACAAACAGGAATCTCCTGTTTTTAGTCAATAAATAAAATATTTAGAAGCGGCACTGAAATCCCATGGGTTTTATATACACCCCAGGAAGGGATAGACTGGTGGAGCAAAGCTTGGGTTTGAAAAGCTCCAGTGGAGGAAGTCCCCAGGCCCAGACTCAGGCCATGCCAGAAGAAAGGAGAAGTTTTGTCTGAAGCTGTGCTTGGTAACACTCCCCACCCTCCCACCCACCTGATATTCTCACGCCTCTGCCTTGTCAAGACATGAATGAGGCCCAGTTTGTGCCCAGGTCATTTTGCGCTTTGCCATATGCTGTGTGGAAGCTGCAGAGTGGCCATTGTGGTGCTGGTCAAGAAGGGAGTGCCAGAAGATTGACCTTTGTCCCTAAAGAGAACACCTGGCTGAGTCCAGGGCCTGGTTCGAATCCAGTTCCAGGGAGCAGGGAAGGTACTGAGCCAGTCTCTTCCACTGAGTGCATTCCAAGGGTGTTAATGGAGAGTCTTAAGGGATCAGACACATGCACCCTGGGGATCCTCTGTTGCTTTTGTACCAGCTCATAGAGTCCTAGTAGCCTCTGTGAGCTGAAAAAGCCTATTTATCGCCTTGGAATCAGCACTCCTGCCAACAAGGGTTAATCGAGATGGGAAGGGAAAGAATGTGCAGCATTATGTGACTGTAGTTTGTTATGGTATTGGTGGAGTGAAATTGTGAGAAGGCATGGGAAATGTATTTGGAGTCTTATAAAATCTTTATAACTCTGAGTCAGGTTGGATCTGGGTCATTACCGAATTCCTGTGATGTAGGGAAAATCATGTCACCAGTTACATCTGCTGAGATTCTGCCAGTCAAGTGGTCTCTGCCTCCCAATATTAAATGTCCTTGTCATCTTGTTATGCTATATTAGCAGGGAGAGGCTACTGAGGCTGTCTTGGGAATGACTGAGCCTCTTTGCTGTTTCCAGTCTTGTAGCTTCAACAGAACATGCCATCCATGCTGACCTTATTGAACAAGTCAATCTCATCCAGAGGTGTAGTAGGTGGTGGCCCAGGAAGGAAATCTGAGAGGTTTCGAGAGTATCTCTCCAGTTCTCCAAGACTTTCTCACACCCCAAATCCCCGTGTCTGAAATCCTGCTAGGATTAGATTCCTTTGGCCCATGAAGGAGTTTTTCTTCTCTGCAAGGCTCCTATGGATGTGAAAGTGGTGATCTCACTGTCACCATTCATCGTAGAGGAGTTTAAGAACCATGAGAATTCCAAGATATCCTGCAGAATTTCCAGGAGCAAGCTCTTGGGAAATTGGACAGAGCTAGCCCCAGGCAGGGCATTTTCTCACCACTTTTCTCTGTGCTACTCCGGTTTTACTGGTCACATATCTGCAGTGGACACAGAGTTCCCAGAGAGTGTGGAAGGCATCAAGGACCACAAGTCTGTGGGCTGGATCCAGCTTCAGCCTGATTTATACTCTAACTTCTTTCCCTCTGACTTGTAACGCTCCGAGCACTGGCCACACAGAAAAGCTACCAGGAGGGAGATAGCAGCTTTTCCCTCAGAAAACATGAGTCCAGAATCTGCCCAGAAGGTGTTTCTCACCATAGGAAAAGAATAGTGATCCTGCTACGCTGATCCTCCGCTCACATTTCCAGATAGACCTGGATTGTCCTGGGACTCCCACAGCCTGGGGAATTGGAGCATCAGGATTTTCCTGGCGATAATATGGCCATAAGGGACAGAGTAGTTCACTGCTCCTGTGAAAAGATTAGGAGAAACTCCTGGTGCAGATGGGATGACAGAGTTTGAAAGTTTTGAATCCTGCTTACCTCAGTTATTATGAGGTAAAAGCTCATTTTCTTCTAGGGATTTTATATGGAAAGAATAGGCCTCCTTCTCTGATTTCTATGGGATGCAAAAATTCTCAAATACAGAGAAGGCAATGTCAAAATTGTAAGGATGTGATTGCCCAAGGCAGGCAACAGATGCAGGAGCAGGACGCACTCCCACATGCAGCTGCTGAGTGTGCAAAGCTTTTCAGAAGGCTTTGGGCATGTGAATTAAAAAGCCTTATCAATATGTGTTACTTTGCCTAAGAAATTCCATTTTTTTATGATCCCATGGAAACAATTAAGGTTGTTTGCAAAGACTTTCCTGCAGGGTTATCGAAATTGTATTTATAATAGTGAAAAATTAGAAGCAATTTTAGCTCTTGGTTCCATAAATAAAGTCTATATTTTCGAGGTATGACAGGTGGGGAAGGACACTCAGGTTGGGTTCCCCAGAAAGTTGTGAGATGGAGATTTGTATGGAGGCTTTCATATCACAACCTGCAGAATAGAAGAGAAGAAAGTGGGATTGGGTAGAGGGAGAAGTTAGGCTGCTATGCAGTCTCAGTAAGGGTGCCAGTTGACCCCAGGAAGAGCTGCAGAACTGAGACAGCCCTTCAAAATTACCCCAACTTTGAGTGGAAGGGCCAGAACTTTGCCCCTATGTCAACTAGTCATTGGCTGTGGCTGTCCCAGGAACGACGTGTGTTCCAGGGCGACGGGATGCCCTTCAGCTGAGGGCTGTCTGCAAGCCATACTCCCAGCAGCTGGAGAACAAATTCCTCAGTTCTGAAAGGGGGTCGTGGGTGGCACCACCTGACAGCCACTGCAGGCCACACCTTCCACCACTTGGATTCACTTCTTCATATAAGTTTTAGGAGAAACAACTCTAGGATCCTGGTGGGTCTCTTTTTCCAGGAAGAAACTTGTAAGAGGCCAAGGGATGGACTGCAGCCACCGTCCCCACTGCAGTTGGTCTTAACCCTGCAGTTGACAGTGATTGCTGCTGTCCTCTGCTGTCCATTCCAGGTGCCCCTCAACCTCCACTGGCACCTCTGCTGGTCTTGGTGGCTTCCCAGTGGCATGATCCAGACATTCATCCCTGAGCCCCTGGTCACCATGTGCCTCTCAGGCTATGGCTACTGCACTTATCTATTTACTATGAAAATGGGGCAAGGTAGTACAGGGAGCTTTCCAGTATTAAAGTGCATTACCTGGGTGCCAAACATATTTCTCCCTTCCCCCACTGTGATTAACACTGTGTGTTAATCGCCCTACTTCCTTCTAATCATCAGGATCAAATACCCCTGTCGGGATGGTGACTCCTCTGCTTGCTGGCTGGCTCCTTGGCAGCAGCTGTAGTTTACAGCTCAAAAGAACGCTTGATGTGTTTCCCAAGGGAATTGTTTCGACCTCTAAAGCTACAGAACGGAGGTTCGTGGGATAGGGAAGCACATAACCGTCAGCTGGGTGGCTGGAAGTGATGGTGAGCAAGGACTCTCCTGTTCCCACTCCTTGGTTCCCAGGCTGTAGATGCTGCTTATAGGAACACAACCATATAAAGGCACAGGTGTCCCTTGACTTACGATGCAGTTACATTCCAATAAACCTGCCTTAAGTAGAAAATAAGTCAAAAATACATTTAGTACCCCAATAAACCATCATAAAGTCAAAAAATTGTGAGTCAAACCATCATTAGTTGGGGACCATCTGTAGTCGATCAGCGTGATCTACTGGTATTCTAACCATCTGCTAAAATAAGACTTAGCTCTATTTAGAGGAACATAAGTCAGGAACATCTATAATTTTTTCAAGTATAATGTTTGCCATCAAATGAAATATTAGAAGTCATGCAGGGGAAAAGAAAGCATCAATTGGCCAGATAGCAACAGACCCAGAAGCAATTCATCTATTGCAGTTAACACTCAAGGATTTTTAAATAAATATTATTTAAAATAAATAATATATTCAAAAGAGAAAAAAGAATGAAGAATTTTAGCAAATAAATAGAATCCATATAAAAAGAAGACTAAGATTCCAGAAATAAAACATCTGAGTAAAATGAATAATTCAAAATATGGTTTTAATAGATTAAAAACAGGATAATAACAGAAATACAGGTAAGTGGAAAGTATCCAGGTTGATGCAGATAGATAGAGAAGAATGGGAGATACAGAAAACCGTAAGAGCCATCTGGAACATGGTGAAAAGTCCTAAGCTATCTGTAACTGGAAACCTAGAATTAGAGAGAGAGAAAACGAGGTAAAGCAATATTTGAAGAAACCTGGGTGAGAATTTCCCCACACTGATGAAAGACATCATAACACAGTCTCAAAAAGCTCTACAAACCCCAAGTATGATTCAAAAGCAAAGAAAACCCCTGCACACCCAGGCACATTGCAGTAAAACCTATGACAGCTAACAGCAAAGAGAAAATCTGACAAGCAGCTAGAGAGAAAACAATGGGACTCACAATTCACAATGGACCTTTTAGTAGAAACTCTGGAAGCTGAAGACAATGGGATGTCATTTTATTCTAGATGCTTAAAAAAAAAAAGCCCGGCCAGGCGCGGTGGCTCACACCTGTAATCCCAGCACTTTGGGAGGCCGAGGGGGGCGGATCACGAGGTCAGGAGATCGAGACCATCCTGGCTGACACGGGGAAACCCCGTCTCTACTAAAAATACAAAAAATTAGCCGAGAGTGGTGGCGGGCGCCTGTAATCCCAGCTACTTGGGAGACTGAGGCAGGAGAATGGCGTGAACCCGGGAGGCGGAGCTTGCAGTGAGCCGAGATCGCGCCACTGCACTCCAGCTTGGGCGACAGAGCAAGACTCCGTCTCAAAAAAACCCACAAAAACCAACAAACAAAAACAAACAAACAAAACCCCAAATGACAGCCTAGAACTCTATTTCAAGAGAAATTATCCTCCTAAATGAATGTAATATATATCTGAAAAGCTGAGAGAATCCACTGGAAGACTATAATAAAATGCCAGAAGAGTTAATCAGGCAGAAGGAAAATGACAGCAACTGGAACAAGGAGCTTCAGGAGAGAATTAAGAGCACGAGAATAGCTAAATATGTGAGTAAATATAAGCAGACATTGCTTAAAAACAATAATAGTAATATCTTCGGGAGTTTAAAATAAATATAGAAATAAAGATCTATGACAACAATGGAACAAAAGGCAAGGAGTAAATGAAATTAAATTGTCAGTTTTTTTCATTGCTTTGAAATGGCAAAATATTAATTTCAAGAGTGTTCCAATGAGTCAAAGATTCATAGGGAATTTAAAGGGCTATTATTTTCAAACATTTCAGTCTCAGGACTGCTTTACACTTTTTTTTTTTTTTTTTTTTTGAGGCGGAGTTTTGCTCTTGTTGCCCAGGCTGAAGTGCAATGGCATGATCTCAGCTTACTGCAACCTCCCTGCCCCTGGGTTCAAGCGATTCTCCTGCCTCAGCCTCCTGAGTAGCTGGGATTACAGGCATGTGCCACCACGCCCGGCTAATTTTGTATTTTTAGTAGAGATGGGGTTTCTCCATGTTGGTCAGGCTGGTCTCGAACCCCTGACCTCAGGTGATCCGCCCACCTCAGCCTCCCAAAGTGCCAAGATTACAGGCGTGAGCCACCACACTCGGCCTGCTTTACACTTTTAAAAATTATTGAGGAACCCAAAGAGTTTTTTTATATAGGTTATATCTATTGATATTTACTGTACTTGAAATTAAAATGGGAAAAATTAAAAATAT
The DNA here is from genome assembly GCF_000001405.40 of Homo sapiens. Classification (NCBI taxonomy): domain Eukaryota; kingdom Metazoa; phylum Chordata; class Mammalia; order Primates; family Hominidae; genus Homo; species Homo sapiens. Next base: position 16,611,545 of record NC_000017.11, read on the forward strand.
TTATTTTAAAAACTGGGCAGGTGCAGTGGCTCATGCCTGTAATCCCAGCACTTTGGGAGGCCGAGGCAGGTGGATCACGAGGTCAGCAGATCGAGACCATCCTGGCTAACACAGTGAAACCCCGTCTCTATAAAAATACAAAAAGTTAGCCAGATGTGGTGGGATGCACCTCCCAGCTACTCAGGAGGCCAAGGCAGGAGAATTCCTTGAACCTGGGAGGCAGAGGTTGCAGTGAGCCGAGATCGCACCATCGCACTCCAGCCTGGATGACAAGAGCGAAACTTCATCTCAAAGAAAAAAAAATCACTAGGAATGTGGAAGATTTGAAGAAAACTATTAACCAACTAGATCTAATTAATATTTATAGAACATTAACATCTAATTGCAGAATTTTCAAGTGAAAATTCTTACTTTCGTGTTATTTTCAAGTGAATATGGAGCATTAACCAAAAAATAGAGGCTGGGCCATAAAGTAAGTCTCAACAAACTTAAGGATTAAAATAATATAGTATGAGGCCGAGCACGGCAGCTCATCACCTGTAATCCCAGCACATTGGGAGGCCGAGGCAGGTGGATCACTTGAGGTCAGGAGTTCAAGACCAGCCTGACCAACATGGTGAAACCCCATCTCTACTAAAAATACAAAAAAATTAGCTGGTTGTGGTGGCACACACCCATAATCCCAGCTATCCAGGAGGCTGAGACACAAGAATCACTTGAACCCAGGAAGCAGAGGTTGCAGTGAGCCAAGATTGTGCCACTGCACTCCAACCTTGGCAACAGAGTGAGGCTCTGTCTCAAAATAATAATAAAATAATAATAATAATAATAATAATAATAATAATAATAATAATATAGTGTGTTCTTTGATCACATTGGAATTAAACTAGGTATCTATAATAGATAAATAGAAAATCCACAAATGCTTTACAACCAATTAACATACTTCTAAATAGTCAAGGGTCAAGGTAGAAATTATAATAAAGATTAGAAAATGCTTTTAACTGAATGATAAAATACAACATAATCCATGGACAGAAAAATTAACACAAAATTGCATGTAGGACTAAACATAAAATATAAATCCATAAAATTTCCAAAGAAAACAGGAGAAAAAAACTTCAGGATCCTAGGGTAGGTAAAAATTTCTTCAATAGAACCAAAAAGGTATGACAAAAAAAAGAAATGACAAATTGATATCCATCCAAATCCAAAGCATCTGCTCTTCAAAAGACACCACTAGGAAAATTTAAAAGGAAGTTAAAGACTGACAGAAGATATTCCCAACATGTATATATGATAAAGGACTTGTATCTAAATAAAGAGCATTACAACTTAATAACAAGACCAATAACCTAATTCTTAAAATGAGCAAAATAAACAGATGCTTCACAATGGAGAGATATAAAGGCCATTAAGCACATGAAAAATGTTCAAAATAATCGTCAGGGAAACGCAAAGCAAAATCACCTTGAAGCACTGCTGCATATATTAGAAAAGTTACAAAATAATTAAAAAAAAACCTGGCCGGGCTTGGTGGCTCACGCCTGTAATCTCAGCACTTTGGGAAGTCAAGGCGGGCGGATCACGAGGTCAGGAGATCAAGATCATCCTCGCCAACACGGTGAAACCCCATCTGTACTAAAAATACAAAAAATTAGCAGGGTGTGGTGGCACGCACCTATAGTCCCAGCTACTTGGGAGGCTGAGGCAGGAGAATCGCTTGAACCTGGGAGGGGGAAGTTGCAGTGAGCCAAGATCTCGCCACTGTGCTCCACTCCAGCCTGGGCAACAGAGCAAGACTCTGTCTCTCAAAACAAACAAACAAACAAAAACCTGACAATTCAGTTGGCAAGGCTGAAAGTACCTCAAACAATCATACATTGTTGGGGGGTTGTAAAATGGTACAAATACTTTGGAAAACAATTGGCAGTTTCTTATAAAGTTTTACATATATTTATCATATGAACTAGCAACTCCAAACCCAGAAATTGATGCAATATAAATGAAAAAAATATATGTCTACACAAAAAGTTGTATATGACTGTTCATAGCAGATTTATTCATCATAACCCCAAACTGGAAACAACTGTCCATCATCGAGTGAGTTAATCAGTTGTGGTCATATATTAACATAACAGTATGCTACTCAGCAATAAGAGAATGAAACACTGATACACACCATATTAACGGATCTCAAAACTTTATGTTAAGAGAAAGAAGGCAGACACAGAAGAGTATGCTGTATCATTCCATTTATATGAAAGTCTAGAAAAGATAATTCTAATCTATACTGACAAAAACTAGATTTATGATTTCTTGGAGACAGAGGTGGGAAGCATTGTCTGGGAAAGAATGCAGGAAATTTTGGGGGTGAGGAAAATGTTGTTTGATTGTGGTGGTGGCTACACAGGTGTATAAGTTTGCCAAAACTTATCAAAATGTAAAGTTAAACTGGGTACAAATTGTTATATATCATTTATGTCTCAATAAAGGTGATAAAAATCTATTTGATACAGCTAAATAGGTACTTTAAAGAAACGTATAGCGTTAAATACAATTATTAGCAAAAAAGAATTGTTGAACATTGCTTATCTAAGATTTCATTCCAAGAAGCTAGAAAAAAAACCCCAGAAAATCATATCCAAATAAAATATTTAGAAGAAAATAAAGGAGCATAAATTAGTGAAAAAGAAATTAGCTCTATAAAAGTAGGTGGGTTTTTAAAAAAAATTAAATGTTAAGTCCTAGAAAACCTAATCAAGAAAACAGAGTACATACATTACCAACACCAGGACTGAAGAAGGGAACATCACTTTAGATCCTAAAGATATTAAAAATAGAACAGATATTATAAACTATTTAAAACCAGTAATTAGATATTTTGGTGAAATTATATGGACATAATTTTTAAAAGAATTTACCAAAATGTACACAAGAGATATAAAATTTGATTAATCCTATGTCTATCAAATCATTGACTACATAGCTAAAAATTTTCCCAGGTGCTACTCTGGTAATTTTTACACACAAAATTATGGCAAAATAATACCAAAACCAATAATACCAATCTTACACATCTTACCCACACTCTTCCAGAGGACCAAAAACAAACAAAAAACCAAAAACAAAATAAAGGGAATCCTCAACTCATGTTATGAGTCCATAATTCTGATACAAAGTCAAACAAGGCTATTACAAGAAAGAAAACACAGAAGACAATATGGACATAGACATAAAATCCTATACAAAATTTTGACAAATTTAATTCAATAATATATTAAAAATATTACCCACAATGACCAAATGAAATCTATTCCAGGAATGCAAATTGCTTTAATATCTAAAAATCAATTTGTATAGATGAATCTTGAGGACATTATGCTAAGGGAAATAAGCCAGTTACCAAAGGACAAATACTGTATGATTCTACTTATATGAGGTTATCTAGATCAGTCAAATTCATAGAGACAGAAAATAGGATGGTGGTTTCCAGGGTTTAGGGGGTGAAGTGGGGAATGGAGAGTCATTGTTTAATGGGTATTCAGTTTCAGCTTTCTTTTTTATTTTGGAGATGGAGTTTCGCTCTGTCGCCCAGGCTGGAGTGCAGTGGTGCGATCTGGGCTCACTGCAAGCTCCGCCTCCCGGGTTCAGGCCATTCTCCTGCCTCAGCCTCCTGAGTAGCTGGGAATACAGGCGCCCACCACCACGCCCGGCTAATTTTTTGTATTTTTAGCAGAGATGGGGTTTCACCGTGTTAGCCAGGATGGTCTCCATCTCCTGACCTCGTGGTCTGCCCGCCTCGGCCTCCCAAAGGGCTAGGATTACAGGCATGAGCCACCGTGCCCAGCCTCAGTTTCAGCTTTCTAAGATGAAACACATTCTGGAGATGGATAGTTGCACAATATGACTTAATGGCACTGAACTGTACACATAATGGCTAGGATTATAAATTCTACGTGTATTTTATGACAATTTTTTAAATGTTTAAAATCAAACCACATAATTTAGAGTAACAGAATGAAAAACTATAATCATCTCAATAGTGGCAAAAAATGTCTGATGAAATTCAACACCCATCCTGATAACAAACCTCAGAAAAGTAATTTGAGTGATAGAGACTATCTAAAATTTACACCTCAAGTCATACCAAATGGTAAAATGTTTTGTTTTCCTTTAGATTCTGGGAAAAAGGCAAGGATGTCTACAAATCCTATTTCTGGAGGTCCTAGCCAGTGCAATAAAGCAAGAAAAAAGTGGTATGAGGATTATAAAGAATGATGTAAAACTGACTTTACCACAGATGACATACTGTGTACACAGAAAGTCAAAAAGAATGAACAATTATAAATAAGTGAATTTAGCAAGGTCACTGGATATAAGATCAACTTTAAAAAATCTATTCCATATACATATATATATATATATATATATATATATATATATATATATATGAATGAGATATACCATATACCTATATTGTGGCAACAATCAGAAAATGAAATTAAAATAATAGCATTTATACATCAAAAACATCAAATGCATAGTACTAATCTAACAAAACTTCTACAATTGAAAAAATATAGTAACTTCCTTTTTTTTTTTTAAATACCTTTTATTTTTACTCAACTTGTTAAAGGGGCAGATAAAGACTTTGGCAAATTTGATTAACAGCACAAAATAATGTTATCCAAACTGAATAATTTATTGCTGGTCTGAGGCTTGCCTTGTTTACACTAAAGTAGAATTTACGTTGTTTCCACAAATGGCAGATATCAACATTTAAAGGAATTTAATAGTGACCTATTCAATAAGGCAATCATCTTGGTAGCAAACTTCTATTTAAATCTTACATAACTCAAGCTTTATAAAAAGCCAACATAATTGAAAATTGGGTTCTCCCTCTAAAGCCTTAAGCATTCAAAGCTCAAAACAGTTAATTTAAAAATAAGCAAACAAATAAAACAACAAAAAAACCCTGCCAGCAGATCTGGCTGAAATACTTAAAACAAACAAACAAACAAACAAAAACTAAATGAGCTTAATCTTTACAAAAGTTATGTTAGCTCAAAAGCTATAAAATCATAGTTATCTTAATTCTACAAAGAAGGGAGAGGGTCTTCATGCCACCATTTCCTTAAACCTCATCTTTTTCATCCAATTTGGCCACATATCAAATTTCTGTGTGCCCCTGTTTTCAAGAGATTCCTCTTGCAGAAGAGACCAAGTATAAACATGGAAGAGTAACTGCCTAAGCAGGAAAGTGTTCCATAATAGTGTGCAGACAACAAGAGAGTTCTGAGTTAATCCCTGGAACTCGACCTGGACCTTGATCTTGACTTTGAGCGAGATCTAGAACAGGATCTTGAAGTAGCTCTTTTTGGTGGAGGGGACACAGAGCGGGCCTTTCAGGGTGGACCAGGTAGCGGCGAATTGGAACGGGACTGGCTCCTTGATCTGGATTTTGACTTTGTATGACCCTTTCCATTTTCTTTGGGGGATCCGGACCGAGACCTGCTTCGATATTTCTCATACTCATCCTTAGATCTGCTTCGAGAATGTGAATGGGAGCCCCGATCAGACTTGGGCTTAGATTTGCTCTTTGATCTAGATTTCCTGCCTTTTGATCGAGAACGTGATCGACCTTTGCTCCGCGACCTGGAACGGGAGCGACTTTTTGAGACACTTCCAGATCTACTGCGGCTGCTCCTGCGACTCCTACTTCGTGACCATCTTCTAGATCGAGACCTGGATCTGCTTCCAGAGTAAGATCGCCTATGGCTTGTGCGTGGCTTATCTTCAATAAGCCTAATATTTCTGCCATTTATTTCTGTGCCATCCAGTTTGTCCAAAGCACGCTTCATGTCAGAGTAGGAGCGAAACTCAATTACACCCTCATTTGTTCCTTCCTTGTGGGCATCCGCACAGGTTACTTAACCTGCTTGTCGCATAAAATCCTTTAAATCTCTCCAACTGCACAGACTAGAAAGATTTTCTACAATAAGCCTGTATTCTGTACGAACAGGTGGTCCGTATTTGTCTCTGCCAGATGTCTCCGACTGCTGTATCCACCTCCACCACGGCGGCTTCCGTAGCTGTAGCTGTCGCGATTGCGACGCGGGCCCCGGGCGTGCTCTACGATCACGCGCTCGCCGCAGAGCTCCTCGCTGTTCAGCTCGTAAAGGGCGTCGTCGGTGTCGCGGGAGTCCTCGAACTCCACGAAGCCGTAGCCATTTTTGAGGTCTACTTCGAGGAGGCGGCCATAGCCACTGAAAAAGCGCTGGATGGCCTTCTCCTGGACGTTGTAGCTTAGGCGTCCTATGTAGACGCGCGGCATGTCCGTGGCGGGCGGGGGCCCAAGGGCTGGTTGTGGAACGGCGGACCGCAAGCCAGTAGCCGCGGTGCGGGTGCGGGGACGGCAAGAGCCCGAACACGCGCCTCACACCATAGTGGCGGCCGAGTCCAGCCACACAATGGTTAGCAACTTCTATAATTGAAAAAATTGTTGCAAAAATATAAGAATTGCTGAAATTTTGAGGTTAGTTCCTCAGGATCCACCTGCCTCAGGTGGATCACTTGAAGTCAGGAGTTCAAGACCAGCCTAGCCAACATGGGGAAATCCCATCTCTACTAAAAAAAAAATACAAAAAATTAGCCGGGTGTGGTGGCAGGCACCTGTAAATCCCAACTACTCGGGAGGCTGAGGTTGCAGTGAGCCGAGATTGTGCCACTGCACTCCAACCTGGGTGACAAAGCAAGGATCCAACTCAAAAACAAACAACAACAAAACCAAATCCCAAAATGTTTAAAGTATCTATATAAATGAAATGTTTTGGAATACTCATAGATTAAATGTCTCAATATTCATGTTTATAACTTCACTTTTCCAGAATTAATCTATGTATCTGATGTAATGCCAACAAAATCCTAGCTTTTTGGTATGGGGTAATTGAAAAAAAAAATCATTCAACAATGTATATGAAAATGCTAAGGACCTAAAATAGTGACAATTTTGAACAAGAACAAAATTAGAAAACATACAGTTTACCCTTGAGCACAAGTTTTAACTGTGTGGGACCACTTATACATGGATTTACTTCTACCTCTGCCACTTGAGACAGCAAGACCAACCCCTCGTCGTCTTCCACCTTAGCCTGCTCAACGTGAAGACGATGAGGATAAAGATCTTGATGATGATCCACTTCTACCTAATGAATAGTAAATATATTTTCTCTCCCTTATTTTCTTAATCATATTTTTTCTCTAGCTTACGTAAGAGTACAGTATCTAATACATACACAAAATATGTGTTAATTGACTATATTATTGGTAAGGCTCCTAGTCAAACGTAGGTTATTAGTAGTTAAGTTTTTGAGGTCAAAAGTTATACAATGATTCTTTATTGTGTAAGGGGTCAGTTCTCCTAACCCCCGAATTGTTCAAAGGTCAACTGTACTATCAGTTTTCATTTAAAATATTTGGTATTGTTACAATAATAAAAGCATACAACGAGACATAGTCCAAAAGACACTAACATGCATGATCATCGGATTTATCATAAATGTTCAACTGCAAAACAAGGGAGAGAGAGGAAGATGGCCTTTTCAATAAATGATGTTGAACAAATTGCTTATTTGTATGAAAAATATTTTGACCTCTACTCCATACCATAAATATTAATTTCAGATGGATCATACACATAAAATAGTAGATATGTGGAAGAGAATGTAGAAAAATATCTTTATGACCTTGAGTTAGGAAAATATTTCTTAAACTGGGCAAAAAAGCACTAATCATAAAGAAAAGTTATTATCAAAATTAAGAACTTCTGTTCATCAAAGGACATCATTTAGAGAGTGAAAAGGTAAGCTGCAGATGAGATATGTGTAATACAAACATCTAAAAAAACCCCGTCTCCAGAATATATAAAGAATCCTACAAATGAGCAAAAATCAGTTCCCAGCTAAAAAATGGCAAAAGTCTTGAACAGGTACTTCCCAAAGAAGATATTTAAAAAGCCAACACATATCGAAAGGAGGGGCTCAACAGCATTATCCACTGAGGAAGTGCAAATTAAACCCATAATGGAATAGCGGCATGCACAAGAACCAGGCCCTGGGAGCTCACCGTGCCACTGAAACTGCTCTAGTCAGGTTGGTGTGGGTCATCCCCAACCCCTTCCCCAATGGATACTTTTCAGTTCTTTTGTCATTTGAACCTGCTGACCACATTCCTCTTCTTGAGGCGTTTGCCTCTAAGGCAGGAATGGGAGGGAGGGTTTAGATGTAGTGAGGATTCGGAGGCAGAATGGAGGGACCAACAAAGTTGGCACCATGCGATGTCAACTCTGTGACAGCAGGGCTTCTTAAAGGTCTGACTCTCAAACCTTTCAGTCAGAAAGTGGCACATTAACTATCCTCAATGAGGATTGGTCTCTTAGTAATAGTTAATGTTTCACTATTAAACTTCAATCAAAAATGGCCATTTTAACCAGAATGTCAAATTGTTCATTTATGATGGAAGATAATTCACATCAGTGTCTTTCCCAATGTTAAATACATATTTACCCTGGCATCGTGAAAGGGTATTTGATCCTCTTATCCTCCCTGAAGTGTAACTCATCATGCCTTGTTCTTTTTGGATGTCAGGTCTTTGGTCTGTTAGGGCCTTCTGGTATCAGGGACACAGCTTCTGGGTTCCCATTGTTACTCTAGGCCCCTCCTAGCAGAAGTATTTCATAGTGTTCCCAGAACTTCCAAGCCCTCATTTATAGACTTGGGAGTTATTGGCTATTTTCTCTCTCTACACTTCATCATGCAAAGTTCAGAAGCTTTACACGGCCTCTTCCATAAAGACACCTGTTGTTGCCACTGTGACCTTTTCTTTGGTGGCATGTTGAAAGTGGAACTTCTTTCTGAGGCTTGAGGTCTTCTGGTCTACAGCCTGGGCACAAGTTCCAGATATTCTTGGGCACATTTTTCATCTATCTGGAATTTCTATCACCTCCTACAAATGAAACTCAGTGGGTGGTAGGAATAAGATGCTAAGTAACTTTTTTTGGAATTTAGGTAACATCAGAACCAATTTCCATGCTCTAAGATGCATGAGCACCTCTCCCCCTCATTGTATATCCAGCACTGAGGGTAGGTCCTGGCACATTGAAGGTGTCCAATAAATAAAACGCACAACGAAAATATTTTTCCTTTTAATGTAAATATTACAGGTTCATTGCAAGGAAAAAATTAACTTAAAAACACAGAAAAGAAAGTAAAAAACAAAAAATTGATGAACCACTAAAACAGAAATAACCATCATTAATTTTTTGGAGACCATCCTTTCATCTCTCTCAAAAGTTCACATAATTACATAATATTACATTTACAGTTTTATACCATAAAGGCAGCATTTACATTTTTCTGTTTTTACAGTCTCCCCTTCCCTTATCTCTACTTCTCCTTTTCTCACTCCCCTCAAGGTAATCAATATTAACAGCCTGGTGTATATTCTTCCATACCTGTCTCCATGTGCATCTAACCACACACACACACATAAACACAAAATAAATGGGTGTGATTATTTTAACAAAAATGATATATTGTATATATACATTTGTTATAAAGCAATTATTTATCAATACATTGTGGAAATACATTGAAATCAGCTAGCATAGATATAAGTCGTTTTTAAAATTACTCTCACACTGTTCCATAATATGGGTATGTCACAATTTATCTAACCAGTTCCCTATTAATGGGCATTCACTTTGTTTGCAGTTGGGGCTTTGCCCCCCTCTACAAACAGTACTTCAACAAACATGTTTATTTACATTCTTATGCATTGATGCTGCTTTTATTTCTAACGGACAGATTCCAAAAGTGAGACTGCTGGGTCTAAGAGTATATATGTTTTAAATTTTTAAACATATATTGTTGGACTGCTGGTGGAAGTATGTTACACAACCTTTAAGTAATAGTACATGGTTTCCCAAACCCCAATAGCTAGCAAAAGATCTCTTAATTTTTGCCAGATCCATGAAGGGGAAGTTTCATCTCACTGAGCATTTCAATTTGCATTTCCCTGAGTGCTTTTTAGGTTCAAAATATTTTCACAGGATAATGATCACCTACAGTTGCTCTCCTATGAAGAACCATCCAGTCCAGAGGGATTAAAGACTTAAGTGTAAAAAATAAAATCATAAAAATCTTAAAAACACATTTAGGATACTACGTATAACCTAGGGATTAAGGAGATCTCTTTTAAGTAAAATGAGTAAAATAAAAAATCTAAAAAGGAAATGATACAAATATTTTCCTATAAAAATGTTGTGCATTACTATAAAGTATAAAGACAAATGCTAGATTAAGAAAAACATCTGCTACATAATGACAAAGGATTAATATCAAAAATATATAAAAAGCACCTCCAGGTTTATAAGAAAAGACAGATAAATGAATAGAAAAATAGGCAAATACATATATAGGCAATTAACTAAAGATAATTTGTTAAATGAGTAAAGTATGAAATCTGGATGAACACTTTCATTTGTTCATTATTTTCCTCTAGTGAGAGTTTCCTTATAACTTCTAAGATTTAATATTATTAAATGATTTCCCACATAATTGCTTATAGTTTCTCTGTATACTTTCTGATAAATTCCTAATGAAGATTTTCCTATATTCATAAAATATAGTTTATAAGATTCATCTTGTGGAGTTGACATCTAGGTGAATGACTTATTGTTCTTTATATTAACTGAGTTTCTCTTTGATGTATTCTTTGATGTACAGTAAGGCTCGAACTACTCCTGAAGGCTTTTCCACATTCATTACATTTATAGGGTTTTTCTCCAGTATGCATCCTCAAGTGTACAGTAAAGTCTGAGTTAGTTCTGAAGGCTTTTCCACATTCTTCACATTTATAGGGCCTCTCCCCAGTATGAATTCTCTGATGTAGGGTTAGCTGTGATAGAGTAATACAACCCTTTCCACATTCCTTACAGGTGTAGGGTTTTTCTCCAGTGTGTGTTCTCCAATGCACTGTAAGGTAAGAACCCCTCCTGAAGGCTTTTCCACAGACATCACACTTATAGGGCTTCTCTCCACTATGGATTTTCTGATGTTCTGTGACATGTACCATCTGGCTAAATGCTTTCCCACAGTCATTACATTTAAATGGTTTCTCTCCAGTATGTGTTCTTTGATGTGTATTAAAGCCTGAGTTACTTGTGAAAACCTTTCCACATTCATTGCATTTATAGGGCTTCTCTCCAGTATGCCTTCGTTGGTGCACGGTAAGCTGTGATGTATTAGTGAAGGCTTTCTCACATTCATTACATTTATATGGTTTTTCTCCAGTATGGGTCCTCTGATGTACAATAAGGTATGATTTAGTCCTAAAGGACTTTCCACAGTCATAACATTTATAGGGTTTCACTCCAGTATGAATTTTCTGATGCTCCTTGAGATTTACCATTTTGGTGAATGCCCTCTCGCAGTCAGTACATTTATATGGTTTCTCTCCAGTGTGAATTCTCTGATGTACAGTTAAGTGTGATTTTATTCTGAAAGACTCCCCACATTCATTGCACAGATAAGGTTTCTCTTCAGTATGAATACGCTGATGTATAATTAGAGAAGAAGAACGCATGAAGGCCTTTCCACATTCAGTACATTTATAAGGTTTCTCTCCTGTATGCATTCTGTGGTGTACAGTAAGGCATGAATAATTAATGAATGCTTTCCCACATTCATTACATTTATAGGGTTTTTCTCCTGTGTGAATTCGCTGATGTTCTGTGAAATTTGCGATGCGGTTGAATGCTTTCCCACATTCATTACATTCATAGGGTTTTTCCCCAGTGTGAGTTCTTATATGTACGATAAGGCTTGAATTACTTCTATAGGCTTTTCCACATTCGTTACATCTAAAAGGTTTCTCTCCAGTATGAATCCTCTGATGCACATTAAAAATTGTGGTATTCTTAAAAGACTTCCCACACTCGTTGCACTGATATGGTTTCTCTTCAGTGTGGGTCTTCTGATGTACACTAAGATATGACTTGTTCCTAAAGGCTTTCCCACAATCATCACATTTGTAGGGTTTCTCACCATTGTGAGTTTCCTGATGTCTTGCAAGTTTTGATTTATCACTAAAAGCTTTCCCGCATTCACTACATTTATAGGGTTTCTCTCCAGTTTGAATTCTCTGGTGCTGATTAAGACGGGCACACTGGCTAAAAGATTTCCCACACACATTACACTGATAAGGTTTCTCTTTAGTGTGAATTCTCTGATGTACCATAAGTGATGAAGAAGCAATGAAGGCCTTTCCACATTCATTACATTTATAGGGTTTTTCTCCAGTGTGGATTTTTTTGTGCTGACTGAGATATGAAGGCTGGCTGAATGTTTTCCCACATTCATTACATTCATAAGGTTTTTCTTTAGTATGAGTTCTTTGATGTTGAATGAGCAATGATCTATAATGAAAGGCCTTTTCGCATGTACTACATTTGTAGGGTTTTTCCTTATTATTGGATTTTTTCCCCAAAGTTAGTTCTGAAGTCTGCCTTATGGCTTTGCTGCCTTTCATCTCCTTGCAAATTATCTTCCCCAAATGGGTATCTGTAATCAAATTTAAATTCTCTGTGAAATTTTCCTCTTGTGTTTGGCATCTGCTGTGAAGCTCTTCTGTGGCAATGCCTGGTTCTGGAATAAGAATAGATTCAAATCTAAAGCCTCTTTGACTAGTGGGAGTCTTCTTGAGTGGAATTATTCTTTGACTCAAATGATTCTCCTGATTATTTTGTAATCTCAATATCCTATCATTCCATTTCCATAACCCTTCCATTCTGGAATCCCACAGACCATTCTCTGTAAGTTTCTCTAGTATGGCCTCCTGTGATAAATCTTCAGAAATAGCCTTTGTTCGTGTAGCCTTCTTGGTTGCAGGTTTGGGCTCCATGTCTGGGGCAAAAAAGAGAAAAATCAAGTAATTCCTTTCCTAAGCTGGGGCAATCTCACTAAACAGAATAATAAAAGCAATAAATACATGGATAATGAATATATGGTTTTAATTGCTTTCACACTGACTTGTTTTTTAGTGAGAAGAAGGTAGGGTTAAGGGAGGCTGGTTTAGCAAAAACTAAAGTAGCAAATTCAATGAAACTTTCCCGTTAAAAAAGTCCATTCAGCTGGGCACAGTGGCTCATGCCTATAATCTCAGCACTTTGGGAGGCCAAGGTGAGAGAATTGCTTGAGCTTAGGAGTTCGAGACCAGTCTGGGCAATATAGCAAAACCCTGTCTCTACAAAAAAAAAAAAAAAAAAAAAAAAAAAAAAAAAATTAGCCAGGCATGGTGGTGTGCACCTGTAGTCCCAGTTATTTGTGAGGCTGAGGTGGGAGGACTGCTTGATTCTAGGAGGTGGAGGTTGCAGTGAGCCAAGATTGTGCCACTGCATTCTACCCTGGGTGACAGAGCACGACTGTCTCAAAAAAAAAAAAAAAGCCCATTCATAGTTTAGAGCCAACTATTTTAGATGGTATTCTTCAACTTTTGACAATCTCAAAAACTGTCATACTTCCTTGCTTTCTATTTACTCCACAAACCAGACTTTAGTCCCCAATCACACTTTCTATTTGTTTTGTTTTGTTTTGGAGACAGATACTTGCTGTGCCACCCAGGCTAGAGTGCAGTGGCATGATCTCGGCTCACTGCAACCTCCACCTCCTGGGTTCAAGCAATTCTCTTGTCTCAGCCTTCCGAGTAGCCGGGACTACAGTCATGTGCCACCACGCCCGGCTCATTTTTGTATTTTTAGTAGAGACGGGGTTTCGCCATGTTGGCCAGGCTGGTCTTGAACTTCTGACCTCAGGTGATCCACCCACCTCAGCCTCCCAAAGTGCTGGGATTACAGGCCTGAGCCACCATGCCATGCCTGGCCTCTATTTGTTCTCATTTTTGATTGACTAGCTTTGTTGTGAGGGCTTTCTCAAATTCACTGGCAGAGTAGTTTATTCAAGTCTTTGTACATACCTTTTAATAAAACTTTTATGGAAAAAAAACTTTGATTTTCAAAAAGAACTGAACAACAAACTAGTCAAAAGTTAATATTTATACTTACTGATATTTCAAATAGTGGTAATTATTGTTTAATTAAGGGTAGATTTTGCAACTTTTTTATGGCCCTAAGAACATTTCTGACAGTTTGTCAAAAATTCATTAAAAAAATTACACTGTGGGATACTGGTCTTACAATGTGTTTGTGTATGCAATTTAATATTTTATTTTTAAGACACTTTAATGCCTTTTAAAACTTGTAATTCATTTTCAGGTAATTATGCCTCAATATTTAAATATAAGTTCAATAAAAACTCTTGTCCATGATAGAATGGTTTTATGATTTTTTTTTTTTTTTAATTTTTGAGGCAGTGTCTCGCTCTGTTGCTCAGGCTGGAGTACAGTGGCACAATCTCAGCTCACTGCAACCTCCACCTCCTGGGTTCAAGTGATTCTTGTGCTTCAGCTTCCGAAGTAGTTGGGATTACAGGCATGCGCCACCACATCCAGCTAATTTTTCTTATTTTTAGTAGAGAAAGCATTTTGCTATGTTGGCCAGGCTGGTCTCCATCTCCTGGCCTCAAGTGATCCACCCTCCTCGGCCTTCCAAAGTGCTGGGGTTTCAGGCGTGAGCCACTGTGCCCAGCCAATTTTATGATTTTAAAACCCACTTTTAAGCAGTATGATTTGTCTATGTTATTTTACTTTTATAAAATTTAAATTAATATTTTGTCATGCTGTTGCTATTTATCATTCTTTTACTTTTAAATAGTTTTAATTAGTTTGAGCATATTTTTTGCTGTCATAGGATATTATATTGCCAGTATCTGATAAAAAAAAAAGTTTGCTCTCAGAAAAAAAGCTATAAGGCTGGGTGTGGTGGCTCATGCCTATAATCCCAGCACTTTGGGAGGATGAGACAGGAAGACTGCTTGAGCCCAGGAGTTTAAGACCAGCTTGGGCAACACAGTGAGACCCCATCTCTATAAAAAATTAAAAATGAGCTGGGCATAGTGGCACACACTTGTAGTACTAAATACTTGGAAGGCTGAAGCTGGAGGATCCCCTGAGCCCAGGAAGTTGAGGCTGCAGTGAGCTATGATTGCATCACTGCACTACAGCCTGGGTGACAAAGTGAAACCCTGTCTCAAATAAATAAATAAATAAATGAAGGCCGGGCACAGTGGCTCACGCCTGTAATCCTAGCAGTCTGGGAGGCCAAGGTGGGCGGATTACCTGACATCAGCAGTTCTAGACCAGCCTGGCCAACATGGTGAAACCCCGTCTCAACTAAACACAAAAATTAGCTGGGTGTGGTGGCACACGCTTATAATCCCAGCTACTCGGGAGGCTGAGGCAGAAGAATTGCTTGAACCCAGGAGGCGGAGGTTGCAGTGAGCCGAGATCACGCCACTGCACTCAGCCTGGGAGACAAGAGAGACTCCATCTCAAATAAATAAATAAATAAAAAAGAAGAAGAAAAGCTATATAAAACATATCTATAGCACCAATTTGGAATTCAGAAACTAATATTAAATTTAAAAGGTCAAAAGAATATGAAGTTGGAAAGCAGAAAAATTTGCTGCAAAATGCACTAAAATTATAAAAGCTTAGAGTACATAAAGGTTGTTGTTATATTAGTAATTAGAAATTTTCTTCAATAAATTTATTTGTAGAAACTTAATTTATATGCACTAAATTCTCATCTTTCTTGAGTGAAAGTAAAATGTTACTCCCAGACAACAAGCATAAAAAACAGAATAAAAACTTTTATATTTGAGAGGTCTGCACTTTGGGGATGTCAGAGGAAGTCATTTGGACCAACTTTATTGCTGAGAACAATTTGAAATGTTGGACAAAAGAACAGTCTGTTTGAAAGCATCTGAAAGCTAGAAAGACTTAACAAATTACAAGGAGAAGAATGAAACCCAGAAAAACAATCCTGGTATTTGGTGCCATTTTCCCCTTCAAATGCCTGTTAATTCTCTAAGAAATGACTGAGAGGCTGAATAAGTAAGCAGAACTCTTAATAAAGTCATAGGGCAAGAAAGACAGAGACGGATTTAGGTCCATTAAGGAGGACAATTCTGGAACAACTAGGGTTTGGCTGGAACCTTAAGGTGATAAGCCCTACAAATAGAACGACTAAGAAATAGATCGGCTGGCTGAAGGACTAAAACCCACCTCATTTAAATTTCTCATTGAATTAAAGTGAATGAAGATTGTTATAGTCCCTAGCCTAGCAGTCTGGCAAAAGCAAACATTAATCCTCTGTGGGAAAGATTACATAATCTAGAACCTCCTAATATTACTATAGATTTTCATAGTCAATGCCTGATACCCAGTAAAAAATAACAGGCATAAAAGGAGACCACGCTGGGCATAGTGGCTCACATCTTGTAATCCCAGCACTTTGAAAGGCCAACAAGGGCAGATCACCTGAGGCCAGGAGTTCGAGACCAGACTGGGCAACATGGCAAAACCCCATCTCTACTAAAAAATACAAAAAAATTGGCCAGGCATGGTGGTGCATGCCTGTAGTCCCAGCTACTCAGGAGGCTGAAGCAGGAGAATCACTTGAACTTGGGAGGTGGAGGTTGCAGTGAACTGAGATTGCGCCACTGCACTCCAGCCTGGGTAAAAGAGCGAGACTCTGTCTGCCTCCCCCGACCCCAAAAAAAAGGGAGACAAAAATCAAAAGTCACATGGGAAAAAAATCAAGAGAGAAAACAAATATACAGAAACAGATCTAAAATGAATCCAAATAATTGAGGCCTCAGACATAAACTTTAAAATAACTAGGATAACTATATTCAAGAACATAAGATTAACAATCTCACAAAGATTTGTAAAGTATAAAATAACCAAATGAAAATTCTAGAACTGAAAAATAAATATAGTAACTTAACTCAAACTATGGGCTAAGAGCACAATAGAGACAGCACATGAGAGAGTTAGGGAAATGGAAGATAGGTCAGTACAAAGTATCCATACTGAAACACAAAATGATGAAAAACTTGCAAACGTTAGAAAAGCAGAAGAGACATCCAGGATAGGGTGAAAAGGTCTATCACAGATGTAACCAGAGTCCTAGAAGGTTACAAAGAGAAGTGAGAGAGAATGGACAGAAGCTAAGTCAAAGAAATAATGTCTTAGAATTTTCCACAAGAGATAAAAAAAAAAAATCAAGTCACAAGTCTTAGAAGCCAAATGAATCTTCAGCATGAGAAATATGAAGAAAACTATATTAAAGTACACAGTAGTAAAACCGTTGAAAACTAAACTCTTAAAAGCAGCCAAAAAAAGAGAGACAGGGAAGGGCACAGTGGCTCACACCTGTAATCCCAGCACTTTGGGAAGCCAAGATGGGCAGATCCCCTGAGGTCAGAGTTCGAGACCAGCCTGGCCAATGTGGCGAGACCCCATCTCTACTAAAAATACAAAAATTAGCTGAGCGTGGTGGCAGGTGCCTGTAGTCGCAGCTACTCAGGAGGCTGAGGCAGGAGAATTACCTGAAACCAGGAGGCAGAGGTTGCAGTGAGCCGAGATCACGTCACTGCACTCCAGCCTGGGCGACAGAGCGAGACTCCATCTCAAAAAAAAAAAAAAAAAAAAAAAAATCTGTCTCTCTCTCTTTTTTTTTTTAAACAGTGTCTTGCTCTGTCACCCAGGCTGGAGTGCAGTGGATTGGATTACAAGTCTGTGCCACAACGCCCGGCTAATTTTTGTATTTTTAGTAGAGATGGGGTTTTGCCATGTTTCCCATGCTGGTCTTGAACGCCTGACCCCAAATGATCCACCCACCTCAGCCTCCCAACACCTGGCCAAAGACAGATAGATGTCCTTTAATGAGCAACAATTAGATCAGAGGTTACAAATTATAACCAATTTGGCCCATCATCTGTTTCTGTATAGCCAGCAAGATAAGAATGATTTTTATATTTATTTTTATTTATTTATTTACTTACTTACTTACTTATTTTGAGACCGAGTCTCACTCTGTTACCCAGGCTGGAGTGCAGTGGGCAATCTCAGCTCATTGCAACCTCCGCCTCCTGGGTTCAAGTGATTCTTGTGCCTCTGCCTTCCGAGTAGCTGGGATTACAGGCCAGTGCCACCATGCCTAGCTAAAATTTGTATTTTTAGTAGAGACGGGGTTTCACCATGTTGCCCAGGCTGGTCTCAAACTCCTGGCCTCCAGTGCCTGCCTTGGCCTACCAAAGTGCTGGGATTACAAGCATGAGTCACCACGCCTGGCCAATTTTTACATTTAAAATGGTTGAAAAATATATTAAAAGAATGTGAGACATTAAAAATGTATGAAATTCAAATTTCAGAGTCCATAAGTGAAGTTTTAGTGGAGCACAACCACATTACTTGGTTAATATGTTGCCTATGGATTCCTTGGTGCTACAATGGCAGAGTGGAGTAGTCACAGCAGAGAGTCCTTATGATCCAACAAAGCCAAAAATATTGCTGCCCTGCCTTTTATAGAAAAGTTTAGACAGATGGTTCACTTCTCCACAGATTGTACATAAGACAGAAAACAATAAATGATACCTTTGAAATGTTGAAAGAATATAACTGCCAATCTAAAATTTCAAACTTACCAAAAATATCCTCCCAAAATGAAGGCCAAATGAAGATATTTTTAGAAAAAAAAAAGAGAAGAGGCTGTGCGTGGTGGCTATTGCTTGTAATCCCAGCGCTTTGGGAGGCCGAGGTGGGTGGATCACCTGAGATCAAGAGATCCAGACCAACCTAGCCAACATGGTGAAACCCCATCTCTACTGAAAATACAAAAATTAGCTGGGCATGGTGGTGCATGCCTGTAATCCCAGCTACTGAAGAGGCTGAGCGAGTAGAATCGCTTGAA
This sequence comes from Homo sapiens, assembly GCF_000001405.40. Classification (NCBI taxonomy): domain Eukaryota; kingdom Metazoa; phylum Chordata; class Mammalia; order Primates; family Hominidae; genus Homo; species Homo sapiens. The sequence continues at coordinate 16,630,479 of NC_000017.11, forward strand.
CCTGGGAGGCAGAGTTTGCAGTGAGCCGAGATCACGCCATTGCACTCCAGCCTGGGCGACGAGAGTGAAACTCAGTCTCAAAAAAATAAAAAATTAACAATATACTACCTTAAAAATAAAGACAAAAAGTACAAGAATACACAGAAAGTGAAAGTTAGCAGATGAAAAAAGATATACTATACAAATAACAACCAAAAGAAAGATGCTGTAGTAATATTAGTATCAGACAAAACAGATTTTAAGGCAAAAACTTTTAAGAAATGAGATACTTCATAACGACAAAAGCCAATTTACCATACAGATAACAATTATAACTTTGTATTTACATAATAACACAGCTTCAAATACAGAAAGAAAAAAATTAAATGAACTAAATAGGAAGCAAATGTATAGTCTCACTAGCAGACTTTAAAAAATCTTTCTCAATTGATAGAATAAGCTGTAAGTATACAGATTTTAACATAATTAACAAACTTAATCTCCTGACACATCTAGAAATTGTACTCAATACTCAATACCTACCTATAGGCTGTACATTTTTTCAAGAGCACAAAATGTTTACAAAATTCTGCAAAGACTGACATAATTCAGAGCATCCTGTCTGACCATAGTAGAATTAAAGTCAACAAGATTGCTAGAAAATTCCCAAATGGCACAAAATTAAGAAAAACATTTAAAAATAACCCAAGGATAAAAGATATCACAATAGAAATTATAAAATATTTTCCACTCAAAAATTATGAAGATGCTACATAAAAAAGTGTGATATAGTTCTGATAGCCCTAAACAATTAGAAAAGAAGAACAGCTGAAAATCAACGATCTAAGTACCTAATTCAAGAGGTTAGAAAAGATCCACAAATTAAGCTCTAAGAATGGAATAAAATAATAAAGAACAGAAAGTAATAAAACTCAAACATACAAGAAAAAGGACTAAAAACAGTAATGTTTTTAAAAGCCAAGTAATGTCAGGCATGGTGACTCACACCTGAAATCCCAGCAATTTGGGAGGACGAGGTGGGAGGATAGCTTGAGCCCAGGAGTTCGAGAACAGCTTGGTCAACATAGTGAGACCCCTTCCTCTACAAAAAATAAAAATCTTAGGTGTGGTGGTGTGTGCCTCTACTCCCAGCTATGTAGGAGGATGAGGCAGGAGGATCACTTGAGCCCAGGAGTTTGAGACTGCAGTGAGCTATGATCACACCACTGCATTCCAGCCTGGGTGATAGAATGAGACCCTGTCTCAAAGAAAAAAAAGAGTCAAGTAAGATTGATAAACTCTAGCAAGACTGAGTAAGACAAAATAAAGAAAACACAAAAAACCAGTATCAGGAATAAGAAGTGGCACATCACTTCAGATCCATACAAACATTTAAATGATAAACCGATAGTATGCCAATAAATTTTAAAATTAGATTAAACGGAACAATCCCTAAACATAATTTGCTAAACTGAAACAAAAAGAAAAAGGAAATATGAACAGTCCTAAGTACTAAAGGCATAGAGGCTATAATTAAACACTTTTCCCAATAAAAGCTTCAGGCCAAGATGGCTTCCCTGGTGAATTCCACTACCATAAAAAATAACTTTCCCTCTCTCACAATTTTTTCTTCCCTCACCATAAGCTAATGATCTTGCCTCACATTTTAGAAACTATGGCAGCTATCATAATAGTGGCCTCAATCTTCCTGCCCTCAACTGACATGCAGGTGCACCCATCTTCTCCACCTTTCTCAGTATTACAACACAGGAGGTGACCTCTGTACCTATTCAAGGTAAATCCCCCTTTCCTTTCTAGATTTTATCTCCTTTAACCCTGTCAAACACTTTAGTCCTTCGTCTTTGTCTTGCAACATCAATGTCTCTCTCTCCATTAAGGCAATCCTATCAGCACTCAAACATGTCATAGCAGCTCCCATTTCAAAAATAAAACAAGTATTTTTTCTTGACTCCATTCTTTCCTTTAGCCACTGCTCCATTTCTCTTTCCCTCTTCGTAGGGGAAAAAAAATCCCTCTCTAAAAAGTTATCTAAAACTATCTCTAATGTCTACTTTTCACTCACTCTTTTAAGTATAAATAATATCTGATATATAAAAATACGTAATTCATGTGTGGATTGTTCATGGCATCATAATAAAATGAATGCTTAAATGAACCAGAATCTATTTCTTTCCATCTCCACTACCATCACCCTAATCAAAGTTACTATCATCTCCTGGATAGACTATTGTAACAACCTTTTAACTTACTGCCTGCTTTATGCCTCAAGTTCAATCTCTATAAACAGGGTTATTTTCTAAAAACCCTGCAGTAGAATCTCTCCATGCTTTGGAACTCACTTAGATCATCTACAAAGCCCTGCACAGGCAGGCTGCTACATCTCTAATCTTATTCTGTACCAGTTTCCCCTCACTTTAGTCACAGCAGCTTCCTTTTGATTTCCAGAACACATGGCATTCTCTGCTGTATCAGATCCTTTGCATTGTTGTTCCCTTAGCCTGGAATACTTCTCTTTTCCTCTTCCCCTTACTGTTTTCTTCTTCTGACCCTTCAGGTCTCGGCTTAAATGTCACCTCTTCAGAAGCTCCCCTGACCACCCTGTTTGAAGCAGGTGTCCTCATCCCACCCCAGTTACTCTTTCTTATCCTCCAATTTATCTCATAGCTGGGAGGTATGGCAACCACCATTTTAGTTTGTTTTTATTTGTTTGCCAAATTATCTATTTCTCAAAATTTAATCTTCATGAAGGCAGGGACCTGGTCCATTTTATTAGCTGCTATAGCCCTTGTACCTAAGCCAGTTCACAGTATATAGATGTATAATATTGATTAAATACATCAATACTATATTTTGATTCTCAACTGCTTCCTTGTTTGTATTAGCAATTAGTTAAAAACCTGGAGGAGAGGTGGTGGGTTCCTCCAAAGTTTCTGTAGCCTTGCAGGTGAAGAAAACTAAATAATGAGTAAATAAGTTTGCCTTAAGAGAAATCAGTGGGGACCCTTATGGAAGCATTTTCAGGTAAATGAGGGAAGAAATGTCAGATAATGAAACAAATGAGAAACATGAAGTTAACTGGAGAAGACAGACCTGAAAGGGATATTTTATGCAAGTTTGAATGAAGAAGAAATAAAATAATAATTACGAAAAGCACGTCCCCAGGAAAGCAGAATAGGATGAGATGTTTCCCAAAAGTGGAGGACAGAGAGAGAGGGAGAGAGAAGATGGGGGTGAGAGGGACAGGCAGTGAGATGGGGGATCTCTTCCTCTGAGACAGCGTTGAACAAATATATCTTCAAAATTATTTCAGATGTTCTGGTGAACATCCCCCTATAGTCTGTTACTTCAAATAAATCCCATCTTCTTGGTTCTGTTTAACTCACCAGGATAGGGAATTCTTGAAATTTCTCTCACCGTCACCCATGGTCCTTTCCCATTCTCCAAATGAGATATCATGTCTGGTTTGGAAACTGCAAGCCCTGTCCAGAGAAAAATAAATAGGATTTGATTGGAGCCATGAGCAAGAACTCCTGCCAAATTCAGTCTCAGTTCTTAATCTTCTGGGCAGAATGACCATTACAGGAAGTTCTAGAGCTGCACTGTCTGATACAGTTGCCAATTGTCACATATGGCTATTTAAATTTGAATTTAAATAAAATCAAGTAAAATCTAAAATTCAGTTCTTCAGATGGACTAGCCAAATTTCAAGTGCTCAAAAGCCACAAGTGACTAGTACCTGCCATATTGTACAGTGATGTTTTAGACAATTACAAAGACATCTCAAAGGAACTCAATGCTATGATTCTGGTTTGGTGGGATAATAGATTGTGGAAATAAACTGAGTTTAGAAAGAAATTGAATACATTTGTTTCTTTCTTCTAGAGGTACTGATAACTTCCATTTAAGGCAGTGACTAGAAAAAACTTTGGTCCAAAATCTGTGGGGTTGTCAACAATCTCCAAGATTCCAGTGAAATGTGTGTTTCTTACTCTACAATGGGCAGATCATGTAGTTAAGAGTGAGGAATAGCATAACCCAACAATGTGCCCCTAAAATCAAGTACTTCAGTTAAGTACTTTAGAGGCCCTTTATCTTTGGCAAACCTGGTCAAATGGGCAGATCAATCAACACAGAAGAGAAGTTATCCTTACCCAGGGAGACCAGATTCCTGTAATTCTCTAGCATCACATCCTTGTGCAGGTTCCTCTGTGTAGGGTCCATCAACCTCCACTCCTCCAATGTGAAGTCTATAGCCACATCCTTAAATGTCACCGATTCCTAAAACAATTACATTGTGATCACTTAGAAACTATACAATTAGACTTGTTAGGCAGAATTATACATAAAAAACTGGGGAAGAGCCCCAGAAACCAGAATCACCAAATGATCATGTAGGTCAACCAGTTCATCCTTTATAGGATGTATAAATCTCTCCAGTGACAAGAACTTGAAACCATAATATGCTGCCTATATCATCTTCAGAGTTTCATCTGATAGCAGAATTTCTTTTCAGACCAAGTCTGGCTTCCTATAAATTATAAATATTGGCTCCACTATATTATCTGGAGTCAAACAGCACGGTTTCCTCCTTCCCTAGAAAGTATTTAAAATACTTGATAACAGCCAGCAGTTTCCATCCAAATCATCTTTCTTCCTTAAAACCCTGGCTTATCTAAAATATCAATTTTCTTTCAGTTCTAATCTATAGACTATGACTTACTAAAAGATACATTTTATCATTTGTATTGTGGATATAGAATATTATAAGCTTTCTCTTTGAAAAAGAAAAATAAAAAAAATCGAGGAACTTTGGGTAAGTTCTTTGGTCTGGATATGTATATGTATTAAAAAATGGAAGAACAGGCCATAAACATTTTCAATGTTACCTATCGGAGAAAAGAGGGAGTAGAGCGGACTGGAATGACAGCTAGACTCCTTTGAATATTTGTTTTGTAGACTTGACTTTTGAACCATGTAAATATATTATAAATGAAATAAAAAATTAAAAAAAAAATCCCTGAAAATTAAGAGTAACATGAAACCAGCTGGTAGCATACTCACTCATTAGAGAGGAACTATTTTGAGTGACTTTGAAACAGTAATTTTTCTGTATACATTGCACAAGATATACCCTGAGAAAAATAACTGCAAAATAAAAACAAAACCACAATGTTTTCAGTAAATAATCATATTAATTACAGTGACAGACATGTTATTGTTTAACTGCTGTGCGTGTAGTGCTTGATAAAGCAAATTAGCATACTGACATCATTGATAACTAATATATTTGGCATGGGAGAAAGAAGATAGAAATGTAATATTGATGAGATGAGGTTAAAAACTCCATAGTTCTGAGTTTGAATAGGAAGTATCACTAGAGATTCATGAAGCATTTTAAGAGAAAAAAAAAAAAAAACACATTTCCTAGCTTCAGCCACTGAAAAGGCCCAGAAACCATAACCAATAAGGTGGCACTATGCAAGCCAGACTGTGGGCTCTAAATATTACTTCCCCCTAAAAGGAACCAGGGCCTAGAATACCCTGACATATTAAAAAGCAAGGAAGCTATGAAAGACTACTAGGGTCATATCTAAGACACAGGAGACAACTTGAAGAGGCTTCCACTGGCCAATGATATGACAATTTGAGCATCAATAAGGATAATAACTGCAATGGATTTCAAAAGCATCTAATACAGTTACATTCATGATACATTATTTTAAAAATCTCATCTATTATCTTTGGAGAATACCTGGAAACTGGTAAGTAAAGAGAAAGAATCAAACTTTTGTCCTTTCTTACCTATGCAAAGTACATATAGTTTGTATTGTAATCAAACATAATTAAATAGTTGCTGAGGGAAGGTTTCTCTTTATGGAAGTATTTTAGCTAATGAATGAAGAAGGAACAAAAGAATTAGAACATCACAATTTGCAACTACTAATGAATTAAAGAATCATCAGCAGCTGCTAACATAAAAGAAAGGCCTCAGTTAGCTAGTATATGTCTTCTAGTGGTATATACCAGCAATATGCAATGACATTGCTGAAAATATTTTAAAAATCAAAAATCTCAGGGCCGGGCGCCGTGGCTCATGCCTGTAATCCCAGCACTTTAGGAGGCCAAGGCGGGCGGATCACGAGGTCAGGAGATCGAGACCATTCTGGCTAACACGGTGAAACCCCATCTCAACTAAAAATACAAAAAATTAGCCGGGTGTGGTGGCGGGTGCCTGTAGTCCCAGCTACTAGGGAGGCTGAGGCAGGAGAATGGCATGAACCTGGGAGGCGGAGCTTGCAGTGAGCCGAGATTGCGCCACTGCACTCCAGCCTGGTACACGAAGAGAGACTCCGTCTCAAAAAAAAAAAAAATCAAAATCTCAGCCGGGTGCAGTGTTGAATAGGAGTGGTGAGAGAGGGCATCCCTGTCTTGTGCCAGTTTTCAAAGGGAATGTTTCCAGTTTTTGCTGGTTCAACATGTGCAAATCAATAAATGTAATCCAGCATATAAACAGAACCAACATAGTGTTGGAAGTTCTGGCCAGGGCAATTAGGCAGGAGAAGGAAATAAAAATCACTAGCATTCTTATACACCAATAACAGACAAACAGAGAACCAAATCATGAGTGAACTCACATTCACAATTGTTTCAAAGAGAATAAAATACCTAGGAATCCAACTTACAAGGGATGTGAAGGACCTCTTCAAGGAGAACTACAAACCACTGCTCAATGAAATAAAAGAGATACAAATGGAAGAACATTCCATGCTCATGGGTAGGAAGAACCAATATCGTGAAAATGGCCATACTGCCCAAGGTAATTTATAGATTCAACGCCACCCCCATCAAGCTACCAATGACTTTCTTCACAGAATTGGAAAAAACTACTTTAAAGTTCATATGGAGCCAAAAAAGAGCCCACATCGCTAAGTCAATCCTAAGCCAAAAGAACAAAGCTGGAGGCATCGCGCTACCTGACTTCAAACTATACTACAAGGCTACAGTAACCAAAACAGCATGGTACTGGTACCAAAACAGAGATATAGATCAATGGAACAGAACAGAGCCCTCAGAAATAATGCCACATATCTACAACCATCTGATCTTTGACAAACCTGACAAAAACAAGAAATGGGGAAAGGATTCCATATTTAAAAAATGGTGCTCGGAAAACTGGCTGGCCATATGTAGAAAGCTGAAACTGGATCCCTTCCTTACACCTTATACAAAAATTAATTCAAGATGGATTAAAGACTTACATGTTAGGCTTAAAACCATGAAAACCCTAGAAGAAAACCTAGGCAATACCATTCAGGACATAGGCATGGGCAAGGACTTCATGTCTAAAACACCAAAAGCAATGGCAACAAAAGCCAAAATTGACAAATGGGATCTAATTCAACTAAAGAGCTTCTGCACAGCAAAAGAAACTACCATCAGAGTGAACAGGCAACCTACAAAATGGGAGAAAATTTTTGCAACCTACTCATCTGACAAAGGGCTAATATCCAGAATCTACAATGAACTCAAACAAATTTACAAGAAAAAAACAACCCCATCAAAAGGTGGGCAAAGGATATGAACAGACACTTCTCAAAAGAAGACATTTATGCAGCCAAAAAACACATGAAAAAATGCTCATCATCACTGGCCATCAGAGAAATGCAAATCAAAACCACAATGAGATACCATCTCACACCAGTTAGGATGGCGATCATTAAAAAGTCAGGAAACAACAGGTGCTGGAGAGGATGTGGAGAAATAGGAACACTTTTACACTGTTGGTGGGACCGGAAACTAGTTCAACCATTGTGGAAGTCAGTGTGGCGATTCCTCAGGGATCTAGAACTAGAAATACCATTTGACCCAGCCATCCCATGACTGGGTATATACCCAAAGGATTATAAATCATGCTGCTGTAAAGACACATGCACACGTATGTTTACTGCGGCACTACTCACAATAGCAGACTTGGAACCAACCCAAATGTCCAACAACGATAGACTGGATTAAGAAAATGTGGCACATATACACCATGGAATACTATGCAGCCATAAAAAATGAAGAGTTCATGTCCTTTGTAGGGACATGGATGAAACTGGAAACCATCATTCTCAGCAAACTATCGCAAGGACAAAAAACCAAACACTGAATGTTCTCACTCATAGGTGGGAATTGAACAATGAGAACACATGGACACAGGAAGGGGAACATCACACTCCGGGGGACTGTTGTGGGGTTGGGGGAGGGATAGCATTAGGAGATATGCCTAATGCTAAATGACGACTTAATGGGTGCAGCACACCAACATGGCACATGTATACATATGTAACAAACCTGCACATCGTGCACATGTACCCTAAAACTTAAAGTATAACAATAATAAAATAAAATAAAAAGAGGGGGAACAGGTTTAAGGGATGTAAACTACTCTCCCCACTTCTGTGAGTATAATGCTTATTATGTATCAGAGACTGCTCTAAGGGCTTATAATGTACTGAATGAATCATCACAATAAGGAAGGTGCTATTTACAAATAAGGAAAGTGAGGCACAGAGATGTTAGATGTCTTGCCCAAAGTCAAAGAAGCAGAAGAATCTAGATTCAAATCCAAGCAGTCTATATTGAGAATTCCAGCTTGTAACCTTGTAATCATTCTGATCCATGATCTAGTAAACTAAGAGCCCTGATTAGCTGACTACTCAGGCAAAGAAGTCAACTTAGATCATATTTGGCTAAGGTCTGTTCTGGATCAGAAGAAAGATTTCCTCTGGGGTGTTTTTCTACCATTTAGATATGTATGCTTGTCATACATGTCTTATGTATATATATATCCCTTTGTAGTTTTGAACCTTTAGGTTTTTGAAGCTTGTTTTAGATAATTCTGCTAATAATAAGACATGGCGAATGTAGGACATGTTGAGTTCATAAACTTTATTGTTAATCACTTGACATGTGTCTGTAACCAATGTACTGGGTTTTGTTTTCTTTCTTCACCAAGAACTCAGCCCCAGGAAAAAATCTGAGAAGGCCCTCATCTCTCATCTATAGCTTACCTTGAGGCTCTGTACAAGCAAGAAATGACTAAGGCAGAGTTGCAACCTGCCTGCCTAAGAGGGAAATGTATGCCCAACACATACAAAGGCCCCTTTGGCAGTCGCTGAAGACTTACTGGTTTAAGGCAAAAAGAAATCTGTCTAATCATTAACTATCACCATGTTAACCAAGCAGATATTTTAGTGGCTATACATGATAAAGAATACAGACTTTACAGATTGGTCCAGGAAAGTTTCTAAACAAAGCAACAGCACCAGCAACAACTGCAACAACAAACCCCAGAGAGGGGAGAATCTGATTTCCAGAGTTGCCACATTATATTATTTAAAATAACTAGCTGGTTTTCAACAAAAAATTATAAGACACACAAAGAAACACGAAAGCATGGACCCATACACAGTAAAAAATAAAGCATCAATGGAAATTACCTCCGAGGAAGTCAAGACATTGTACTTATTAAACAAAGACATTAAGGCAGCTATTATAAATATGTTCAAAGACCTAAAGAAAACCATGTATAAAGATTTAAAAGAAATTGTGAGAATGATATTTCACTAAATAGAAATTTTAGAGTTGAAAAGTATAATAACTGAAATAAATGTACCAGTGAGACATAACAAATTTAAACATATACTCACCTAACAAAAGAGTCCCATAAGACAAGAAGTAAAAATTTATAAAATTGAAGGGGCAAAGAGATAATTCAACGGTAGTAGCTGGACAAAGTGAAAACAGTGCTCAGAGGGAAATTTATAGCTATAAAATGCCTACAATTTAAAAAGAAGAAATCAGTAACCTAAATTTATACCTTAAGGAACTAGAGAAGGAAGAGTGAACTAAATTTTTTAGGAAGCTGAAGGAAGAAAATAATAAATATTAGAATGGAAATAAAATAGAGAACAGAAAAACAGCAGAGGAAATAAAAAAGGGCAAAAATTGGTTATTTGGAAAGATAAAAAAATGGCAAACCCTTAGCTAGAGTGACTAAGAAAAAAAAGAGAGAAGACACAAATTACTAAAATCAGAATGAAAAAGAAGACATTCCTACTGACCTTAAAGAAATAAGAGGATTATAAAGGAACACTATGAACCATGGTATGCGAACTTAGATGAAATGGACAAATTCGTAGAAAGGCATTAACTACCAAAACTGACTCAGTGTACAGAAAATCTGGATAGATCTATAACAAGTACACTTCCCACAAAGAAAAGCCTAGGTTCAAATGGTTTCATGTGAATTATACCAAACATTTCAAGAAGAATTAATACCAATCCTTCACTAACTCTTCCAAAAAATGGAAGGGAAAAATTCCAAACCCACTTTATGAGACCAATATTACCAAAACTAGACAAAGACCTCAGAAGAACACCACAGACCAGCATCCTTATGAATATGGACACAAAATTCTCAACAAAATACTAACAAAGTGGATTCAGCAACAACTAAAATGCCACATATACTACAGCCAAATGGGAATTATCTTAGGAATACAAGGTTTATGTAATATCAAAAAAATCAATCAATAGAACAAAGAACAACAACTGCACATCATCTTAATAGATTCAAATATGTATTTGACAAAATTCAACAAACTAAAAATAGAAGCAAACATCATCAACCTGATAAAGACTCTCTATGAAAACCTACATCTAGCCTCATACTTAATGGTAAACAGCTGAATGCATTCTTCCTGAGATCACAAAGACAACAATGTCCCTTCTCACTTTTCTTTTTCTTTCTTTCTCTCTCTCTCTCTTTTTTTTTGGATACAGGATCTTGCTCATCGCCCAGGCTGGAGTACAGTGGTGCAATTTTGGCTCATTGCAACCTCCACCTCCCCAGTTCAAGGGATCCTCCCGTCTCAGCATCCCAAGTAGCCGGGATTACAGGTGTGTGCCACCATGCCTGGCTAATTTTTGTATTTTTTAGTAGAGACAGGGTTTCACCATGTTGGCCAGGCTAGTCTCGAACTCCTGGCCTCAAGTGATCCACCCACCTCAGCCTCCTAAAGTGCTGGGATTACAGGCATGGGCCACCATGCCCAGACATTCCTTCTCACTTCTATTCAACATTATATCGTACATTTTGCAAGGGAAATTTGAAAAGGAAAAGAAATACAAGGTACCCAGACAGGAAAGGAGAAAGCAAATTTTGATTTGCAAATGATATAATCTCTCTATACAGTTAATGTTATCTTGCATATAAAACCCTAATAAATCCACATATACACAAACAATTTAGTTCTATTAGAATAACCTAGTTCAGCAAGGTTCAGGATACAAGATCTATATGTGTGTGTTTAAGTCAATTATCTGTATACACTATCAATAACTATTTCAAAAGGAAATTAAGAAAAAATTCATTTATAATAGCAAAAATAAGAAAACACAGGAATGAAGTTTTAACAAAAGATGTGTAAAACATGCACACTGAAAACTATAAAACTACAAAACTGAAAGAAACTAAAGAATACATAAATAAATGGGAGGACAATCGATGTTCAAGTATGGAAGACTTAATCTTGCGAATATAGCATTACTCTCCAAATTGATCAACAGATTCAACATAAGACTTATAAAAATTCCATCTGGCTTTTTTTTTCCTGAAATGGAAAAGCTGATCCTAAAATTCATTTGGAAGTGAATTTGTTTTTTTAAAACAATACTGAAAAAGAAGAAAGGTGAGGCACTCATACCTCCTAATTTCAAAACGTACTTCAAAGGTATTTCCAAAACTTAGTTCAAAGCTACAGTGCTCAAGACAGTATGGTACTGACATTAGGATAGACATTTACATCAATGGAATAGAACTGACAGTCTAGGAATAAATCCCTACATTAATGGTCAGTTGATTTTTAATAAGGGTACTAAGACAATGAGTAGAGAATAGTCTTTTCAACAAACAGTGCTGAGACAACTGAATATTCACATGCCAAAGAATGAAGCTGAATCTCTACCTCAGACCATAAACAAAACTTAACTCAAAATGGACTATAGACCTAAATGTAAGAACTAAACTATAAAACTGTTAGAAGGAAAGACAGAGGAACATCTTCATGACCTCCGATTTGGTAATGAATTATTAGATATGACACCAAAAGCACACTAGACAAAAGACAAGAAGAGATCATTAGGACTTCATTAAAATTAAAAACTTCTGTGCTTCAAAGGACATCATCAAAAACTCAAAAAGCCAACCGAAGAATGTAAGAAAATATTTACAAACCATTTATCTGAAAAGGGATTTGTATTTAGAACATATAAAGAACCCTTACAAGTCAAACATAAAAGGACAAATAACCCAATAAAAAATGGGCAAAGGACTTGAATAGATATTTCTCCAAAGGAGATATACAAGTGGCCAATAAGTATGCTCAAGAGAAGATGCTGGAAGTTCTTAGTAATTAGGGAAATAAAGTCTCTAAGATACAGTAAGCTACCACTTCACACCCAATAAGATGTGTATAATCAAAAAAGCCAGACAATATCAAGCGTTGTTGAAGAAGTAGAGCAACTGCAACACTCATACGTTGCTGGTGGGAATGTAATATGGGGCAGCTGCTTTGTAAAACAATCTGACAGTTCTCCAAATGGTTTAACATAGAATTATCATATGATCCAGCAAAATTCCAACCCTAGGTATATACCAAGAGAAATGAAAACACATGCTCACACAAAAACGTATACACAAATGTATTAGCATCATTATTAATTGCCCCAAAGTGGAAACAACTCAAATACTCATCAACTGACAAACGGATAAGTGATATGGATAAGCTATATCCATACAACTGGAATATTATTTGGCCATAAAAAGGAATAAAGTACTGACACATGCTACAACACACATAAACCTTGAAAATATTATGCTAAAATGAAAGCAGTCACCAAGGACAACATATTATATCATTTCATTTATATGAAATGTCCAGAATAGGCAAATCTATACAGATGAAAAGATTAGTGGTTGTCAGAGGCTGTAAGGAGGGGGAATGGAGAGTACTGCTAGTGGGTATGGGGTTTCTTTTTCAGGGTGATGGAATGTTCTGTAATTCCATACAGTGATGGTTACAAACTCTGTGAATATATTTAAAAACCACTGAAATGTATACTTTATGAATTTTATGATATATTAATTACATCTTAGTAAAGTGTCATTAAAAATACTGCCAGAAGGACAATCTTTTTCTTCCCTCCCAGGGGAAAATCAGGTAAATAAATAATCATAAAAAATCAAAGGTTTGTGTTGTGTGAAGAACGAATGAAAAATTGATTGTAGAATGTAGAAGTGTGAGTTAACTTTGAAACATAAAACTGCTGCGACAGTTTGGATGCCTTCCCCCAAAACCTCATGTTCAAAACTGATCCCCATGTTGGAGATGGGGCCTAATGGGAGGTGTTTGTGTCATGGGGCTGGATCCCTCATGAATGCCTTGGTGCCATCCTCATGGTAATGAGTGAGTTCTCCCTCTATTATTAGTAGTTCCCATGAAAGCTGGCTGTTAAAAAGAGCATGGCCCCTCCCCTCTCCCTCTCTTGCTATGTAGTCTCTATACACACTGTCTCTCTTTCCTTTTCACTGTGAATGGAAGCAGCCTGAGGCCCTCACAAGATGCAGATACTGGCAGTATGCTTCTTGTACAAACTGCAGAACTGTGAGCCAAATAAACCCCTTTTCTTTATAAATTACCCACTCTTGGGTATGCCTTTATATGGCAACAAACACACTAAAACAACTTCTAAGAATGTTGAGGGCATTTTGATCTTGTGAAAGTAAATTCACTTAAGTATCCTTTATTCAGAAACTGAACTTTGTCAAACTGAAGAAACTATTACTATAACTAAAGTTTTATTTTTATTGCAAAAAGTTCCTAGGGAGCTAAAAGAGTACCCATTTATTTCAAATTTCACCATCCCAGACCAACTCTATTCATAATTTAGACAAATAAAATTGGAAACCTAATATATAATACCCAAAAATTGTTGATTCTAAGATAATACACTGATGCATACAATGGAAACCAGAAATCATAAGCCTCATATTCTCTACCTCAAAGACACTGGGCAAATAACATTAAGCCAGACTGATGTAAAAGTTTCTTTTTGATAGAGTTCGAGAAAGTAAAAATTAGCTTATACTGAGAAAGTAAAATTCTGCCCTTCCACACCTCAAGCTAGAATAGAGATACAGATAAAACCAACTGACAAGTTAACGGCAAACAATATTTCTTCTAAAGTCATTCTGCAGCTGTAAAATGTCATAATTACCCGTTTTGAGCAACTACTGCTTTCTTACTCATTAGACACCTCATCTTTTAAAGTCATAGACTGTCAGAAATTGTGTAGTCTGAAATCACATCAGAAAGAATGAAAGTGACTTTGATGCTGAGAAGCAGTTATTTGCAACCCAGATGCAGACTTTCACATGAGGGGTTTCTGAATATGTCATTTTACATTTAACTTTGTATTTTCCAAGGAAATAGGACTCCAGATCCATTATGCAGTCTGGACATGGTATTGACTCTTTTATACAGAGCCTATTTTGCTGTAAGCCTATCACATCCCTGATCTCATTAAAATTTCATCAGAATTCCCTCCTTCGTCAAGATTATATAATAACCCAGCTGGGTGCCATGGCTCATGCCTGTAATCCCAGCACTTTGGGAGGCTGAGGTGGGCAGATCACTTGAGTTCAGGAGTTGAAGACCAGTCTGGCCAACACGGTGAAACCCCGTACACTAAAAATACAAAAATTAGCCGGACATGGTGGTGGGTGCCTAGTCCCGGTTACTGGGAGGCTTTTAAAGGCTTATTATCTCCTCTTCATCTTGAGGCTATGCTTATCTAGTTGTTTGTTGTTGGTAAATTAAGTTGTTTACCAAAAGTTACAACATATATACTGGCACTATGATACTCAGAAAATATCAAGACTCTTTGTCTTGATGTGTTCCTTTTGGTCTGATTATAATAATCATGCAATAAGAGTTCTTCATCAATCTTCTATAGTTTCTTTGTTAGACGTTTGTACTAAAAAACATGTACCTGTAAAATAAAAGACATTTAGCACTGAAATTTCTTCTTTTAAAGGACTACGCTACAAAAAAAAAAAAAACAAAACACTAATTGAAAATGTCAGCCGGGCGCAGTGGCTCATGCCTGTAATCCCAGCATTTTGGGAGGCTGAGGCAGGCAGGTCACCTGAGGTCAGGAGTTCAAGACCAGTCTGACTGACATGGTAAAACCCCATCTATACTGAAAATACAAAAATTAGCCGCCCGTGGTAGTAGGTCCCTGTAATCCCGGCTACTCGGGAGGCTGAGGCAGGAGAATCGCTTGTACCCGGGAGGCAGAGGTTGCAGTGAGCCAAGATTGTGCCACTGTGCCTGGGTGACAGAGCGAGACTCCATCTCAAAAAAAAAAAAAAAAAAAAGAAAATGTCAGCAATAGTTATAAGAAAATCAAGCAAATACAAAACCAATTAAATTAAATTAATAACTTATTGATAGTTATTATCAAATCACTGGTTCTATTAAAAGTAAAATTAAACTAAGCTATGTTTAGTATGTATAATAAAAAGGATGCAGAATTTAGGGAAGAGCCAGACAGAATTAATCTTCTACCAGGGACTCCCTTTGTCAGAACAAAAATAAACCATATGAATTGTACACCATGTCAAAAAGTATGGCATTTTCTAAGGTTTATGGTTCAAAGTCTAAAACTATGAATATTTCTACTCTAAGTTTTTAAGAATCTAAGCTATCGTATGTTAAAAAGAATTTAAAAAATCATTTCAAAAATACTATGTATAAAACTGAATCTCAGAATGTATTTTCTCATAGAAGCAAAAGTAAAAACCACATTTTACAAAAAACATCTCTGGAATAAAACCAACTTTCAAAGGATAATTTTAAAAAACTTAAAAACATAATTCTTCTAAAAGCATAGTGAATACTTGCCAAAGATTTACATAAGTCATTAATGAGGGATCAGAAGCTTGACAAGACAGGTTTAAAGGAGATGCAAGAAACCGATGTACAGATAGTGGAAAAAAGAATGCTGGAATAAGACTGCAAAATTGGATACAAACCTGGTTAATGTCCTACAGGACAGTAATACCATAACTTTGGGGATTATCTTTTATCCTAGCAAAAATAATTGCAATGTTTCAATCTTCTACAAGTTAATATCTAACTTTTAGGATCTAAATATTAATTAATAGTAAATGGTAAGTCAAACAACATAACCCTCCCCTGCTATGTCAGATAACCCTTAGACAGGCTTGTTAAGACAATGGTCTAATATGACTCTGAAATGGCCTACATTTATCTTTTATTTATTTCTAAGTTTTGGATAATTTTTCTTATCACAACAAATTTCTGATTTTTATTTTTTCTGGAAAAATGAAGTGGATTCACTACTCACATATAAGAAATCCTGAAGAAATAAAATATCTAAACCAATTTAAACTCATCTTAACACTATTTCCACAATGTTGATGTACTCTTGGTATTTTTTAATGGCACAGTATTGGGTCTTACAATGCAGCACAAGCTTCAGACTACGTAATGATAGGATATTTTACCATTAGTAATCACGATGTGACTATCTGGCTAGATTACGGCTGCCACCTCTGAGAGAAATGAAATCTGTTAAATTGATGCCACCAGCCCTGGGGCTACCACACCAATCAAATAATCATTGTGAACTTGCAATTAACTGGGAACATTGAGAATCAGAGGCAGTAAAATAGGCATTTTCTCTGTATTCATTATATGTACAACAGTAGGTATTACCTTTACCAATTGTGTTTCTTCTGCCTGAAGGTGAAGATCTTCATCTGGCTGGGTAACTTCAGGGCTCTGATGGGATACAGGATAAGATCATTCAGTGATAGGCTGCCTATGACTTACAGCAGAGCCTCAACAAGCACCACCAATCCACTGTGGATGCAGTGTATACAGGATGACCTCACCTACTGTTTTACTTAGGGCTGAAATCAAAGTCCCATTGTAACATGCAATCATAATCTTTCACTTTGTTTGGGACAATGACAAACACACGTAAGATTGAAAAAGATATAACTGCTTTTAAAAAAGAACCTATCAAAACAAAAATAAACTTATAATAAAGTGCCTTCAGACACTACATAATTCTACTTTTTCATATTGGGATGAAATCTATTTCTCAGAAAGTATCTATCTTGCTCAAGAATAACACTCAAAACCTACTAACACTATCTGTTTTCTACAATTGAAAAATCATTACAGTGTTTGGTGGGGGGATGTGGCTCAACAGTCACTCAGGAAATATTTCAGCAACCTCTCATAACATTGTTTTCTTCCAAAACTTAGAAACTGTATCTCCATGAGGGCCTTATTTATTTATTTATTTTTATTTTTATTTTTTATTTTTTTTGAGACAGAGTCTTACTCTGTCGCTGCCCAGGCTGGAGTGCAGTGGGGCGATCTTGGCTCACTGCAACCTCTGCCTCCCAGGTTCAAGTGATTCTCCTGTCTCAGCCTCCTGAGTAGCTGGGACTATAGGCACACACCACCATGTCCGGCTAATTTTTTGTACTCTTTTTTTTTTGTGGAGACAGAGTTTCACCATGTTGCCCAGGCTGGTCTTGAACTCCTGGGCTCAGATAATCTGCCCACCTCAGCCTCCCAAAGTGCTAGGATTGCAGGCATGAGCCACTGCGCCCAGCCCATGAGGGCCTGATTTTATGAATGCAATGAAATTTTACTTTACCTTCTAGTTGTAGTTATCCATTTCAGATGCTGTGCCATTTAAAAAAATTATGGATAATAAAACTACATAAAGATCACTATGAAAAAATGTTATGCTAACTCTCCCTCAACAACATCTTGTCTAAAAATGCACAAATATTCAGATTCCAGAAAATTAATGATGATGTGAATCTTCTATCTCTGATAGAGACGGGTTGATCCCGTGATACACGATTAGACAAATATGGTTATACCTGGTGATCAAGGGCAACATTTTGGTTTTATTTATCTTTTCAAGGGTATTTTAAAGGACTATTTACATGTTACATATTCTGGCTACAAAGAATAAAAGACCACAATCACGGGTTATTACAGATCATTACTATAACAAATTATATTTGTTGGTATTCTCTTTCTTCTGAATCTATTTTAAAGTCACTGCTAAAACACAGCTTTTATCACATTAATAATAATCCCAAGGACACTCAAACACACACACACACACATTTAAATGTCTTCAGGGAAACATTAAAAGATTCATCTTAAATATCTAACTTCCAGCCCTATCTGTCACAACTTTCCAACTTGAATCACAAGCTCACCCACTGTTCTCTGCCTCTGAAGCCTTGCCCTTAAACCCGTTTCTCACCTGAACTATCTTCATAAATACTTTATGACAATTAAAATCTCACTTGTAATTCAGTACCAGCTTAAATCTAACTATCCTTATGAACTTTCTATGACCAGTTTAGCCCACACTATCATCCCATTTCTTTCTTTACATAGCACTCATCTTTATCATACCGATAAGCAACTACTGTTCACCCAAATAATGTAATTATTACTTTTGTACATTTTACCTCAATGAAACTGTAAATTCCCTAGAGCCAAGCACTGTCTTAAACATATTCTCTCAATGTAATCTATTAAATCTAATCACTTCTTAATGAGTAGAAAAGAGATCACTGAGAGTGGCACAAGGGGAATGGTTCCTGTGAATCAGGGCTGGGGTATGTGTTTGTGTACATATATTTTCCCCATAATTTCCTATATAAAATTTTCCAATTGAAAAATATTCCATTTTGCTGTCCCACAAATAACTAAAATTTCCTGGGAACAATACAAATTTAATATCAAAATTAAAGATGCCTGTCATAACTAACGACAGCTCAGATATTTTTTGAAAGATCATGTGTCCTGATATTTGGTTAAGTAAGTATAGTGAATCGTCCCATAGTTTACTACCCTTACTGTGAACCCAATTTTCATGGGTCTATTTAGTTGAGTTCCCAGAAGGGGTGTCGGGGGAAGTAGAGAAGTCGCAAGCCTTCAGGCAAAGTAAACATGCTCTCAAACCAAGATAGTAGGTCAAAAACAGGGAATCCCAACTTACCAGGCGTCCAACTGAGAAAAACACAGCAGCCATAATCTCTCCCTCTGGTTTCCCCTCTCTGGAAAGAGTGGAGTCTTGCAAAGACATACCTAAGGAAGAGAAATAAGCCATGGAAACCAATCCTGCCTGGGGAATTTCAGACTCACCAAGTTGGAATCCTGACATACAAGTGAGCATGACCTCCCTAAGGAAGCACAAGAGTAACCCTTAAGATCAGTGAGGGACAAAGACCCTTGCTCCGGCAGAGCTCAAGATTTTAGCACTGTTAACTATAGTCACAACTAACAGGCTAGCCATTGTACAAGGAGGTTTTAAAATACTTTCTCATTTTATTTTCACATCAACCTAGTAGGAATAATATTCCCATTCCATAGATGAGGAAACTGAACCTAAAAAAATTAAAGTACCCAAGGCCATGCAGATACATGACCCCAAATCAATCTAATTCCAAAGCCCATACCTTTTCCACTGAATCAACATGCTGTGTGAAGTACGAAAAAAAATACTTCAGTCTTTCTTTGCCACAATCACTTACTCATCTAACAATTAAATATTCTAAGAATCTCCTTTTCTTGCCTTTCCCACGAAGAGTCTATTTCCTAACATTTTCAGAGATCTGTTTCATGTAAAGAGAACACTACGACTTCAAAATTTAAATGATATTGGAAATCTTGATTTACCCCTCCGAATCTGATATTCAAATAGATCTTTATCCTTTCTATATCAGGCAAACTTAAACAAAAAGGAAGCAGGTATAATAATAATAATAATAATAATAATAGAAGAGACATGAAATTCAGTGCACAAAGCATTAAGCTATAGTCTTTTTATATTGAAAAAAAAGTATATACCTAATAAAAGTTTTATCCTATGGAGCAACAGGGTGGCAGAGATCTTTTCCAGGGATGCTTGGGCCCTGCTTTTCTACCTTTGGCTAATGATATGTATGGCCTTGCTGAGGCTGAGTTTGGTTCAAGAACCAGGAGTGCCTGATGTAGGATATCAAACAGTACAGATTGTCAATATAAATTCTTCTAGGATGGTAATACTAGCCTCATGAATCTTTATTCATGAGGGCAGTGACATAATAAGTATTAAGTTTTTGTACAAAAAGTGTTATAAGCAATTATATGGTCCTGCAAGTAGGGCCTTTGTTATGCTTAAACATGTGGAATCTGCTCCTTCCCTGAATGTGCACCTTGCTTCTCATAACGTTCAGTAGCTTTGCTCAATAAACATAGCAGAACTTAATCTAACCTTACAGTGTCTAACAATCAGAAGCTCATCTGAAAAGATACTTGAAGTACTTAACCATTATTCTCTGAAAAACAAGAATATATAAAGCAAGGTTATCAAGAATGCAAAGAATATTAGAGATATAAAAATTAACTAGATATGGGTATACTGAAACATATACTGTCAGATTAATGTATTAACTCAAGGAGGAGACCAGGGTTAGTTAAATCAAGAAAATATGTAAATATCTTGGCTGGGCATGGTGGCTCATACCTGTAATCCCAGCACTTTGGGAGGCCGAGGCGGGCAGAGCACCTGAGGTCAGGAGTTTGAGACCAGCCTGGCTGACACGGTGAAACCCTGACTCTACTAAAAAATACAAAATGATCAGCCAGGTGTGGTGGTGCACGCCTGTAGTCCCAGCTACTCGGGAGGCTGAGGCACTAGAATTGCTTGAACTTGGGAGGTGGAGGTTGCAGTGAGCAGAGATTGTGTCACTGCACTCCTGCCTGGGCGACACAGCGAGACTCCATCTCAAAAAAAAAAAAAAAAAGTGAGTATCTTAAAAATGTAGAGTGACCTGTTTCATGACACTGGGGCTTTCCTAGGCACAATGAAAAGGTTTTGGTGGAAGAGAAACAATGAGAAGTTGAGGGAGGAAAGCGGTACAGTGTGGAGATAAAAGAGGTAAAGAAAGAATAGTCTGAGGGGATTCCTGTATTGAAGCCTCAAGGTAACCAGTAAGTGGTTTTGCCTTATGCCAGTGTTTCTCTAGATTTTTCTGTCATAGAGCCTTTTGCAAATCTAATGAAAATTATGACTCCTCTCCTGTTTTCTAATGAAAACGCCACATGTATAACTAGAGGGGTCTCAAATCTGAGAATGCAAAAAACTCACTGGATATGCTTATTAAAAAGGAAATTATTTGGCCCCATCCAAGATCAAAATCAGGATCTCTAGATGTGAGGCACAGAAATATACAGCTTGAACAAGTACACCTTAAGAAATATTTAGTTTAATATAATGTTAACATGTTAATTATATAATGTTAAATTATATAATGTTTTAGTTTTAGTGTAATATTTTAAGAAATATTGCCTGTTACACAATAGGGATTCTGAAGGGTGAAGGAGTGGGAGGGGGGTGGAGAATAAGGAATTACTTAATGGGTATAATGTACGTTATTCTAGGGACAGATACCCTGAAAGCCCTGATCTCACCACTACACAATCTATGCATACCAGTAAATCTTAATTTTTGGGGGGGTACGGACCCATCTGAGAATCTGACCTTGTCCACAAAATAATGCACATGCATATATGATGTTGCATATTACTTCAGAGAGCTTGAAAACTGACTCTCCCTCCCAAGCCCATACACTGACCCCCAAGTTTTACAAGGTTGCAAAGAAAAAAAATGAGCCAAGAATATTGCCCCATCCCGCAACCCCCGAACACTAAAGCAGACCTACAAAGAGCAACATAAGGCATTTTCAATTCCGAAGGTCTAGAGTAATGGTTTTCTGCATCTTTAACATTTATCAAGAGTGAGCTGAGTCATCATTTTTAAAATATTTGTAAATATTAATAAACTCTTTGGCAATACTTTATGTAGATTATGTAGATTATGCTCGTAACATATGTTTAACAACCAAACTACAATAAATCCCTTGTTTTATTTTATAATTAGAATAAACAATATTTAACATTTAATATATTCAGCTTGATCTCAATTGTGCAAATGTAATGCATAGAAAAAAAGACTGAGTAACCCAAAACTCTACTGAGACCTCTGAGACCTGGGGCTGTGATGTTTACCCTTCTTTCTGCTTTTCTGTACTCTCCAAGCAGACAAGAAGAAGTATCTACCTATACATAGGAGTGTGGAATAGGAATAAAATCCCAGAGTGGCTGGCCACATCCCCAGGTTCTAACCCTGCTTTGGCTACCGTAAAACTGTGACCACAGGCAAGTCACTTGAGCACAACGAATCAGCTATTAGTACATGACAGTAGCCACCTTATATGTTTCTACTGTCCCCTTTGTCATTATGCAGAAGATATCTAGGCCACTATTCCCCAGTTATAATTTCCCTATTTACAAGCTCTGTCTTTCCAACTATTGCAAACGTATCCAGAGACTTAAGGAGAAACTTTACTTGTTTTGCTTCCTTGGCCAGTGCAGTTATTTAGAAATAATGAAGGGTCCATGTTTTTGCTGAGAATCTCAGCGCCATGTACCAGTCCAGCATTTCCCAACCAATGCAATAATACCATTGTCATGTCAGGGAGTGACAAGTGATTAAAAGGTGATTACAGTATTTGAAATGTGACATTTCAGGAAAAGCTGCCTCGGTTACTGAGTAGCGCAGGTCCCCCGATGTGGAACCTAGTTCCATCCCTGCCAGTTCAGAAGCCAGAGCGGATATGCTCCTGCCAACCTCGCCTTCTTTCCCTAACTGCTCTCCTCTACCCACTTCGGGTATGCCCTCCTCAGGGCCTGCAAGGCGCGGGGCTGGGAAGACCGGGAAAGTCGGGTCAGGGGCCCGCCCGCCCTACTCGACTCCCTGCGCCCTGCGCCCGGCTCTTTTTAACCCCAGCGCCGCCAGGCCCGCAGGGAGGGGGTTCCCGGGTTTGGACCCGGACTAGGAGGCCGCATAGGGCACGCGGCCCTACCTGTGAGGGAGGCCAGCTGGAGACTGAACCCACACTCGGGAAGGAGGCCCAGCCCCAATCGCCTCTCAGGAGTGGGCGGGTCCGCTCAGGGACAGGGGCTCTAGAGGGAACGGCCACGCCCCGGACGCCGCCGGGAGCCAAGCGCCAAGGGAGGGGCGGCGGGCAACCGAGGCCAGGCGCCCGGGACAACGAGTACCTGGCGGCCGAACTGAGGACAACTGAGGGAACTCGCAGAGCAGGGCGGGAACGCTTCCAGCAATGGCGGCGGCTCGGCGGTGCCGGCCTCCAGGCAGGGCATTGCGCCTGCGCAGCCGGAGCGTCGGAACTACAGTGCCCAGAATCCTCAGCGCCTGAGCCCCCCGCCCCTTTTGTCTGCGTTAGTGAAGGAATTGGCTCTTCGAGGGTGAGAAAAAATTCCAATTGGATACACTTCTGTTGAGAAGCCTTGACTATGTGTCAAAAGCAATAGCACTAGAGATACAAATAATGACACAACCCTTGTCTTGGAACATTTAGGTGCGACTAAAGAAAGCCGTCGAGAGAACAGATAGATGTGATCCAGACAAATATGTGAACAAGTGCTTGGAAACACATATTTCTGAACAATTCCCTTTATGACAATTCCCTCAGAGTTGGAAGAGACAACAATTGATGACTATAATGCCAATTAAGTAGAATGGATATGAATGTCTGAAAATAAGCTGGAAATTTTAAGGCCAAAATTCTTCGAAATACAAAGAAAAAACCTTTCTGAAGACAAATAGCTGTAGAAGTTCTCCTCAATGCATACAAATGATAATTCTTAAAACACAATGACTGAAAGTATTTATTTGCAACAAATTTATTTGACCACTTATTCAAGGGCTGCTCGTCCAAGAGCTATATTAAGGTCTATTTACTTTATCCCTACCAAAGGCGGTATTTTTTGAGGATAGAAACTACATCTCATGGAGTTTATCACTCAGAGTGCCTACTTAGGAGACTGCTTGCATACTGAATGAAACGAAGGAAGAATGAATGAATAATTTGGGACCCCACCTCCCAACACACTTCCACATATCGAAATGCACACGGAATGAGGTACATCTTCTAAGGAGAGTGGCATTGAAGAGTAATCAAAACAACAGGATATTCACAGGAGGACTGGAATAAAACGAAATTTCCAGTGAAAAAGATTACTCAAAATATTTATTCAATACACTCTGAAATTAGAAACTAAGCAAATGTCTTTTGGAGATCCCAGTTCCCTCACATTCCCCACAGATGAAGATGAGCCAAACAGAAGTCCAAAACTTAAACATTACAAAACAAATAATAAAATAAGACACTGTGACTGAAAATCAGCACAAACAATAAACGGCAGAAATATATCCCCCAAAACTTCAGAGGCAGAGCTCATTTGATTAAAAATTTAAAATTATTACATTTAAAATGTTTAAGGACATGATAGATGGAATTAAAAACATTATCAACAAACAACAGAATGTAAAATAAGCCACCAGGAAAGTTTAGAGAAACATACACATTTCGTTAAACTATTAAAAAAAAATGTTTAACACAATATTTAGGGTAGATTATTACTTCTACAGGGATAAAGTCCAGGAAAGACAGACACACAGGTGACTTCAAAGGTATTGGTAGTGTTTTATTTCTTAATTTTGGTAGGAGTACACTGTTCAATTTGTAGTGATATTTGTTATAGGCAATTTTGTGTGCATTTTATATTTAGTAATTTTTAAACTCTTAAAGAACTCTTCTGTGAAGGAAGAAACTAATGCTTTTTGGCTTCAAATAATAAACCAATGGTTAAAAGTTACTTGAAGATAGATTTTGATTCAGATTGTATAACTTTATGCTAACAACGAACAGCTTTAGAAAATAGAGTAGGCTACCTTGTGCAATAATGAATTTGAATTCTTTGGAGAAGTTCAGGCAGAGATTAGATGAATCCTTGCTTAGAATTTTTAAATGTCCTCTTGGGAATTTGATTGCATGACCTGCAAGCTCTCTTCCACATAAGCATTTTGTGTTTACATGAATATTCCTTTCATTACATTTATTTTTCCTCCCATTGGGCCAGGTAATGAATAGATTTGTATCATCATAATGTGTTATGGAATACTTAGGAATCAGTGACATTAAGGGATGACTTCGTCTGGGAAGAGTGGAACTTAATGGATTCCTCAAAAGGACTCTGCACAAGGGTGTGATATTGGGAAACTACAGGAACCTGGTCTCTCTGGGTAAGAAGAGTTTTGTTGTGACTCGCTATTTTTCTGTTGGACCAAATGGACCTTAGGATTCAGGGATTTATGATATCTTATGAACCCTTATGGAGTAGTTCTATCTCCATTTCCAAGTAAAAACTCTACTCTTTGTAAAGGGAAAAATTTATATTTTCATCAGCATATCTTGAAAACTCTACCTGAGGACAATCCCCCAGACCTAGGACTGTCTCTTTTAAAGTCTCTTTTCAGGTACTTCAATTCTGCCTTTTTAAAAAAATTAGAAAAATATATATTTTTGGCTAACTTATATTGGTTCTGTGATGCAGCATATTTTACCATTCTTGGGAGCACATATTTGACCCCTCCCAACTACCTTTGTAATCATATGGAACTCCCTATATTGATCATGCCTTCCAAAAGATTATGTCCACATAGAACTCCGGAATGGCTTTTTGTCACCAACATAGTGAAGTTCTATTTCCCTTTTCCCGAACAGGGCTTGCAGTTCCCAAACCAGACACAATCTCCCAGTTAGAGAAAGAAAAAGGATCCTAGATGATAGTGAGACAAATTTCAGGAAACTCCATCCAAATAAGTAAATGAGAATGAGGATAAGATTCATTGTAAGTAACATCCTCAGTTGGTGTTCAAAAGTTATCTTTTGCCTGGGTACAGTGGCTCACACCTGTAATCCGAGTGCTTTGGGAGCCCAAGGTGGGAGGATTGCTAGAAACCAACAGTTTGAGACCAGCTTGAGCAATATAGTGAGACCCCATCTCTTAAAAAAAATTTAAAAATTTACCAGGCATGGTGGCATTTGCCTGTAGTCCCAGCTACTCAGAGGCTGAGGTGGGAGGATCGCTTGAACCCAGGAGTTCAAGGCTGCAGTGGGTGAGGATTGCAACACTGAATTCCAGCCTAGGTGACAGAACGAGACCCTGTCTCTCTAAAAAACAAGCAAACAAACCAACCAAAAACCACGAACAAACCAAACCCCTGCCGGGCGCGGTGGCTCACGCCTGTAATCCCAGCACTTTGGGAGGCCGAGGCAGGTGGATCACGAGGTCAGGAGATCGAGACCATCCTGGCTAACAAGGTGAAACCCCGTCTCTACTAAAAATACAAAAAAAAAAATTAGCCGGGCACGGTGGCAGGCGCCTGTAGTCCCAGCTACTCGGGAGGCTGAGGCAGGAGAATGGCGTGAACCCGGGAAGCAGAGCTTGCAGTGAGCCGAGATTGCGCCACTGCAGTCCGCAGTCCGGCCTGGGCGACAGAGCGAGACTCCGTCTCAAAAAAAAAAAAAAAAAAAAAAAAAACCAAACCCCTTTTAGCAAAATACCTGCATGAGGTAATAAAACTTATGTATCAAATGCCTACAACAAACATATGTCATGATGAAATGTTAAATGTTAAATGCTTCCCATAGAATTAGGTTCAAGATGAGTTTCCATCCACCATCACATTTCATTTTCACATTGCAGAATGTAAAGGGGCCTGCCCAAGATCATAACATTGCTCACTGGGTAAGTCAAGAGAACCCAGTACAGCACTTTAGATCCTTCATTTTAGTTTTGTTCTAAAACTGCTCCTGTTACCCTTTGGACATGAGTCTTTTATGTATTATCATTTGAATTCATGTATATTAGTTCATTTTCGCACTGCTCTAAAGAATGCCTGAGACTGGGTGATTTATAAACAAAAGAGGTTTAATTGGCTCACAGTTTTGCATGGCTGGGAAGGCCTCAGGAAACTTACAATCATGATGGAAGGCAAAGAGGAAGCAGGTAATTTATTCACAAGGCAGCGGGAGAGAGGGGAGAGCAGGGGAAACTGCCACTTATAAAATCATCAGACCTCATGAAAACTCACTGTCATGAGAACAGCATGGGGCAAACCACCCTCATGATCCAATCACCTCCCACCAGGTCCCTCCCTCGACACATGGGGATTAAAATTCAAGATGAGATTTGGGTGGGGACACAGAGCCAAACCATATCATTCTGCTGCTGGGCCCTCCTAAATCTCAAGCCCTTTTCACATTTCAAAACCAATTATGCCTTCCCAATAGTCCCCCAAAGTCTTAACTCATTCCAGCATTAACCCAAAATCCAAGTTCAAAGTCTTATTTGAGACAAGGCAAGTCCCTTCCATCTATGAGCCTGTAAAATCAAAAGCAAGTTAGTGACTTCCAAGATACAATGCGGGTACAGGCATTGGGTAAATGTTCCCATTCCAAACAGGAAAAATTGGCCAAAACAAAGGGACCAACAGGCCTCATGTAAGTCCAGAATCTGGTAGGGGAGTCATTAAATCTTAAAGCTCCAACGTGATCTTCTTTGACTCCATATCTCACATCCAGGGCATTCTGATGTGGGCTCCCAAGGCCTTGGGCAGCTCCGCCCCTGTGGCACTGCTGGGTATAGCCCCTTTGGCTGTTTTTATGGGCTGGCACTGAGTGCCTGCAGCTTTTCCAGGCACATGGTACAGCTGTTGATGGATCTACCATTTGGGAGTCTGGAGGATGGTGGCCCTCTTCTCACAGCTCCACTAGGCCATCCCCCAGCAGGGACCCTGTATGGGGGCTCCAACCCCACATTTCACTTCTGTGCTGCCCTAGCAGAGTTTCTCCGTGAGGACTCTGCCCCTGCAGCAGACTTCTGCCTGGACATCTAGGTGCTTCCATACATCCTCTGAAATCTAGGCAGAGGCTCCCAAAGCTCAGCTATTCTGTGCACCTGCAGGCCCAACACCACATGGAAGCCGCCAAGGCTTGGGGCTTGCACCCTCTGAAGCAACAGCCCAAGTTGTCCTTGGCCTCTTTAACCGCGACTGGAGCTGCAGCAGCTGGGATGCAGGGTACCATATCCCAAGGCTGCACAGAGGAGCAGCCCTGGGCCTGGCCCACAAAAACCATGTTTCCCCGCTAAGCCTCTGGGTGATGGGAGGCATTGCTGTGAAGATCTCTGACATGCCCTGGAGACATTTCCCCATTGTCTTGGCAATTAACATTTGACTCCTTGTTACTTATGCAAGTTTCTGCAGCGGCTTGAATTTCTTTCCAGAAAAGGGTTTTCCTTTTCTACCACATAGTCAGGCTGCAAATTTTCCAAACTTTCATGCTGTCACTTCTTGAACACTTTACTGCTTAGAAATTTATTCTGCCGGATACCCCAAATCATCTCTGTCAAGTTCACCCAGATCTCTAGGTCAGGAGCAAAATGCCACTAGTCTCTTTGCTAAAGCATAGCAAGAGTGATCTTTGCTCTAGTTCCCAATAAGTTCCTCATCTCCATCTGAGACCACCTAAGCCTGGACTTCACTGTCCACATCACTACCAGCATTTTGGTCAAAACCATTCAACAAATCTCTAGCAAGCTCCAGATGTTCCCACATCTTCCTGTCTTTTTCTGAGCCCTCCAAACTGTTCCAACCTCTGCCCATTACCCAGTTCCAAAGTTGCTTCCACATTATCAAGTATCTTTATAGCAGTGCCCCAAACTCTTGGTACCAATTTCCTGTATTAGTACATTTTCACACTGCTATAAAGAATGCCTGAGACTGAGTAATTTATGAACAAAAGAGGCTTAATCAACTTACAATGCTGCATGGCTGGGGAGGCCTCAGGAAACTTACAATCATGGTGGAAGGCAAACGGGAAGCAGCAACTTCTTCATAAGGCATGAGGAGAGGGGAGAGCAGGGGAAACTGCCACTTATAAAAACAACAGATATTGTGAGAACTTGCTCACTATCACAAGAACAGCATAGGCAAAACTGCCCCCATGATGCAGTCACCTCCCACCAGGTTCCTCCTTTGACACATGGGGATTACAATTTGAGATGAGATTTGGGTGGAAACACAGTCAAACCATATCATCATGGTTGCTGGTGGATTAGTTGATATTCTGAGGTAGAGATACAATAAGCTATCAGTTTGATTAGGTCTGGGTTTTGCTTTTTCTATGGTAATGTAAAAGGGCAGGAAGATTAGTATGTTACAAGTTCACTGCAATTACAAATCAGTCTCTGTACATATAAGAAAGCACAAAATCACAGACCTAGGGTCTTGACAGATATGAAAGCAAACCTATGTGATATCATGTCCACATCTTTACCTCAAACTCTCACCTAAAATTACTAGTGAGGACTTTTTTGTCCTGCTGTTAGTATTTGATAATTCTAGGTAGCATGCAATAAGATATGGAATATATGTATAACTTGATTTTATAATATTAATAACAGCCTAATTTTAAATATATATGTTGTGCCTTGTACTCTACAGAAAATGCACACTTTCCTTTTTTCTCTAAATTAGGTTTAATTTATTTCAGAAGTTTCTAGATTTTATTGTCTCTATTTAGCCAAAGCTACAAGAAAGGTCAAATTAATATCTTTAAATGCTTTCATTATCAATCAAGAAAGTGAAATGAACAAAGAATTTTACTCAAGAAACTAGTGAGAAATCAAAGAAATGTCCAAAAAGTAGAATACAAGAATTAATAAAAACAGATTAGCAGTGGAATAAATAAATGAATCCAACTGGTTCTTTGTAATGGAATGTGGAAAGACATACTCTATTCTTCTGGATAGGAAGATGAAATATCATAATCATATCAATGCAAGTTTTATGCATGCTCAAACATGTATAAACTAAGAAAAAGTCTGAAAGGACATACAGCAAAATGTTTGCAGTTTTTTTCCTTTAAGTGGTGAGATTAAAGGTAATACTTTTCTTTTTTATACTTTTCTGTATTTTCTAAATCTTCTGTAAAGAACATATAATTTTATGATCAGGAAAAAATAAGACATTTAAAAAATACCAAATTACCTCTCATTAATACGTATAATGCAAATGCCAATCAAAATACCAGAGAGACAAATGAGGGACTGGGGAAGAACTTCAAAAAGGGCCACATGGGAGATTAAACGTTATGCAAAAGAGTAATGAGGAATCTTAAAGCAAAAAAAGGGAAAGTAATCTTATTCTACAGGATATTAAAACCTAATGCAAAGCTTGGCTAGTGACTTCTAATAAAATTGCTTCCATACTTTAAATAAAATACCTGCAAATTTAGAACACAGACAAAGATAGAAACTCCTCACATGACCCACCATGAAGCCCATCAGATGGCAGAATGCAGAATCAGGTTGCAATGGACTGATCTTAAAACACATGAAGCAGTAGAAAAAAATCTTCCTGGAGCTGATGGTATAATTTGCTTCTTGAAACAATGACAGTCCATGAAATAAGGTGGGAAGATGTTTTGAACCTCTCTCAGCAGCAGATCCCTAAATCACAGACCCAGAACTTGGAGGAAACAGGAAACAGGAGGCCATCTCTGCACCTCTCCAGCACTGCTCTGGTTGGTGGGCAGAATATCATACAGTCATCACGATTCTTATATCAAAAACCAAAATTCTAGACTGATTAGATAATTATTTTTTTTTAATGAGAAAAGTTATTGTTTATTGAATCTTGGGCTAGGGAAGATATTTCCAAGCAAAAAGGGTAAAAAGAAAGAAAAAGAAATGATTAACAGATTGAAATGCAATAACAATGTAATATCAAGTGCTGGCAAGAGCTCAGGGAAGTGTGTGTTCTCATGACTGCTGGAACAAATTGGTATAATATTTCTGAAGGGCAATCTGGCTGGATATGTTAGAAGTCTTTAAAATGTTTATGCTCTGACTCAGTAATTCAATATCTAGGAATTTTTCCTAAATCAGTAATAAGAGAGAGATGAAAAAAAGTATTTACAATATTGAAAGACTGGAAAGAACATAAATGTTCAATAATACATATATGTTCAACAACAGGGGACTAGTAAATATGAATTATTTATATGATAAAATACTATCTAACCTTAAAATAATGTTTTAAATAATATTTAATGATGAGAATATGCTGAGAAAAGTTTAATCATTTTAAAAAAGTTAAATGCAAAATGAAAGTTAATAACATGTACAAGATTATTCTAAATTTTTTTGTTGTTGTTTGAGATGGAGTCTCGCTATTGTTGCCCTGGCTGGAGTGCAATGGAGTGATCTGGGCTTACTGCAACCTCCACCTCCCAGGTTCCAGCAATTCTCCTGCCTCAGCCTCCCAAGTACCTGAGATTACAGGCACCCACCACCACGCCTGGCTAATTTTTGCATTTTTAGTAGACACAGGGTTTCACTATGTTGGTCAGGCTGGTCTCGAACTCCTGACCTCAGGTGATCCAACCTCCATGGCCTCCCAAATTGCTGGGATTACAGGCGTGAGCCACTGCACCCGGTCTATTCTAAAACTTTTTAAACTTATGAGATAAACATACACACACATATATCTGGAAGAAAACTCCAAAATAGTGGCAATGTTTTGGAGGGAAAATTGGGAGTGATTTTAATTGTCTGTTACTAGCAGCTAAAAGCATGCCAATAGACCTGGCAAACTCCCACTCAATCTTCAGAATTCAGCTCAGTTGTCACTTCTTCCAGGAAGTCCTCCTGTACTACTCACTACCATATTACACTAGGTGTTCTGCTTTGCACTAGACTAGAGTCTGGGCATAACTCTATGATATTCTTTCCTTCTTTCTTTCCTTCCTTCCTTCCTTCTTTCCCTCCTTCCTTCCTTCTCTCTCTCTCTGTCTTTTCTTTTTTTTCTTTCCTTCCTTCCTTCCTTCCTTCTTTCTTTCTCTCTTTCTCTCTCTCTCTCTTTCTTGATGGAGTCTCATTGTGTCACCCAGGCTGAATTGCAGTGGCATGATCTTCTCAGCTCACTGCAACCTCTGCCTCCCAGGTTCAACCAATTCTCCTGCCTCAGCCTCCCAAGTAGCTGGGATTACAGGCCCCCGCCACCACTCCCAGATAATTTTTGTATTTTTATTAGAGATGGGGTTTTGCCATGTTGGCCAGGCTGGTCTCGAACTCCTGACCTCAGGTGATCTGCCTACCTCAGACTCCCAAAGTCCTGGGATTACAGGTGTGAGCCACTGTGCCTGGCTGATATTCTTTATCACTGCATTGTACTCTCTGCTTTGATTCTCTACATCTCAACTACACTTTGAACTGTCTACCACCAGAAATTTGGGTGTTTCCTTTTTGTATCCCAGTGCCAATCTGTCTGCAATCTAACAGGTCTTCAAGCTGGAATGCTGGCTTCATGAGTGAAATAGATGAGCAAATGCTTCTCTGTGCTCTGTGAATTTAGAGGTTAAGGGTAGAAATGTGAACAAGGATGGGCAAATACCAGTAAAAAGCTATCTCTCCTCACCTTGGCCAGCAGGCTGGAAAGATGTTTAATTTCACCAATTGCCTTTAGTAATTCTTGTCTGAACTCATTGCGAGACTGTTCCAGTAGATCCAGAATACCATGCTGCTTACTAATGCATGAGACACATGAGTTTCCTGTGGATCTGTGACAAATGACCAAAAACTTGGTGGCTTAAAACAATAGAAATTAATTTTCTCACAGTTCTAGAGGTGAGAAATCTTCAATCAAGATGTTGGCAGGGCCCTGCTTCCTACAAAGGGCCTAGGGGGATGCCATTTCTCACCGCCTCCAGCTGCTGTGGTTCCACGTGTTTCTTCTGTGGCTACATCACTCCCCTTCAGCTTCCTAGCCCCTGCAGGTCAGGAAGGCACAGGAGGAGGAGGTGGGAATGGGTGTGGAGGGCCACACACCAGGCCAGGGCAGCAGGCACTCAGAACACAGTGGCCTAGAAGCGGGGTACCAGGAAGCCACACCAGCCTTCAGGGCCCCAGGCATGCTCCCTCCTGCCAAAGGCCTTTGCACATGTTGTTCCTGCCTTCTCAAATGTTCCTCCCTATCCTCTCTGCTGCTGCATAGCAAGGTAACTTCTACTCAGTCAAAACTATCACTGTCTAGCACAACCTAAATGTCCATAAACAGAAAACATCAACAAATGACAGTGTATTCATGCAATGAAATACTATACAGCAATGAAAAAGAATGACCTATGACCACATGCAACAATATAAGAGGATCTCACAGATGTCATTGTTGAGTGAAGAAGCCAGACTCAAAAGAGCACCTTCCTCATGCATCTATAGAAGGCAAAAAGAAGCAGAATTAATCTACAGCAAAGGGCTGAGAAGAGTGGTTACTTCTGGGGGGAAGTATTGGATGGGAGGGGACAAAAGAACCCTCTAAGGGCTGGGCTTGGTCTTGTCCAGCTTGGTCTGGGGGCTGAGACTGAGTGCACCCGTGGGTAAAAGTTCATCAAGTTGAACACTTAAACTGTGTGTTCTTCCTACAATGAAAAAATAAAAACAAAACAGGCCCCTTTCTCTGAGAAGCCTTTTCCCAGACTAGAGACCTGTCCCCAGGATGAGCTGCCAGGGTTCTGTGCAACCTTCCTGCAGGCTATTGTCGCGCTGTGATGGTCTGTGTCCCCGTGAGATGGTGAGGTGGAGTCTCTAGGTTTCTCCAAGCAGAAGATTGTATCATCTGCAAACAGAGAAAATTGGACTTTTTCCTTTCCAAGTTGGATGCAGGGCTATTATTTTATTTCAGGCCATTTTCCAAGCTCATTGGTTTTTGTCAGAATTCAGTTCCTATAGTCACAGGACTGAAGATTCTGGTTTCTTTTTGCCTGTCAATGGAGAGTTGTTCTCAAATCCTAGAGGTGGCCCACCATTTTATGGCATGCAGCCTTCCCTACAGCATGGTAATTGTTTACCGTGGAAGAAAATCTTACAAGAAATCTTCATATCACCTACCATACAGTTGCCTCTAAATTTCAAATGTTCATATTCTCCCTAAAGGCAAAATACATTTACTCCCTTCCAAAGATTTCATCTCATCATCAGCTCAAATCCAAAGTATTATTATCTAAATTGTATCATCTCATCAGCTCAAAGTCCAGAATGGCCCCTAAACATCACAAACTTGAAGTTTAGAATCTTAACTTCTAAATGTTCTAAATCAGGTGCAGATGGGTACAAATCATTCAGTGCAGCTCCTGGGGGCACACTTTCAATTTGTGGACCTGTGATGCTAAAGAAACAAGTTATTTTCTCCAACAATCCTAATATACATTAGTGGACAGGCAGAGGATAACAGTTATGTGCATCTGGATAAAGATAGGTGGCAGAGGCTGGGCACGTTGGCTCATGCCTGTAATCCCAGCACTTTGGGAGGCCGAGGCAGGTGGATCACCTGAGGTCGGGAGTTTGAGACCAGCCTGACCAACATGGAGAAACCCCATCTCTACTAAAAATACAAAATTAGCTGGTCATGGTGGCGGATGCCTGTAATCTTAGCTACTTGGGAGGCTGAGGCAGAAGAATTGCTTGAACTCGGGAGGCAGAGGTTGCAGTGAGCCAAGATCGTGCCATTGCACTCCAGCCTGGGCAACAAGAGTAAAACTATGTCTCAAAAAAAAATATATATATACAATATGTTCACATACTAAAACAGCATGAAAACATAAAAATTAACAAACGAGCCATAAATAGAAAGTAATTAAAAATTAAAGAAGCTATTTCATTGAATGTTATACTGGTCAGCATTGAAGTTTGCCAAAATTTAAAGATTTCAGATTGTTGAACGTGTATGTTAATAAATTATAGATAAGAATATATGTATTTATAATATATTTTAACAGTTTCACTTCCTCAGAATAGTGTTACTACTCGAGTATCAAAGAGGCCAATTGGGTCATGAACACATGTAGAAGCATAGATGCAATGTTTATAATCTAATCTCCATGGAAAAAAAAATGCTCAAAAACCTAGAGATGTGAGTAGTACCAATGCAATTTCTACAATTTGTCAAGATTGTTTAAAATGAGAATTTCTATTTCCCTGGTTGGCTGTTACTTTTCTGGAAGCCTGAGGAGAGGAGAAGCTGTCAGTGGAGGTCCCTGAAGTTACCCAGGCCCAGGAGAGACACAGCATCAGCTGACAACTGCAGTAAATGCCACTGAAGACCCTCACTGGGAAGAGGCTGCAGAACCGTGTCTGCCATGCTCGTGTTTTAAATGCTGGCCAAGCTGAATCAAAACTCCTTTTCCTTTTTCAAATTTCCTTTTTTAAATAGAAGAAGTTTCAGGTACTCAAAAAATGTCACACAAGACTTATTGTGTTTGCCCTGTATCATTTCTTTCTTAAACAATTTAAGCAGGAGTTATTTCACATACTGTATTTGGCAATCAGCTTTTGTTATTTCAAACCAATGAAGACAATAAATTTGCTTTCTTCCTCTATTCTTTTTCTTTCGTTTTCTTTTTTTTTGAGACGGAGTCGCGCTCTTGTGCCCAGGCTGGAGGGCAGTGGTGCGATCTCAGCTCACTGCAGCCTCTGCCCTCGCTCGCTGCATCCCTCCCTTCTGCAGGTAAGATGCCAATATTTACCCTACTGACCGTGGCCAGTTCTTGGTATTGCTCAAGTCCCCTGGGCCTTCAGACTGGCGGGTGACTTCAAGGGACCAACCATCCTGGGCCTCTCCTGGGACAAACACTTGCCTTCACCCACTATCGATGTCTTGCTCAGCCCTCAGAGGAGCGTGGTTGGCGTGGATTACTTCATGCCTTGATTCTGCCTTCCCGGAAACCACGGTGGCAGCAGGCTTGGATGTCACCAAGTCACCGTGTTTCATGCTATTTCTGGAAGTTCTCGCCTTTGTGGCCTCGGAAAGGAAGGCGATCTGGTGCTTTGGGGAAAGCCCTCGGGATGCTCCTCCAGATGGTCTTCTTCAGGCCTTTTGCTCAGCATTGGTCTGATCAGTTCTGCCAGCTCTGGGCCATGATCTCTTGGCACTGGCGCGGCTTTCCTTCAATAATTCCATAAACTCCAGACTCCGTGTCTTTTGCATGGAAAGCACGCGGTGCCCATTTCATCGACACCGCACCCCGGAGTCCAAACGTCAGCCCTGCGGGTGTGGGGTTTGTTGGGGACAATTTCGGGCTCAGGTGCAGGGGGCGCTTCCCCAGCGCGGGCGCGTCCTGGGCGCCATCTGAGGCCGTGGGCTCCTGGCAGGAGGACCTGGAGCTTTCAGATCCCCGGGAAGGATGCATTTCCCCCACTCTTGGGCACAAGCTGCCCTTTGGTGGCGTTGGGCACAGATCACCGCCTGGCAGAAGCCCGCGACAGCGTGGAGGGAGCGATGCCCCCGCCCGGGACTCCTGGTGGGTGATGGCGCCGGGAGGCCTTGGCTGGGACAGATCGGGGCCTCCCGGTCGGTCAGCGACTCGCGCCCGGCTGCGACTTTCAGAGGCTTTTGGACACCGCCTGCCATCCCGCCGCGCCTCTCGGGGTCCGCTCCCCCGGACTGGCCCTGCCCACGGAGCGCGGGTAGCAGCCGGCGGCCAGGAGCCAGTGGCGGGAGCCACCGGTGGGAAAACCGGCAGGAGGCTGCGCTGGACCCCGCTGGGCAGCGCCAATCCCTAAGGCAGCCGGGCGGGTGAGCTAACGGCGGCGGGGGCGGCTGAGAGGCTGAGGGGCTGAGGCGGCTGAGGCGGCTGAGGCGGCTGAGGGGCTGAGGGGTTGAGGCGGCTGAGGCGGCTGAGGGGCTGAGGAGGCTGAGGAGGCTGAGGCGGCTGAGGAGCTGAGGGGCTGAGGCGGCTGAGGGGCTGAGGCTGGTGAGGGGCTTGAGGGGCCGAGCGGATAAGGCGGCTGACGCGGCTGAAGGGACTGAGGGGCTGAGGTGGCTCAGGGGCTGACGCGGGTGAGGGGCTGAGGGGCTGAAAGGCTGAAGGGCGGGCAGCGTGCCGGGTCCCTGCGGCTGGGTCCACCGCACGTCACGTGGCAGAATCCCGGGGCTGCTTTCTCTCCGGCTGCTCAGCCACTTGTTTTCTCACTGTGAACCTCGTGGGCTCCTGCTCGGTGTCCTTTCTTACTCTGTCTCTGTTTTTGCATTCTATTGGCAAGAATGTTATTTAGGATATTTTACTGATATAACTGAGGATGAACTGTGTTTTGCAGCATTTTGTTTTATTACGCGTTTTCTCCTAGATTTTGGTATCATTTTTATGCTGACTTGATTAAACATTTTGGAAACTTTCCTGGAACTGATAGCTTTTATATGATCTTTTTCTTGAGGTAATAAAATAATTTACTTTGAAATGTCTCAGCCTAACAACTTTTGTGCTTTTGTTGTTTTGTGCAGAGGTGGGAAGACTCCTTTGCATTTTTGGTATCACTTCTGTGTTAATGATTTTGTTGTTTGTTTCGCAAAATCACTTAGTGATCCGTGTTTTCCAACTTAGAGTTAACATGCACCATTTTGCGACATAAAAAAATGTCTCGTATATCTCTTTGTATGTCTCTTTTCGTTTCTCATGTTTGGAATTGTCTTCATTTTTTCATCATTAGTTTAAAGTAGGAATTTATTAAATATTCCCAAAAGACCGAAGTTTTACTTCATCTCCTAGGCAATTCATTTTTCAATGTGTTATTCACTGATTTCTCCACGTTCATTAATATTGGGAATAATTTATATAAATTG
Organism: Homo sapiens; assembly: GCF_000001405.40. Classification (NCBI taxonomy): domain Eukaryota; kingdom Metazoa; phylum Chordata; class Mammalia; order Primates; family Hominidae; genus Homo; species Homo sapiens. Next base: position 16,668,249 of record NC_000017.11, read on the forward strand.
ATTATTGCTGCGTTACAAGCTTACGGAGCAACATTCTGTCTTCAGTATTTTAATGTATTTTTTAATTAAATATACTTTAGTCACTTATACCATATTTAAGTTTATTTTCCTGATTCTAGGCCCTCTAATTATTAACTAGAATGCTGATAGTTTTCCCTAAGCTTCAATTGTTTATAATTTATTCATTTATGACAGGTGAGCATAAAACTACTTCGTTATGAAGATTCAATGATATATTGTGTAGAGATTTTATACTATGTGCTTGGACACAAACACTCTTAAATAATTGTTATTTTTTTCTACCTGCTTTTGACATAATGAAAGTGCATTTTTAATTTTTTAATTTTTTTATTTAGTTGTAACAGACTTTAGGATATAATGGTCCCAGATTCTTTTGTTATCTGTTTTATAGCCACATTGTTTATTCTGTTGTCATTATATAGTATTTACATGCTGTATTAGTCTACTCAGGCTGTTATAACAAAATACTATAAACTGGGTGCTTTCAACAAGAGACATTTATTTTTCACAGCCTTGGAGGCTGGGAAGTCTATGACCAAGACAATGGCTGATTTGGTTCTTGAACAGGCTTTCTGGCCTCTTCTTATAAGGGCATTAATTCCATCATAAGGACCCCACTCTCATGACCTCATGTAAACCTAATTACCTTCAAAGGCCCTATTTCCAAATCCCATCACACTCAGAGTTAGATCTTCAGCACATAAATTCTAGGGGAAACAAATGTTCATGCCATAACACACACTGCTGACCCTTTCTTTCCGTTTCCATAGTTGTTTAACTTTATTATTTATAATATTTTGGAGGAATATCATAATTATCTTTTGGGTACTTATTAATTTTTTAATACAAAATGCATTTATTAAGCAGTGAAAATGCTAATAAAGTCATATAGTAGTTGCTTCCTATACTATATATATCTTGCGACATTTGAGAAAGATTTTGCATAATATATGTAATGCTATCATTCAAACATGTTTAATAAGTAGGTCAGAAAGAGAAGAATGTTTTCCATCTTCAACCAAACTAAGGATACATTCCAGGTCCAAATCACCAAATACATGAACTTAGATTTAAATGTTTGTAGTCAGGCATTCAACTGTTTAATTACAGTCCACCCGGAACACACATTTTATTCTCAGTTCTCATATCAGCAGGGCATTGATAATGTGTACTTGTCTAACGGCAAGTCTGAGCATTAGCTTTTGATAGCATTTTAACCCAATTTAATATTTCTGTGTGTGCTTAAGTGGATAGACAAGCATTCTCCAACACTTTTTCTGATGCTGGAAATGTTCTCTGTCTATGTACGAAATATGCTAACCACTACCCACATGTGGCTTTTGAGAAGTTGAAAGGTAGATAGTGTGACTAACCAAATTTTTATATTATTGTAATTAATTTAAATTTAAATGTAGTAGCCATGTGTGGCTATTGGACACCATACCTCTAGGTTATTACCACTGGTATCTAGATAGATCAGACAATTCACAGAAGCCTCACATGTAACCCCATTCTTCTTAATGTCAAAGCATGGAGCCTGCTACTTCATCTCTCTACACTTTTGAGTTATCACTCATTTTTTACCCTAACATAAGTCAAGGTAGATATTATGCCAAAAATTATAGAAAACTATTGTTAGGCCAGGCCCGGTGGCTATAATCCCAGCCCTTTGGGAGGCTGAGGGGGGTGGATAATGAGATCAGGAGTTCGAGACCCACCTGACCAACATGGTGAAATTCCGTTTCTACTAAAAATACAAAAATTAGCCGGGCATGATGGTGTCCACCTGTAATCCCAGCTACTCTGGAGGCTGAGGCAGGAGAATCCCTTGAACCTGGGAGGCAGAGGTTGCAGTGAGCTGAGATCACGCCACTGCACTCCAGCCTGGATGACAGAGTGAGATTCTGTCTCAAAAATAAAAAGTAAAGAGAAAAGAAAACTAGTGACAAAATCAGTAACTTAGCAGTTTTCCTTGATCTCTTTGATGTGGTTCAATAAATAATCTTGTGTTTTTCTTTTTTCTTTTTTTTTTTTTTTTGACAGAGTCTGGCTCTGTCACCCAGGCTGGAGTGCAATGGCGTGATCTTGGCTCACTGCAACTTCTGCCTCCCGGGTTCAAGTCATTCTCCTGCCTCAGCCTCCTGAGTAGCCGGGATTACATAATCTTGTGTTTTTAGTATAATCCCTATATGTTGATTTTATTATCTTTAAAATGATAACACTAGGAAGACCTACTTCATATTATTTTATTTTTTTGAGACAGGGTCCCACTCTGGCACCCAGGCTGGAGTGCATTGGTCCTAACAGGGCTCACTGCAGCCTCAACCTTTCAGGTTCCAGTGATACTCCCACCTCAGCCTCCCAAGTAGCTGGGACTACAGGTGGGTGCCACCAAGCCTGGCTAATTTTTATATTGTTTTATGGAGACAGGGTTTCGCCATGGTGTCCAGGCTGATCTCCAATTCCTGAGCTCAAGAGATCTGCCTACCTTGGCCTCCAAAAGGGCCGGGATTAAAAATGTGAGCCACCATCCCCCGCCCTCTATAATTTTAAATTAGGCAACTGAAGTAATGCATACATCATACCATATCATGTTTTATAAAGCATAAAGTCAGGATAATAAGGTGGTTAAGAACATGAATTTAGAGATGAAACCATGCTGGAAAAAGTTACTGAAATTTTAAAAGAAGTATTTTAAATAATACAAAATATTTATATTATCACTTTTTTTTTTTTGAGACACCATCTCACCCTGTCACCTGGTTGGAGTGCATTGGCACGATCTCAGCTCATTGCAACCTCCACTTGCTGAGTTCAAGCGATTCTCCTGCCTCAGCCTCCCAAGTAGCTGGGATTACAGACACCCACCACCACACCTAATTTTTGTACTTTCAATAGAGACAGGGTTTTGCCATGTTGGCCAGGTTGGTCTCAAACTCATGACCTCAGGTGATCTGCCCATCTTGGCCTCCCAAAGTGCTGGGTTAATAGGTGTGAGCAACCATGCCTGGCCTATCATTACCTTTTTGATTATTAAAGGGTTACATTAAAATGATAGGATTTAAAATATCATTTAAATTATTCAAATTTTTATTCAAAATTTGAGAAGAAAATTCTGGGTTACAAAATAGGCGTTATTCTGTAAGTTCTGTGTCCTGCTCTGAGCATAAGTGGTCTGATATTAGGAAAGTCAATAATTACCTTAGTAGTACTTTCTCTTTAAATACCATAAATAAATAATGTAATTAAATGTACCATTTAATCATTACATGTGGTAAATCAGTGACACACACACACACAAACACTCACAGTGAATTTACCAGATGCATCCCATCAGTCTGGCAAAACACCTATGATTAATAAAATATATGTGGAGACATATTGGTCCCTACTCTTCAGAGTAAAATTCAGGTGGATATGGATATATTATCTTTTCCTCTGAAACTAAAATTAAGGTAATATTCTACCTTTTAAGGGGATAATCATTCTCATTTTTAACAATGAGACTATTTCTGTCATTCACTTACCTATTTCACAATTCTGAGACAGGCTGAAACAAACAAGAAAAAACCATATGTATTAACATATGTTATCTTATATAAAAATTATTTTGACTGTACTTCTGCCCTTTATTAGGATATATGCTAATTAAATATTATGTTAAAGGATCTATAAATGATGATGAAATAATTTTCAAGTACAGTTTAAGTAAAGCTACATCTATTCTTGCTGCTCCTGTCATAGCCTAGATTTATAGCTAATTTTCATGAGTTACCGTTTTGTAATACACATCCCCCCAACCATGCCACTTCCCAGCTTTTAAAAGAACTTAAGGATTTTTAATAGGAATTTAGAGAAAGTATTGCTGCCTCCTATCAGAATTTACTGGCACCTTTGCTCACAAATTGGAAGTAAAATATGTCACTGTGACCCTTACTGGTATCCCTGATGTGTGACATCAATTGCACATTTTCTTTCCTCTGATTTTATGTGTATGTTTGGTAGATCAGATAAACCTGGGACATGTCGGCCGGGCACAGTGGCTCACTCCTGTAATCCCAGCTATTCAGGAGGCTGAGGCAGGAGAATGGCTTGAACCTGGGAGGTGGAGGTTGCAGTGAGCCAAGATCACGCCATTGCACTCTAGCCTGGGGGACAAAAGCAAAACTCCATCTCAAAAAAACAAAAACAAAAACAAGAAAACCTGGGACATGTCAAAATTTCTATAATGAAATGTTTGTGTTTGCCTAAAATAAATTCCTATTAGAACAATAAAAGTGAGAAACAAAACAAATGTAAAATGGAAACAATTTATATAACCTGGCAAAACACAGTAACATTAACCTATATTTAATGAACACATCGAAACTCAAAACCAATAATTTATCATTGTAGTAAAAATATACAACAGAAATTATGAGATGGTTTCCTCAGTGAAAAGCACTGTGTGTACAATCAGTCCCTAGATGACTTCATATTTTTCTAGTCTAATTCTAAGAATTTGCTCATAATACTATAAATGGAACTGTTTTCCAAATAATATTAACGTCTATCTTTGTCTATCACCATTGTGTCAATATTTGTGTGATCCTTTAAAATTTAGAAGGCCTAGAAGGATGCTTTTGCTTTTGCAATACAAAAAATGGCCTAACACAGATACAGATGATAGAGATATAGATAGATAGGGGGTCACATTTTGAAATTTAGTTCTCGAAGGGACTTATTTCACTGCAAGTTTGAAATTATTCTAGTTTTAAATTTAACAAATGATAAACCTTATAGAATGATAACACAATTGTACATGTTATAAAGTCACAGGTTATATCTAATGATGTACCAATCATTTTGTGTTGAGGTTGGTAGCATTTTCTTTTTTTACTGAGACTTCAATTCTCAGTAAATGAGAACAGTTTTTACACAGAGGGGCCCTAACACCACCACATACTAGGGCTGTTCTCAGACTGTGAGGTTCTGCCCACACCAAGCCAGGATGAGAATTTTATTCCTCATACTGTTCTCGGTACTTGTTTGTATCCCATAATATCCCCCCAAAAGTTCATTTTTTATGCTGTTTGCTATTCGCTTACATTTAATACATGTATCAAAAAGTTATCTTCATTTTTTTTTTTTTTTTGAGACGGAGTTTCACTTTTGTTGCCCAGGCTGGAGTACAGTGGCGCCACAGTGGCTCACCGCAACCTCTGCCCCCTGGGTTCAAGCGATTCTCCTGCCTCAGCATCCCGAGTAGCTGGGATTACAGGCATGTGCCACCACGCCCGGCTAATTTTGTATTTTTAGTAGAGACTGGGTTTCTCCATGTTGGTCAGGCTGGTCTCGAACTCCTGACCTCAGGTGATCCATCTGCCTCAGCCTCCCAAAGTACTAGGATTACAGGCGTGAGCCACCACGCCCGGCCTATCTTCGTTTTTAAAATAAAATTTTATACTATCGTTTAATCTATGTCCCTATAGAATAATCTTGATCCATATACTTTTGTTATTACAGGCAGAACAAGATAAAATTCCTCTGTCTGGAATAAATGCCATGACCACCACATTTTGAGCATTATTTTTTTTAAATTATTTTTTAAACAGAAATGTATCTAACTTACAGTAACCAAATTCCTTTTCAAAGTAACTACATTTCTTTTAAGTGAAAAATTAAATATTTACCTTCTGTTATCAAGAATTCTCTGAATACAAAATATTTATTTTTTTTAACGTTAGAAGAAATTGAAAATATCTACATGTACTAATCTAAAAATACAGGCCCATGCTGTTAACATGTCTTCCAAATTTTAAGGAATAGGTATTTAAATGCTATGCACTTTGTTTCCAAATTTAGAAAGTGTTTCAACCTTTTGGCTGGGCATGGTGGCTCATGCCTGTATTCCCAGCACTTTGGGAGGCTGAGGTGGGAGGATCACCTGAGCCCAGGTGTTCCAGACCAGCCTAGGCAACATGGTGAAATCTCATCTCTACAAAAAATTACAAAAATTGTCCAGGCATGGTGGCACCACCTGTATTCCCAGCTACTTGAGAGGCTGAGAGGGGAGGTTTGCTGGAGCCGGAAAAGTTGAGGCTGCAGAAGGTAAAGTGTCGAGGCTAACAGATGATAAATATTTAATTTTTCACTTAAAAGAAACATTGGTTACATTGAAAAGAAAGTTGCTTAATGTAAGATAGATAAATCTCTGTTAAAAAAAATTTTAAGTGAGCCTTGTTAGCACCACTGCACTCCAGCCTGGGTGATAGAGCAAAACCTGTCGAAAGAAAGAGGAACGAAGGGAGGGAGGGAGGGAAAGAGAAAGAAAAAGTGAGGGAAGGAAGGGAGGGAGGGAAGGAGGGAAAGAAAGAAACCAAAGAAAGAAAATGTTTCAAGCTTTACAGTAGCAAAGCCACTCTGTAATGAATAAACCACAGAACCAAAACAATCTAACCAACAATATGATAAACTTCTGATTTGAATATCAAAACCAATTTCAATAATAAATATATGGTATGAAAACCCCACAAAGGTCAAGTAGGATGTGTTATACTTGAATGAAATTATGAGTTGAGAATAGGAAATCTATAAATCTAATCAAACAAATTGAAGATTTATGAGGAAATTGTACTGCCAATGTATTACTTGGCAAGTTATTCAGTGGAACACAAAGACATTCTTAAGGAAGTTGCATATATATTTTAAAATGTTACCATTGAAATGGATTTTTTAGGCCGGGCGTGGTGGCTCATGCCTGTAATCCCAGCACTTTGGGAGGCTGAGGTGAATGGATCACCTGAGGCCAGAAGCTCGAGACCAGCCTGGCCAACATGATGAAACGCCATCTCTGCTAAAAATACAAAAATCAGCCGGGTGTGGTGGCACGTGCCTGTAATACCAGCTACTGGGGAGGCTGAGGCAAGAGAAGCGCCTGAACCTGGCAGGTGGAGGTTGCAGTAAGCCGAGATGGTGCCACTCCACTCCAGCCTGGGCGACAGAGCAAGACTCCATCTTGAAAAAAAAAAAAAAAAGTGGATTTTTAAAACTGAGGACATTAATAACTTGAAAAAGTATTCAGGGATAAAGAGAGAAAAAATAAATTTAGATTGTTGTTTACATATATAAATATATTTTAAAAGATAAGCTTGTCTTTTTTTTTATTCCTGAAATAAAAGGAGCAGATATTTAAATCCCATGCCTTTCATTTTAAAATTTGGGAAATGCTTACAGCTTCCCACACTGAAATTTATACTAACACAACTAATATAACATACGGAAAACAAAATAAAAAAAAAAGGAATTCTCTTGACCAATCTATTTTCTTGATTTTTAAAAGTCTAAATGTATACTCAAAGAAAGAAAACTATTAATAATTGATTCTCTTATTCGAAAATATTTACTGATCATTTACCTTCCACTAAGTGATTTCCAGCTCATGGAGATAGATCAGTGGAAAAATACATAAAGTTGCCCAGCTTCGTTAAGCTTAAATTATTATTATTTTTTGAGACGGAATCTCGCTCTGTCGCCCAGGCTGGAGTGCTGTGGCCCCATCTCGGCTCACTGCAAGCTCCTCCTCCCGGGTTCACGCCATTCTCCTGCCTCAGCCTCCCAAGTAGCTGGGACTACAGGCGCCCGCCACCAAGCCCAGCTAATTTTTTTTTTTTTAATTTTCAGTAGAGACGGGGTTTCACCGTGATAGCCAAGATGGTCTTGATCTCCTCACCTCGTGATCCCCGCGCCTCGGACTTCCAAAGTGCTGGGATTACAGGCATGAGCCACTGCGCCCGGCCCACGCAGGGACTTTAAAACATGAGTATTATGATAAGGCTTGGAATTCTAAAAATTGCATACTGTGATTGCTTTGTGGAGACTGGATTGAAAAAAAGGGCAATGATAAAGCTTAAATTCATATAGAATATGGCTAGCCTATAATTTTGAGAGTCCCTGAAATAAGAGTGTATAATAGTTCTCAGGCTGGGTGCGGTGGCTCATGTCTGTATTCCCACCACTTTGGGAGGCCAAGGCAGGTGGATTGCTTGAGGTCAGGAGTTCAAGAGCAGCCTGGCCAACATGGTGAAACCCTGTCTCTACTAAAATACAAAAATTAGCTGGGCGTGGTGGCAGGCGCCTGTAGTCCCAGCTACTCGGGAGGCTGAGGCAGGAGAATGGTGTGAACCTGGGAGGCAGAGCTTGCAGTGGGCAGAGATGGGGCCACGGCACTCCAGCCTGGGTGACAGAGCGGGACTCCGTCTCCAAAAAAAAAAAAAAACACAAAAAACAAAACTTGTATTAAATTGGCTTTTTTAGAAATAGCATTTTGACTTATAATTTAGACACCATCAAATAATGTACAAAAATATGCTGCTTCCTTTCCTTTCTCTTCTTACCAGACAATTGTCAATTTTCTTTTCAACTTCTTTCTTCTACTTGTTTTTTTAAAAACACTCTGCACATTTCCAATCTTAGTACTGCAGAAACAAACTCTGTGGTCAAACCACATATACAGGAAGAGTTGAATTATATTCAAGCATTTTTAAAATAAACAATTCCCCCTCACTGTTCTGTGATTATTTTATATAATCGAATGTCTTCCAGATGTACATCCCAAACCAAACATACATCTGGTTTGTACATCTGGTTTTCAAACTCTGCTGTGTTGTCTAATTGCATCAGAATTATCCAAAATTATAATAATAAATAGATAAATGGGCACAACTCCAGATTTATGAAATCAAAATTTCCAGAACCCAGGAATATACATTGAAAAATGTCTCCCTCAGGTGATTCTGACGTCACATGTGGTCCGAGGTTACAATGCAAAGAAAATTACCTTCCTTGCCCTCCAGTTGACCCCTATATCCACATGTCCTCTTCCTCTTTTGCATTCTGCCTTCTCTCCTTCTGCACCTTCGTCCGTCCTCTCTTCCCTCCACTTCTTCTAGTCCAGATCCCAAGCCCTCCCTCACCAATTCTCCTAAAACTCCAAATGGTCAGTTGCCTCTAAAGTTCCGTCTGTTCCATGAACAAGTTATGCGGGCAAATGTAGAATTTAAGCTTGGGCCCAGCTGAATCAAGAGCTGCAATTAAAGATTTCCCTAAACCCAGAGGGGACCAGCAAATACTTATAGAAGGTTATAGATTTCCTGTGAGTGCAGATGGCTCAGGGTGACCGGATGCTGTAGACCAAATCTTATTGTCCCCCTCAAATTCGTGTGTTAAAATCAAATTCCCTATGTGATGGTCTTTGGAGGTGGGGCCTTGGGAGGTGATTACTTCATGAAGCAGAGACCCCATGAATGGGATTAGGCTCAGGCCTGTAATCTCAGCAACTCTGGGAGGCTGAGGCGAGTGGATCGCCTGAGATCAGGAGTTTGAGACCAGCCTGGCCACATGGTGAAACCGCGTCTCTACTAAAAATACAAAATGGCAGGTGCCTGTAATCCCAGCTACTCAGGAGGCTAATCACTTGAACCCGGGAGGCAGATGTTGCAATGAGCGGAGATCATGCCACTGCACTCCAGCCTGGGTATCAGAGTGAAACTCTATCTCAAAAAAAGAAAAAAAAAAAAATGAAAGCAGGAGGTAAATTGTATATACATGCAAACATCAGTGTCATGACACCTAATTTATCAGGATTTGATAAATTAATTAATTTGACTGATTTTGGGCCACAGAGTCATTGGATAACTTGATTCCACTTAAAACAAGGGATGATTGGTTTGGTTTCAACCTATTCTGTTTTTCTAATTCGTCCTTTCCCACACTCTACTCAGAATGAATTTGACATTGTAAAACTGGCTTGTATCATAATGGCTACTATGCTTTAAAATAGGGTAGGTGCTTTGGGATCGTTGGAGTTTTAATGTACAAACCATTCATAATTTATCCCCAAAGCAGTGTGGATTGTTTTGTGAATGTTCTACATCCCCTGATCTGAAAACTGACCAGAAAAGCTACCACTGAGATAAAGCAGCCATCCGACTTAGGGGCCTCCTTCCTCCCACTCTCCAACAAGACTGGAAATAAAGGAAAATCTTGAGTTCCTTCAAGGGAAATTCCAGGCACCCAGCTGGCCCTGAAAAGTAATGAGCAACTTGATAAACAAGATCATAATAGTAGCTTAAAACAATAGCCAAGGCAGTTAGAGTTGTGAGATGTTTGGTTCCCTATAGAAACTAATAGTAACATTTTAACACAAGTCCCTGAGTTGTTTTTCAGAAACCCGAAGCCCCACCAAATGGATACCCTGGCATGCAGACCTCAGATAAGGGGGAAACAGAACTGAATTTTGAATCTCTGTTCTTTCTTCTTTTTTTCTTTTTCTTTTCTTTTTTTTTTTTTTTGACAGAGTTTTGCTCTGTGGCCCAGGTTGGAGTGCAGTGGTGTGATCACAGCTCACTGCAGCCTTGACCTCCTGGGCTGTGGCAATCGTGCCATCTCAGCCTCCCAAGTAGCTGGGACTATAGGCATGTGCCACCAAGCCTGGCTAATTTGTTTTTTTTTTTTTTTTTTTTTGGTCGGAGTTTTGCTCTTGTCGCCCAGGCTGGAGTGCAATGGCGCAATCTTGGCTCATGTCAACCTCTGCCTTCCGGGTTCAAGCAATTCTCCTGCCTCAGCCTCCCAAGTAGCTAGGATTACAGGCGTGTGCCACCACGCCCGGCTAATTTTGTATTTTTAGTAGAGGGCGGGTTTCTCCATGTTGGTCAGGCTGGTCTCAAACTCCCAACGTCAGGTGATCCGCCCGCCTCGGCCTTCCAAAATGCTGGGATTACAGGCGTGAGCCACTGCGCCCTGCATTGTCTTTTTTTGTTGTTGTTTTTGTAGAGATGGCGGGGGGGGGTCTCACTTTGTTGCCCAAGCTGGTCTTGAACTCCTGGCCTCAAGTGATTTTCTCCATCTTTGTCTATCACCATTGCATCAATGTTTGTGTTATCCTATAAAATTTAGAAGGCCTAGAAGGATGTTTTTGCTTTTTGCAATATAAAAATGGCCTAACACAGACATAGATGATATAGATATGGATAGGTAGGGGGTGTATTTTGAAATTTGTTTCTCTAAGGGACTTATTTCACTTCAAATTTGAAATTATTCTGGTTTTAAATGTAACAAATGATAAACCTTATAGAATGACAACACAATTGTATATGTTATAAAGGCACAGGGTATATCAAATGATGAACCAATCATTTCGTGTTGAGGTTAGTAATTTTTTTTTTTTCCTGAGACCTCAATTCTCGGTAAATGAGGACAGCTTTTACACAGAGGGGCCTTAACACCACCACACACTGGACTTGTTCTCGGGCTGTGAGGTTCTGCCCACACCAAGCCAGGATGAGAATTTTATTCTTCACACTGTTCTCAGTACTTGTTTATATCCCCCCAAAAGTTCATTTTTTATGCTGTTTGTTCTCTCACATTTAATACATGTAAAAAAAGTTATCATGGTTTTTAAAATAAAAAAGTATGTTATCTTTTAATCTATGTCCCTATAGAATTATCTTGATCCATGTACTTTTGTTGTTACAGGCAGATCAGGCTAAACTTCCTCTCTCTGGAATAAATGCCATGACCACTGCTCTTTGAGCATTATTTTTCTTAAATTATTTTTTAAACAAAAATTAATCTAACTTACATTAACCAAATTTCTTTTCAAAGTAATCACATTTCTTTTAAGTGAAAAATGTTTACCTTCTGTTATAAAGAATTCTCTGAATACAAAATATTTATTTTTTTTAAACTTTAGAAGAAATTGAAAATATCTACATATTACTAATCTAAAAATACAGGCTCTGGGTTTATATGGTGTTAACATGTCTTCCAAATTTTAAGGAATAAGTATTTAAATGCCATGCGCTTTGTTTTCCAATTTAGAAAATGTTCCAACCTTTTGGCTGGGCATGGTGGCTCATGCCTATAATCCCAGCACTTTGGGAGGCCGAGGTGGGAGGATCACTTAAGTCCAGGCATTCGAGACCAGCCTGGGCAACATGGTGAACCCCATCTCTCCAAAAAATTACAAAAATTGGCCAGGCATGGTGGCACTACCTGTAGTCCCAGTTACTTAAGAGGCTGAGATGGGAGGATTGCTGGAGACAGAAAAATTGAGGCTGCAGAAGGTAAAGTGTTGAGGCTAACAGATGGTAAAGATTTAATTTTTCACTTAAAAGAAATATTGGTTACACTGAAATTTGGTTGATGTAAGATAGATAAATTTCTGTTAAAAAAAATTTAAGTGAGTCTTGTTAACACCACTGCACTCCAGCCTGGGCAACAGAGCAAAACCTGAAGAAAGAAAGAAAGAGAGAGAGAGAAAGAAAGAGAGAAAGAGAGAGAGAGAAATAAAGAAAAAGGAAGGAAGGAATGAGGGAAGGAAGGAAGAAAGGGAGGGAGGGAGTGGGGGAGGGAGAGACAGAGAGAGAGAGAAAGAAGGAAGAAAAAAGGAAGGAAATAAAACAAAAAAAAAATGTTTCAAGCTCTACAGTAGCAAAGCCACTCTGTAATGAACAAACAACAGAACCAAAACAAAAAAGGATTCTACCGACCAATCTAACCAACAATACAATTATGAAGTTGATTCAAATATCAAAAATCAATTTTAATAATAACTATATGGTATGAAAACCCCACAAAGATCAAGTAGGATGTATTATACTTGAATGAATTTATGAGTTGAGAGTAGGAAATCTATAAATTTAATCAAACCAGTCTAAGAATCATGAGGAAATTGTACTGCTAATGTATTATTTGACAAGCCATTCAGTGGAACAAAGATATTCTTAATGAAGTTGCATATATATTTTAAAATGTTATCGAGGTAGATTTTTAAAAATGAGATGAATAACTTGAAAAAGTATTCAGGGATAAAGAGAAAAATAAATTTAGATAGTTTACATATATAAAATATATTTTAAAAGCTAGGCTTGTCTTTTTTTATTCCTTAAATAAAAGGAATGGATATTTAAATCCCATGCCTTTCATTTTAAAATTTAGGAAATGCTTACAGCTTCCCACACTGAAATCTATACTAACACAGCTAATCTAATCAATGGATAACAAAATCAAAACAAATGGAAATCTCTTGACCAATCTATTTTCTTGATTTTTGAAAGTCTAAATGTATACTCAAAGAAAGAAAACTATTAATAATTGATTCTGTTATTTGAAAACATTTATTGATCATTTACCTTACACTAAGTGATCTCCAGCTCATGGAGACAGATCAGTGGAAAAGTATGTAAAGTTACCCAGGTTTGTTAAGCTTAAATTCTAATGAGGGAGAAAAGAAGTAATAGCGCAGGTACTTTAAAACAGGAGCGTTGGCCGGGCATGGTGGCTCACGCCTGTAATCCCAGCACTTTTGGGAGGCTGAAGCAGGTGGATCACCTGAAGTTGGGAGTTCGAGACCAGTCTGGCCAACATGGAGAAACCCCGTCTCTACTAAAAATACAAAAAATTAGCCGGGTGTGGTGGCGCACGCCTATAATCCAGCCACTCGGGAGGCTGAGGCAGGAGAATTGCTTGAACCTGGGATGTGGAGGTTGCGGTGATCCCAGATTGCGCCACTACACTCCAGCCTGGGTAACAAGAACCAAACTCCGTCTCAAAAAAAAAAAAAGTGTGTTATGATACGGCTTGGAATTCTAAAAAATTGCATACTGTGGTTGCTGTGTAGAGACTGGAATGAAAAAAAGGGCAATGATAAAAGCTTAAATTCATATAGAATATGGCTAGCCTATAATTTTGAGGGTGCCTGAAATAAGAATTTATAATAGTTCTCATTATTTCCCCCAAGAAATGTCTGCAGTAGAGCCCTGACCGTGTGAGGGAAGTAGTGTAGTTACCAAGTGGTGAGGGTGGGAAGGTGAATTTGAAAACACCATTTGGAATTACTGCACTTTAAAGGCAAAGCTGGCAGGTTTTCCATACACGACAGATCTGAAAATGGGTGTGTGTGTGTGTGTGTGTGTGTGTGTGTGTGTGTGAGATGGAGAGACAGAGAGAGAGAGAATGAGAACCAGACAGATACAGAGAGAACTAAAAGGGGATATCAAGAATATTGAGCTGAGAAACTATAAAATGGGAGTTGCCATTAAACAGATAGGGGAAGAGCAAGTCTGGGGAGTATTGGAGGCTCCATGTGGACCTTCATTTTGAGATTCCTGACTGACACCCAAGTGAAGAAGTCAGACGGTGCTGGGTGTAGTCTAGTGTTGAGGTATAATATGAAATATCAGGAAATTAATGACACAAAAATTAGTAAGAAAGTAAATAAAAGAAAGATAAGTCCAGGTCCTGAGCCTAGTGCTTCTCTAACATTTAAAAAATAGTAAAGGTGAGAAAAAAACAGCAAAAAAGGACTAGGGGTAATTATAAAAAATGTCAGGGGAAAGTGGGTTAAGTGTTCTGGAATTCTATCAAAGAAAGTTTTGCAAAAAGGACAGATCACCTGTGTCAAATGCTGCTGATACATAAATTAAGACAAAGGCTGAGGAATTATGCTTTAATTCATAATTTAACAATATGACTATCGTTTGTGCTTTGAGAAGAGCAATTTTGTTGTAGTGAGTAGGTGAGAAACCATATTGGAGTCCTTACTAAAAGGAATGTCTGATCTCTGGATTCTCTGTTTTTTTTTTTTTTTTTTTTTTTTTTTTTTTTTTTTGAGACAGAGTCTTGCTCTGTAACGCAGGCTGGAGTGCAGCGGCTCGATCTCAGCTCACTGCAACCTCTGCCTCCTGAGTTCAAGCAATTCTCCAGCCTCCTGCTTCTACTCACAGAAGCAGAGAGTAGAATGGAGGTTACCAGGGGTGGAAGGCAGGGGTTTGGGGAGACGGTGAAATCATTCAAAAGTGTAGTTAGACAGGAGGAATAAGTTTAAGAGATACATTGCACAACATGGTGACTGCAGTTAATGTATTGTATTCTTGAAAATCAAGAAGGGTTCTCACCACAAAAAGTAAGTATGCATATGTTCCTGAGCGCAATGTAATCATTCCACCATCTACCTATTTCTAAACAGGTTTTACACAACATATATACAATTTTATTTGTCATTTAAAAAACGAATGAATTGTAAAAAGAATTAAGTACTGGAAAACTTGTCACAGTTTAGGACAACTCTCTTTGTAAAATTAGTGGTTCTTGGGAGTCAAAATGCTTCCTGGTGCCGGGAGTGAGCGATGAGCCGGCTTCTGTCCCTGGCGGCAGAGTCGCCTTGGCCGCCTTGCCCTGCCGCCGCTCTCGCGGGTTCGGGATGTTCTATGCCGTGAGGAGGGGCGGCAAGTCCGCGGTCTTTCTGACCGGGAATGAGTGCAAAGCACAGGTGGACCGGTTTCCTGCTGCCAGATTTAAGAAGTTTGCCACAGAGGATGAGGCCTGGGACTTTGTCAGGAAATCTGCAAGCCCGGAAGTTTCAGAAGGGCAGGAAAATCAACATGGACAAGAATCGGAGACGAAAGCCAGCAAGCGACTCCGTGAGCCACTGGATGGAGATGGAGATGAAAGCGCAGAGCCATATGCAAGCACATGAAGCCGAGCGTGAAGCCGAGCGTGAAGCCGAGCGTGAAGCCGGCGCCTCCAGTTAGCAGAGACACGTTTTCCTACATGGGAGACTTCGTCGTCGTCTACGCTGATGGCTGCTGCTCCAGTAATGGGCGTAGAAAGCCACGAGCAGGAATCCGCGTTTACTGGGGGCCGGGCTATCCTTTAACTGTAGGCATTAGACTTCCTGGGTGGCAGACAAACCAAAGAGCGGAAATTCATGCAGCCTGCAAGGCCATTGAACAAGCACAGACTCAGAAAATCAATAAACTGGTTCTGTATACAGACAGTATGTTTACGATAAATGGTATAACTAACTGGGTTCAAGGTTGGAAGAAAAATGGGTGGAAGACAAGTGCAGGGAAAGAGGTGATCAACAAAGAGGACTTCGTGGCACTGGAGAGGCTGACCCAGGGGATGGACATTCAGTGGGCGAGTATCTTAAATGTTCATGTCCCATGGCTATTGTGACCAAATAAGCTAAGTTTACTAGAGATTAATGGTTTATGTAAGTGGTTTAATGACATAACAATTTCCATGAAGTTAATATCATAATATATATTAAAACATATTTGAGGCTGGGCGCGGTGGCTCACGCCTGTAGTCCCAGCACTTTGGGAGGCTGAGGTGGATGGATCACGGGGTCAGGAGTTCAAGACCAGCCTGGCCAGTATGGTGAAGCCCCATCTCTATTAAAGAGTACAAAAATTAGCCAGGCGTGGTGGTGTGCGCCTGTGGTCCCAGCTACTCGGGAGCCTGAGGCAGGAGAATCACTTGACCTGGGAGGCTGAAGTTGCAGTGAGCTGAGATCACGCCAGTGCACTCCAGCCTGAGCAACGATATGAGACTCTAAGACTCCATCTAAAAAAAAAAAAAAAAATTTGAGACTGGGCTCAGTGGTCCACATCTGTAACCCAGCAATTTAGGAGGCCCAAATGAGCTGACTACTTCAGCCGAGAAGTTTGAGACCAGCCTGGTTAACATGGTGAGACTCTGTTTCTAGAAAAAATAAAAAATTAGCCAGGTGTAGTGGTGCATGCCTGTAGTCTAGTTACTCAGGACGCTGAGGTGGGAGGATGACTTGAGCTGGGGAGGTCGAGGTTGCAGTGAGCCAAGATTGTACCACTGCACTCTAGCCTGGGCGACAGAGCGAGACCCTGTCACAAAAAAACAAAACAAACCCACCCATGTACATGCATTTGATTCTTTTCCTTATCATACAAGTAATACATTTTTTTGGTTTGGTTTGGTTTGGTTTTTGAGACAGGTCTTACTCTGTCACCCCAGGCTATGGCGTGATCTCATTGCAACCTCTGCCTTCTGGGTTCAAGTGATTCTCATGCCTCAGCCTCCCAAGTATCTGGGATTGCGGGCATATGCCACCACACCTGGCTGGTTTTTGTGTTTTTGGTAGCGATGGGGTTTTGTCATGTTACCCAGGCTGGTCTTGAACTCTTGACCTCAAACAATCCACCTGCCTTGGCCTCTCAAAGTGCTGGGATTACATTTGTTTTATGTCATTTATTTCTTTTCCATGCCTTTTTGCACTAGCTAGAACTTCCAACGCCGTTTTTTGTTGTTGTTGTTTTTGGTTTTGTTTTTGAGATAGTCTTGCTCTGTCACCCAGACTGGAGTGCAAATGGCGTGGTCTCGGCTCACTGCAAACTCCGCCTCCTGGGTTCAAGTGATTCTCCTGCCTCAGCCTCCTGAGTAACTGGGATTACAGGTACCTGCTACCACGCCTGGCTAATTTTTTTGTATTTTTAGTAGAGACGGAGTTTCAACATGTTTGCCAGGCCGGTCTTGAACTCCTGACCTCAGGTGATCCACCTGCCTCGGCCTCCCAAAGTGCTGGGATTACAGTCCAGTACAGTTTTAAATAGGACAAATGAAAAAGGGAATCCTTGCCTTGTTCCTGATTTTACGGGGGGAGTGGGAGTGTTTTCTGTGATTGGTTCTGTTTTTTATTTTTATTTTTACTTATTTATTTTGAGACGGAGTTTCATTCTTATTGCCCAGGCGGGAGTGGAATGGTGCCGTCTCAGCTCACTGCAACCTCCGCCTCCTTTGTTTAAGTGATTCTGCTGCCTCAGCCTCCCAAGTAGCTGGAATTACAGGCGCCCACCACCACATCTGGCTATTTTTTTTTTTTTTTTGTATTTTTAGTAGAGAGAGGGTTTCATCATGTTGCTCCTGCTGGTCTCGAACTCCTGACCTCAGATAATCCACCTGCCTCAGCCTCCCAAAGTGCTGGGATTATGGGCATGAGCCACCGAGCCCGGCTGTTTTTTTTGTTTTTTTTTTTTTTTTTTTTTGAGACAGAGTTTTGCTCTGTTGCTCAGGCTGGAGTGCCAGTGGCGCGATTTCAGCTCACTCAGGGGTGAGCCACCACACCTGGCCTGTGATTGGCTCTGTTTTTAGTAATTATGTGCAAACCATCTAGAACCAGCTCTGGGCAATGGTGTTGCAATTTCCCTCCCTCCATGCTGGCACCATACCAGCCCCTCTCCAATGGGAGCCCAAGTTGCCAGTGACTGTGGCCAAACTCTCCATTTTTGTCTGTATCCTGCTCTCTTTAGGTTAAAAAGAAGGAAAGAAACATGAAAGGCCATGTGCAATTTATTTTTATAACTCAAGGAGTTTCCCCGACTACCATTTTTTTTGTTGCCAGTGGGTGTGCATATAGAAGAGGAATGCTATATCCTGTCCCTAGAAGTACACATGGTGGTCAGGTATGGTGGCTTATGCCTGTAATCCCAGCACTTTGGGAGGCTGAGATGGGAGGATTGCTTGAGCCCAGGAGTTCGGGACCAGCCTGGGCAACATGGCAAGACCTCTGACTCCACAAAAAAAAATTGTTTTTTTTTTGAGAGAGCATCTCACTCCGTCGCCCAGGCTGGAGTGGTATAATCTTGGCTCACTGCAACCTCTGCCTCTGTCACACACACAAACACACACACACACACACACACACACACACACACACACAAAGAAAAGAAATACAGGCGGTGTTTCAGGGAAGGGAAGGTTCTGCTGGGGTCCTGGAACTGTGACTGATGGCCTCAGGGATGCAGGAATAGGCCTTCTAGCACAGCAGCTAGTAGGCTCCCCCAGGCCATCCGCTGGCGTGTGGAGGTGCAGGACCTGGGGGAGGCAGTCCTCACCCCAGCTAGGCCAAGGGGTAGGGTTTTTAGGTCTGTTTTTAACAGAACTCAGAGCACCAGGTGAAGGTGGAAAGTTGGTAAACTGGGAAAACAAGGTCAGCATCTTACATTTTCTATACTCAGCAGAGTGTGCCATTCCCGGTTTCTGTCCTGAGGCTTTCAGAGGCCACAACAGCCAGGTTTCTTTCCATCTTCCCTCAGTCAGTATGTAGTCATTTAAAATTCTTTGGTTGTTCTGAAGATCCTTTTTTTATGTATAATTTTTACATGAAAGACAGCTGCAAAATGCAAGCCTCAGTAGAGTGGGGGAGTTTTTCAAGGTGAGAAGTCGCTGTTCTCTGCACTGAACAGGGATTGAATTTTCCTTGTCTGATGGTAGCCCATCCCCCTCCCCCGCCGCCCCCCGCAGGGATAACATTCTCAGGAATTTCTCTTGTCCTAGCCCCTTTCATTTCAAAAACAATATTAGTCTTTTGTTTTCCTTTTTCATTCATTTGTTTTTTTACAGCTTTTGTAGAGACCAACCCAAGTAGATGCCAGTGGGTATTAAACAAAAACACACATACCCAGGGGACAAGCCCTCCAGCGGTGAGGAATCTCTGCCATGTTCTCTTCCCTGCTGCCCACGAACATTACGGAGACTCCCTTAGTCTCCCCCTCCTCTTCCCCACTGAGGGGCGGCTTGTGGAGATGGAGGACTCGGGCCCATAGATGCAGACCCACTGTCAAATCCAGCAATAGTTCTCATTCTTCCAAAGCTCGAGTGCCATTTTGAGATGCCCTACCAATGACATGCAGTAAAGGACATAACCTCACAGCCTTTTTAGAAGCATTTTGAATATCTACAGTTGCCTCAATTCACGGGGCATTTCATTCCTCTGATCCAGGTTAGAGTTTTGCTAAATCTGTAGCATCCTGAGTAGCACACTAATTTTTTTTTTAGCACACTAACTTTAACTACATTAGTTGAGTGTAGTTGATACATCTGTGGCCTTGTGTCTATAAAGAGCACACTAGATTGTACCCAGCACTTTTGGATATGACATGCTAATTAGATGTATTTAACTATTCATAGGAAAGTGTATGATAAATGACTGTAATATTTCTAATAAATATATTTTGTTTCTAATTATTTTTTTCTCACTGACATGTATCAATATTTTTTCAAAGTGCCACCCTTAAACTGAGTCTGTTTTCAGACCAGCATCTTCATGCATATATCCTTGTCAGGTCACAGTCTCCACTGCAGCTGCTCTTGCGGGTGGTGCTGGAATTTTCCACAGAGGACTGGGCTCCTGCTGGTTCCTCCGCTGCCCGTGTGCAGCTTTCTTGCTCAGGCCACAGGCTTACGTGAAGATCACCCTTCAAGGCCTACCCAGGACACTGCTGAGCTGTGCAGATGTGCACACGATATGTGCAATGTCATACGTGTGACTAAATGCCAACTGAGACCCCAGAAACCACTCATAGGGGGAATTATGCCAAGATTGAGGAGGCAGGGTGATACTTTTTTTCTTTTTCTGTTTTTTTTTTTTTTTTTTTTTTTGAGATGGAGTCTAGCCCTGTCGCCAGGCTGGAGTACAGTGGCATGATCTTGACTCACTGCAACCTCCACCTCCTGGGTTCAAGCGATTCTTTTGTCTCAGCCTCCCGAGTAGCTGGGACTACAGGCACGTGCCAGCACGCCCAACTAATTTTTGTATTTTTAGTAGAGAACAAGGGGTCACCATGTTAGCCAGGATGGTCTTGATCTCTTGACCTCATGATCTACCTGCCTCTGCCTCCCAAAGTGTTGGGATTACAGGTGGGAGCCACTGCGCCCGGCCACAGATATTTTGTAAATGATTGCTTCCTTACGCCTTTCTAGTTCATGTTTTCTTATACATAGTTACATTTCTTCTTTGCTATACTAAAAATCCCTAATTTTAGTTGGTCAGAGAGAGGGATTTGAGACTGAGCTCCCATCTCCTCGGCTGCAGCATCTGATTAAAGCCTTCTTCCTTTGCAATACTCATCTCAGTGATTGGCTTTCTGTGGGTGAGCAGCGCAGGATCTAGGCTGAAGCCCTGAGGCTTCAGTGACAAAATCTGTTTTTCATAATGCTATCTGTCTTAATTGTCCTCAAGAATTAGTATTTGAGTGCTCTCTAGATTCTCCTTTGTCACCCTTCCTTCCTTTCTTTCTTCCTTTCTTCCTTCCTTCTTTCCTTCTCTTTGCTTCGTTCTCTCCTTCCTTCTTTTCTTTCTTTTTTTGAGACGGAGTCTTGCTCTGTCGCCCAGGCTGGAGTTTGGTGGCACGATATCAGCTCACTGCAACGTTCACCTCCCGGGTTCAAGAGATTCTCCTGTCTCAGCCTCTGGAGTAGCTGGGACTACAGGCACGCGCCACCACGCCCAACTAATTTTTGTATTTTTAGTAGAGAGGGTTTCACCATGTTGGCCAGGCTGGCCTCAAACTCCTGACCTCAAGTGATCTGCCCGCCTCAACCTCCCAAAGTGCTGGGATTACAGGTGTGAGCCACCGCGCCTGGCCGTCACTTTTCTTCAATCTCACTGGTGCTCGCGGGCTGAAGGGTCAGGACGGACTAGAGGCGAGCAATCCTGGTGGCACCAGGCGTTCCCCGACCCGCCCGGGTCGCCAGCTGCACGGACCCTGGGCAGATGCGCGCAGCGGCTGCGGCACACGGCGGGGAGCGGCTGCTTGGCCCCATCCTAAGGCAGCAGAATGCCCAGAGCTGGTCCCTGGCTCCAGGCGCAGGCCGAGTAGGAGCTGGGCGGGCAGCGGCGTCGGGCAGGCCCTTCCAGCCGGGCTGACAGGCCGCTCTGACCCAGCCATCTGACTCCGCTTGCGTCCTGGCAGCGCGGACCCTAGGGCAACTTTGCTGCAGTGGCCAAGCCGGGGGCGGAACTGACCCGTACCCCTGAACCGAGCAAGCCTAGGAGCAGGTGCGCCGGCGGCGCTGTGAAGCGGCACTCATGACAGGCAGGCTGGGCACCGCCACCCCGAAACCTCCGAGGGAGGACCAGCCAGCCCAGGTTGGCGCTGGAGCTGCAGCGCCACCTGCAGGCCAAGGAGTCTTTTTCTGGGAGGCTGGAGCTGCAGCGCCACCTGCAGGCCAAGGAGTCTTTTTCTGGGAGGCTGGAGCTGCAGCGCCACCTGCAGGCCAAGGAGTCTTTTTCTGGGAGGCTGGAGCTGCAGATGCAGTGAAGTCACAGGTTCCGTGATGTCACAGGTGGGCAGGCGCACTGGTCTGTAACGGATTGGCTTGGCCTTACCCACGAGGCTTTGCGGTGGCTGTTGGCTTGGCGGTGGTCGCTTGGCTTGGCGTGGCAGTGATCGCTTGGCTTGGCATTTCTGGCTTGGCGGTCCTCCTTTCGCAGATTGGAAACCGCGGGCTATCCTGCTGGGAGGTTGTGGCCGAGGCAGTAGCTCGCTACTGATGGCCTCCTGGGGTGGAGAAAAGCGGGGAGGGGCTGAGGGGTCTCCGAAGCCGGCAGTCTACGCCACGAGGAAGACCCCTAGCGTCGGGAGCCAGGGGGACCAGTGGTACTTGGGCTACCCGGGGGACCAGTGGTCCTCGGGCTTCCCCTACAGCTGGTGGAAAAACAGCGTCGGCAGCGAGAGCAAGCACGGTGAGGGCGCCTTAGACCAGCCCCAGCACGACGTCCGCCTGGAAGATCTTGGCGAGCTCCACAGAGCTGCCCGGTCGGGCGACGTCCCTGGGGTGGAGCACATCTTAGCTCCTGGAGACACTGGCGTGGACAAGAGGGATAGGAAGAAGAGGTAATGGCCAGGCGAAGGATGCGCCGTCCTGTCGGGGACACTGGCTTTCTGGTGCCCGCAGGCCCCACGGCACCCGGGATGGGGAAACGTCAGAGGGGTCAGGGGCCCAGGCCTCTTAGTGAGACGGGATCAAATATAAAGGATTATTACTATTGCAAAAGTGTTGGTCTACTTTACAGGAGTTTTCTTTAAAAATATTGCACTTCCCAACTGTGTTTATCCATTTTCTCAATTTATTCATCAAACATAAGCTGAATACCTATTATACAGCAGACATATTCTACTGTCGCTCAGGTTCCTTCCATCCTTAAGAACTTCATGTTGGCCGAGCTCGGTGGCTCATGCCTGTAATCCCAGCACTTTGGGAGGCCGAGGAGGGCAGATCACGAGGTCAGAAGTTCGAGACCAGGCTGACCAACATGGTGAAACCCCGCCTGTTATGCTTTTGTCTCAGCCTAGACTTAGCTAAGACCTTCATGATAAATTATCCTTTAGGCCCTCGGGGTTCAGTTCAAATAATGTTGCAGAAAGAGAGGAGTTTCCTTTTTTCATTGCTACCAGATCTGTATGCTGAGGACCCTTTTCTTAGATCGTGGAATGTCCCATATTATCCTTTCCCAGATTTGTGGCAGGAAGCCATCACCAGAATTCTGAGTCTCAAGTATGTTAGTTGGATTTAACAGAGCTAAGTCTCATCCATGACTCATGAATATCCATGTATAAAATGAGAGCTTTGGCAGGGTGCAGTGGCTCATGCCTGTAATCCCAGCAATTTGGGAGGCTAAGGTGGGCGGATCACGAGGTCAGGTGATTGAGAGCATCCTGGCTAACACGGTGAAACCCCGTCACTACTAAAAAATACAAAAAAAAAATAGCCGGGCGTGGTGGTGGGCGCCTGTAGTCCCAGCTACTCAGGAGGCTAAGGCTGGAGAATGGCATGAACCCAGGAGGCGGAGCTTGCAGTGAGCCGAGATCGCGCCACTGCACTCCAGCCTGGGTGACAGAGCGAGACTCAGTCTAAAACAAACAAACAAACAAACAAACAAACAAAACTTGCTTCAGCAGCAAACATATACTGAAATTGGAACAAAATGGAGAGAAATTAGCATGGCCCCTGCCTGCATAAGGATGATGCACAGATTTTTGAAGTGGTCCATATTTTGCGCAGTCACTAGAAGTTCATTTGACTATTTGCTGACTAGTTCCAAAGACAGTGTGAGTCAAAGCAAACTGGGTATCACCTAATATTAAAATTGTGATTTTTCACTACAAAAATATGCAGTAAGGTGATCAATGGAGCTGAGTAACACGTGGGATGTTGTGTGCAAATATATTGTCAGTATGTATCTCAGAAATGAGAGAATGTCAACTTGCATGTCTTTCATGGAACTGAAAAAGAAAAGTAGCATTTTGTTTTCCATGTCAGTTGGAGATGAACATGGGGATTGAGCATCCTTCTAACAAAGATCTGCCGATTCAGAGTTTGAGTCTGTATGGAACAGTAGTCCAAGCTAGGTCTTGACATCTATTAGCTTTCTCCCCTTGGCGTGATTGATGAGCTCAGTAATAGTGGACAGTGTTGTTATCTAGTTTGATGAAATAATATATTTATAAGTAAATTTAGTTACAAACTATGAACTAGCTGTGATGCCCCAAATTATAAGCCACAAAGAATAGAACTAATAAAACTAGAACTTAATAACAGTTTTGGAAAACTGCAACATTTGAATATTAGAACCTCTGGAAAAATACACATTGGGTTTTATTTGTGATTCCAAAACCATTTCCTCAATAAAGCTCAAGAACAAATTATTTCATTGCTTCACTGTTTCTCTGAGCATTTACAAAACGTTTTCTTGTTAAATCTTTAACAACCTAGTGAAATAAGGCAGTAAAATCCTTGCTTTTTAGAAGAATACATTGAGCCTAAGAGAAGCAACTTGTCAGAGAATAAATAGCTGCTGGTAATAGAGCTAGGACGCTTTCCATTATGCCAAGCTAATGTGAGTTAATTTACTGAGCTATACTCCCTTCAATTCATGAGTACTTCATCTTTTTTTCTTCTTCAGAAGCTTAAAGAGAAGTTGGTAGAACTCACAAATTGAAGTATATGGGATAATTAAAGTTCTGATATTAACTCTGATATTGTTTGAAATACTCTAAAAATTTAATATATTTGGTATTTTTCATTTGTTTTAAAATAGTAATTTCATTTATTACATTTTTATCCATAGCATTCAGCAACTAGTTCCTGAATATAAGGAAAAACAGACACCTGAAAGTCTTCCTCAAAATAACAATCCAGGTAAGACTTCTGATAGTGAATTATTTTTGGTGGTCCTACCATAGGTAAAAAAGAAGTAAGAGTAAGGAAGTTTTGATCATGAAAGAGCAGTTTTAAAAAATCTTTATTTCTTTCTTGATAGGTTAGATTTCTTGGTAGGTTAGATGTCACAATTATTTAAAAAGTTAATTGTAGGTCATTTATTTTTTCAAACAATCTGGTCTGAAAAAAAATTAATTATGGTCCCTAAAATCCTATGTGATATTTTTGTATAAATAAGAAAAAGTGTTTTTTTTTGTTTTTTTTTTGAGACGGAGTCTCGCTGTCGCCCAGGCTGGAGTGCAGTGGTGCGATCTCGGCTCACTGCAGGCTCCACCCCCTGGTTCACGCCATTCTCTTGCCTCAGCCTGCGGAGTAGCTGGGACTACAGGCGCCCGCCACCCCGCCCGGCTAATTTTTTGTATTTTTAGTAGAGATGGGGTTTCACCGTGTTAGCCAGGATGGTCTCGATCTCCTGACCTCATGATCCATCCGCCTCGGCCTCCCAAAGTGCTGGGATTACAGGCGTGAGCCACCGCGCCCGGCCAAGAAAAAGATATTTTTGAGTTAGTAAGTTGTATGTTTTCTTTATAGTCACCTTATAATGAATTAGACTTGTTATGAAATTGGAACTTCTATTTAATTTTTAAAATAAATGACTTATGTTTAGTAAATGAATATCAATCACAATTGACCCTTAACAATGTGGAATTTAGGGATGCTTGATTCCCTCTGCAGTCAAACATCTGTGTATAACTTTTGACTCCCCCAAGAACGTAACTACTAATAGCTAACTGTTGACCAGCAGCCTTATTGATAACATAAACAGTCAATTAAGATATGTTTGGTATGGTATATGTATTAATATGCTGTATTCTTACAATAAAGGAAGCTAGGGAAATAAACTGTTAAGAAAATCATAAGGCAGAAAAAATACGCTTACTGTTCATTAAATGCAAGTGGATCATTATATAACTCTTCATCATAGTCTTCAAGTTGAGCAGGCTAAGGAGAAGGAGGAAGAGGAAGATTGGTCTTCGCTGTCTCAGGTGGTAGAGGTGGGAGAAAATCTGCTCATAAGTAGACCCCTGCAGTTCAAATCCGTGTTGTTCAAAGGCTAACTATATTACATAGTGATTTGTGTCACTAAAAAAAAGAAATTAGTTTCAAAACTGGAAACTCGGCAATACCTTTCTGGCACCATAAACAAATGGCAATAAGAACTGTGAAATGGCCAGGTGTGCTGCCCACACCTGTAGTCCCAGCAAGTTGGGAGGCCTAGGTGGGAGGATCGCCTGTGTCCAGAAGTTCCAGACCAGCCTGGGTGACATAGTGAGACCACATCTCTACAAAAACAAATAAAAAATTAGCTGGGTGTTTTGGTGCACACCTGTAATCCCAGCTACTTGGGAGACTGAGATGGGAGGATCGCTTGAGCCTGGGAGTCAAGGCTGTAGTGAGCTGTGATCATGATCACAACCTGGATGACAGAGTGAGACCCTGTCTCAGAAAAAAACAAAAACACAAACAAAACCCTGCCAAACATACCCAATGTGCACTAATACTAATGGGAAATTATTTTTTAAAGAGACCTTCTGAGTGCAGAAGTCAGAAAAGCAATTCCTTGTTGAGAAGAACAGGTCATGTTACATACTTATAAACCAACAAGGTGTCACTATTATTGACTTTCCCCCAATTTGAAATCGAATGAGGTATATTTACTTCATTAGAACAAGATGTGTTTTTCTACCTGCTGGTTAATTGCTATGTTAACAGTAATTTTGTTAGAACAAGATATGCTGTTACCATTAGCCAAAAGATTATCACAATAAATATTCAAATAGCCCAACTCTAGGCTCAACAAATTATAATGAAAGTATAAAAATGTTTCACAATAACAAAAAATGCTTCTGTGCTTCCAAGATGTGATGCCTAATGCATTGGACAATCTGAACTGTAAGAGGACACCTTTAATTTAGTACATGTTAATCAAAGAACTTCTCTAAGTTAGGTTTTGCACGTTATGGGAGACAAACATGAAATAGACATAGTTTTGGTCTTTGAGGTGCTCATAATAGAATAGAGCTTTCTCTATTTAACTTCTGTGTTTTTTTCAACAGAATTTTCAAGGAAATCATTTATTCATTTGTCCACTTAACAAATAATTATCAAATGTCTTTTAGTACTAAGCATTTTTTTTCTAATGTTACAGAATACAGACATTTAAAAATACTGCTGGGGCCAGCACAGTGGTGCATGCCTGTAATCTCACCACTTTGGGAGGCTGAGATGGGAGGATCACTTGAGCCCAGAAGTTCGAGACCAGCCCGGGCAACATGACAAGACCTCATCTCTACTAAATTTTTTAAAAAACAATAAAACATTAGCTGGGCATGGTGCCAGGTGCCTGTACTTCCAGCTACTTGGGAGGCTGAGGTGGGAGGATTGCTTGAGCCTGGCTGTTTGAGGCTACAGTGAGCTATGATCATGCCACTGCACTTGTGTCTGGGTAACAGAGTGAGACCCTGTCTCAAAAAAGAAAAAAAACAAACCAACAAAACCCAGGAGCTTGTTATTATCATTGTCACTTTAATTATTTGATGAATTATTTATTCAGTGCCTACTACTGTGTTAGATGCCCTCTGGAACCGTATAGTGATCATTTATTATGTTAAATATGTGCCAGACACTTTATGTGGTGAGGAATGAAAGCTGTAAAAAAGTGGGTAAGATTTAAGGTAAGCATGAAGAGTGAGTAGAACTTTTATAGGTAAAGAGGCAGAAGGATGATGTGGGCAGAAGATTGTGTGTTTGGCAGAAGGAGCAGCGAGTGCAAAAGTAAGATGCTTGAGTGAACTTTGCAGGGTTTATGAGCAGTTCAGTTTTGCCAGTGCAAAACATATGAGATGTGAATGGTTGGGAATGAAGTGAATACCTAAGGCAAGCTCATGACAGACTTTTTTTTGAGACAAAGTCTCACTCCGTCACCCAGGCTGGAGTGCAGTGGCGTTCTCTTGGCTCACTGCAACCTCCGCCTCCCGAGTTCAAGTGATTCTCGTGCCTCAGCCTCCCAGGTAGCTGGGAATACAGGCGCGAGCCACCATGCCCAGCTGATTTTTGTATTTTCAGTAGAGACAGGGTTTCGGCATGTTTGACAGGCTGGTCTCAAACTCCTGACCTCAAGTGATCCACCCACCTTGGCCTCTCAAGTGCTGGGATTACAGATATGAGCCACCACTCCCTGCCCAGACTTTTTAATACTACAGAAATGAGTAGATCTCGGGCCGGGCATGGTGGCTTATGCCTATAATCCCAGCATTTTGGGAGGCCAAGGAGGGCAGATCACAAGGTCAGGAGATCGAGACCATCCTGGCCAACATGGTGAAACCTGTCTCTACTAAAAATACACATGAAAAATTAGCTGGACGTGGTGGAGCATGCCTATGGTTCCAGCTACTCAGGAGGCTGAGGCAGGAGAATCACTTGAACCTTGGAGGCAGAGGCTGCAGTGAGCCAAGATCGCACCACTGCACTCCGGCCTGGGTGACAGAGCAAGACTCTGTCTCAAAAAAAAAAAAAAAGAAAAGAAAAGAAAAAAGAAAGAAATGAGTAGAACTTTTCCTGTAGGCCATGGGAAATTTACCAGGTGGAATGCTTTGGGCTATAAATACTAGATGACCTAACTAACAGTGGCTAAAACAGTAGGGACCAGAGTTGTTTTGATGGTTCAGTGATAACACGGTGTTTTGTTCATGTCTGTTTTCATGGCTGACTAATTAGCAACAGCTCCAAACATCATGGTCTCACCGACAATATCTGAAGGCTGAAAGGGTGGCTTTTCTTTACATATTTCTTTTAGTTAGGGAGAAGACTCAGAAGGGTGCAGTTGACTTCCTGTAACATTTTATTGGCTGGGTCCTACCACATGCTCATTCCTAAACCAGGCACTGGGGAAGCAAATGTAATTACTATGATGAGCTTAGAATAATCATTTCTTCTTTTGGAGTGGGGAGGGCTATTGGCATGATAAATATCCAAATAGATGCGTGTTTCTCCAGCAAGACAGAACAGGGAATCGCTATTGGGTAGGGAGACAGCAATGTTTACTGTAGGGACTCATTGGAGTGGGGAGTCACATGATTAGATTTGAGTATTAGGGCAATCTGGTTATGGTATAAAGCAGGGATTGGCAAGCATTTTCTGTACAGGGCTTTTTCATGTGGTCTGTCATTCCTACTCAACCGTACCATTGAAGTATGAAAACAGTCATAAAAAGGCAAGCAAATATACATGACTGAGCTCCGGTAAAACTTTATTTACAAAACTATAAGGCAGACTGGATTTGCTCCATGGCCTGTAGTTTGCTGACCCCTCATATGGAGAGCAGCTGGAAGATAACCACATAAAGAGACAGGGAAACAAAAGAAACATTTGCATTTATCAGAGCTATAGTTTCCTTGTGCTGTCCTCAGACTAGTGTCAGTCTGTTGTGAGGTTTTCACCCATCCATGGTGAAATCAGTAAGGTTAAGGAGCTCAGTTATTCATTTAAAAATGTCGGTCTTTTTCTTGGCATGATGCCTTTTTCATTTATTTTACTTAAACTTTTTTTTTCATTTAAGAAATAACATTAATAGTTGTTTTTTCCCTATAAAAGCCAATTCTTAAGAGCCCATGTTTAACTAGGAAATATAAACATAAAATAAACGTGTCATAGTGGAAATATAAAGCAGATGGAGAAAAGAGGTACAGTTAATATGATTTAGTGACTGTTGAATGTAAAAAGATAGGGGATAGGGAGAAATCTCAGATGATTCTCAGGTTTCTGGCTTGTGCCCTAGCATTTAACCGGGACACGAGGGAGTAGGCAGTTTTCAGGTGTATAGAGGAGAGCAGCAGGTCAGCAGTCACGACTAACAGTTTTCTCTGCATTGCTGAGTTTACTGAAATGTCCATGTGGGATATTTTCAGTAGGTAATTGGAAAAATTTTTATGGCTGGAGATGGAACTCTGAGGTTGGAGTTGCAGACTTGGAATAACTGAGGCAAAGTTGTAGATCTGAGTGAGCTTGTCCATGATGGGAAAGGTATAGAATGAGCAGAGGGCCAGTGACAGAACCCTGGGCATATCAGCATTTCCCAGAGGAATTAGGAAAGAAGCCTGAGCCGTGGCTAAAGAAAAAGAGGAGAGGAATCATAAAGTCATGTTGCAAAAATTTACAAAGGTGAGAATTTCAAGGAGGGAGTATCAATTCTAACCAGTAAGATTACTAAAAAGTAAAGTGAGTTAACCTTTTAAAAGCCTTCAGTGGCACTGTCTTCTAAAGAACAATCATAGAGTTGTGGGGTTCGCTGTTTATGTGATCAGTACTTCTGATGTTCAAATGTGGAAGAATACACCTACCAAGAGTCTACCTAACTTTTGTAACTGCAGCAGCTCCCTGTACAGGATCAGGGAAAATGGTCAAGACTGGTGAGTTAATGTACCACCATTTTCCTAGAATTGTCTAAACCTAAGGTCATATGTGAGGAAAAGTGTAGTCTTTCTTACCTGCTTTTTTGTGGAAATGCTTGTTTGGTACTCAAGTCCTTGATAGGCTCTTCTGAATGCATTCCCAAACAAACATCTGACAACAACAACTGGAAGCCACCACCAGATGCACGTATATATCCTTCCTCTGACATGGAATCATAATACAGCCATGTTGTGACACAATTTCAGGTTTTGATTAAAAATAGTTTACAGGCCAGCAGTTTAGACAAACTGACATTTTAAAAATATTTTATTGCAGGAAACTAATATAATGTCCTGGAGAAAAATATAAAGCGAAATGCTGAATATAGCAGTTCTCAGTACTTGGGGTTTTGGTCACATCAGGAGAAAAGTCAGTGCCTGACTCCTTTTGTTAGTGCAGTTCCCTTTTCATTTACCCTCTTGTGATATTTCTGCTTTTACTGCTTCCTTTTGAATTCCATTCCTAAAGAAAATACTATTAGAACACATTTCAAATGCACTTCTTTATATCTGCACCACAATGACACAATGATGATGGTCTGCCAAGATTTTAAGTGTCTTCTGGGTTGTCAAATACAAATTGTTTTATCTGACATAGTTTAAATGTGAAGTGCTTTTCTGGTATTACATTTCTTCAGAAATTGGTAATCTGTGATTTAACTAGAATATGTGGTCAATTGGATTACCACACTTTTAACCATCTATACATAAGATGTCTCTTCTCCCGGCCAGATAAGTTAAAAGTCCTGTTGATCCTTACTGATCAGTTCCACTATTTGCAGGGTTTTTTGGACTTTTTTTGTTGTTGTTGTTGAGACGGAGTCTCGCTCTTCCACCCAGGCGGGACTGCAGTGGCGCTATCTCGGCTCACTGCAAGCTCCGCCTCCCGGGTTCACACCATTCTCCTGCCTCAGCCTCCTGAGTAGCTGGGATTACAGGCGTGAGCCACCGCGCCCGGCCTGGACTTTTTTTTTGAACGGGTGTGATTATAGCACACTGCAGCTTTAGTTCCTAGCCTCAAGCAATCGTTCTGCCTCAGCCTCCTGAGTAGGTGGAACAACAGATGTGTGCTACTGCACCTGGCCTGCTGCACAATTATTATAAAAATGAATTAAATCCTACCTAGTGGGAGAAAATTGACTGTGATCTTATAATTTTTTGTTCCAGAAACTTTTATACTGTAGAATATATTGTCAGTCATTAAGATTTTCTATTTTTAATTGGGTTAAAATAGGATTGTTGCTTTTTAAAATTACTTTCTGACATCAGTTTCATGCATTTTTAATGCCTTTAGTCCAGTGGATATAGCAGTACAGGAATCTCCAAGGCAAATGTCAAAAAATAAAAAATAAGCAGATTAGGGAAAGGTATTCTGTGAAATTACCTTCTGATTGTAGTCACATGTAACACATCAACTTAAACAATAAAAAATTGTATAATGCAATTGTATCAGGGGTTCCCAAGACCCCCTTCACTGAGGTTTGGTAATTCACTGAGAAGGACTCACAGGACTCAGCAGATAGTCATACTTGGGGCTTTGATTTATTACATTTAATACAGCAAAAAGACACAAAGCAACATTCGAGAAAGGAAAAGGTGCATGTGTCAAAGTCTGGAGGAAGCCAGGCACAAGCTACAGGAGTCATCTCCTGTGTAGCTAGCAGGATATGCTTAATTCCCCCAGCCTCAAATTTTGATGACACATGTGCAATGTTGTCTACCTTACCAGAGTTTCATTAGAGGCTCAGCACCCATGTTTTCGATGGAGGCTAGTCACATAGGCCACCTCTCCTCTCCCTCACATGTAACAAAACTCTAGACTCCCAGGAGGAAATTAATTGTTCATAGTAAACCACATTTGCACAAACAGTTTAGGCACAGTGAGCCACTCCCTTCTTCTAAGTTAGGGAATGCTGGGAACCCTCCCAAATTCAAGGTCCCAAACACCAGCCAAGGACTAGCCTTGCAAGCAAGCCTTTCTAAGGATGGGTGTCTCATGCCTGCTATATGAAATCTTTGCTGCCCAGCAGCTATGCCCCTGAGTAAATTTTTGGTGTTATCTTAAAATTTTATATAATATAATAGCAAATAATATGACAGACCATAACATGGTACTGGTTTCAGTTGCATCATTCATATTAAATAGCAAGGCTGCTTACAGTTTTGACATTTGGTGAATACTTAACAGGTATTGGTACATAAGTTACTATGGCAATATTAAGTAATTATAATCTGTCCTTCTTATCTGATTAACCTTTCAGTAAAATTGTGGGATAAAGTAGGCATAATAAGTTCTGATTTAAAATTAGAATAAAAATTATCTTTCATTTTATTTTCATGGATGGACCAGTTTTGATTCATATTGTACTAGATCCCTGTTTACAATTATGAAATAAGATCAGATATTCAATCATTTTTGTGAATTTTTTTTGCCTAAGTATACAATTAAAATTAATTGCTTTATGTGTTTTTATATGCTTCAATTTGGGAGATAGTACTCATATTCTGTTACCTTGATCTTTAGTGATTTGCAATTTTCAAGGTGACTCTGTCTTTTTATAATTTAGGGTAATAGCAAGTTCAGTGAGTATGTGCTTTAAAATTAATAATATTATTTTCTGAGCAGTTTTAGATTCACAGCAAAATTGAGAAGGTACAGAGATTTTCCATATTCCCCATGACCCCTGACATATGAATAGCCTCCCTCATTATCAGTACCCCCCATCGGAGTTCATCAGAGTTACAGTTGAGGAATCTACCTTGACAGACACATCACCCCCAAGGTCCACAGTCTACGTTAGGGTTCACTCTTGGTGTTGTACATTCTATGGTGTTGGACAAATGTGTGATGGCATGTATATACCCTTGTAGTATCACAGACAAAATAGTTTCACTGCCCTAAATATCCTCTGTCCTCCACTGTTTCGTCTCTTCCTCTCCACTGGTTTCTGGCAACCATTGGTCTTTTTGGTGTCTCAGTAGTTTTGCTTTTTCCAGACTAGTCATATAGTTGGAATAAAACAGTGGTGGATATCTTTTTGAATATTTAAACAATAAAGTTCCATGGTAATTTGATTCTGTCATTTTAGATGTTCTTTGTCCTTGCGTTTGTTTTCCTCATGTTGTGTTCATCAGAACAGGATCTGATGGCATATGATTTGACGTGCTGAGAAAGCGTGATCTCTGTAGACGTTTGCCACGTAACGGGGAGGGTGGGGAAAAATGGCATCATGCAGTATTCCACAGCACTAACTGGACCATTGTGCTCTAGGAGATGGGTCCAGATAGACTCTAGCGATGGGACGGGATAATCTCAGGAGCTGGACTTTATAAAACTAGAATCACAAAGTCTTGCATACTTACCTTGCACTTAAAAAGAAGATCAGGCAGTGAACACTACAGGTGAATAAATATGTTCCTCTCTGGTTCTCTTCCTTTTAGGGATGAGCTTGAAAACAGTCTATATTATTATAATATGGCTCATCTACAACTAAATGCTCTGTCATAGGAAATGCCAGTGTTTTTCTTTACAATAAATGAAAAATAATTTTGTTTTCACCAGAGAGAGTAACAACTGTTGGCACATTCTGGCAGCTTGAGTGAGCTGATAGTTCTGTTCATATATATTTTTCTTACCAGGTAGTACTCCCTGGCAACCTGCCACCACTGTGGCAGTGTTTCTTCTTAAGCTTCTCACTGAATGAACGGTGTGGCTCAGAGTGAATAAGCTCTTTAAGGGAGTGATCTTTCCAATGGTTCTGTCCATAGGAGGTAAAATGGGAGGTGAATTTGAGCCTTGTTTGTGCTAGGGAAAATAGCTAGAACTCAGTAAACATTGCCAGCATCTGCCCCAGAAGAGGATTAGTGAGAGTGAGTACACTGATCTCCCTTGAGCTCTTCTCCACTGGCAGCTGAGAAGTCTTTGCAAAGATCCTTGTCCCTGGTCTCTTCCCTATGTTTTGCCACATAACACAGCACAGCACCCATAGACCTACACAACAAAATGTACAGTTTTCCCCCCTTATCCATGGGGGATATGTTCCAAGACCCCCAGTGAATGCCTGGAAGTGTGGATAGTACTGAACCCTAGATATGCAGTGTCAGGATAGAAGGAAGAGGATAAGAGTAAAAGGGGGAATAAAGAATGTGGAAGGCAGAGAGTACAGAGAGTAAATGAAGGGAAAAGAAGCAAGTGGATATGATGGAGGGTGGTAAAATGAGATAATACTTCAAAAGAAGAGTGGG
The DNA here is from genome assembly GCF_000001405.40 of Homo sapiens. Taxonomy (NCBI): domain Eukaryota; kingdom Metazoa; phylum Chordata; class Mammalia; order Primates; family Hominidae; genus Homo; species Homo sapiens. The sequence continues at coordinate 16,702,826 of NC_000017.11, forward strand.
GTATTAGAAAGGTGGAAAGAATATAAGGTGAACGTGCAGCACCAAAACTTATCAGATAAGACAAACTTTACTTGCCAATATGTTAGTTGTGCTTTAAGTTTAATTATTTCATCATAGTGTGGCTATACTGATGATTTTAAGCCAGTCAGATATTCTGGTCAGCAAATCATGTGTGTGTGTGTTTTGATTATCAAAAATGAAGAAAGCAATTAATTACCCTTAATAACTATATGGTGGACACAGTCTTTTAAAACATTGATTCTGAAACTTTTTGGCCTGGGGTTCGTTTTATATGATTAAATATTATTGCCTAGAGGGAACCAACACCCTGAATTAAGAATTTATTATGTCCATTCCCTTTTAAAACATTTTATTACATATGTGTATGGTCATAAATAATATGTAGAATTTGTTTTCATGTCCTAAAATTGTATATAAATTGTTTTACACTCTACATATTTTGCAACTTTCTTTTGTCTGGTCACATTACATTTTTGAGGTCAGTCCTTATTGACACAGGAAGCTCTGGTTTTCTATCAAATGACTGGATCTCAAAGTCTCTTCATAATGATAAATAAATAATTAAAATAAAGAAAAATTATTGCAAATTCCAAAGAGCTTTTATTTAAGTCAGTTGTGTCTTTTGATATTTACTATTTTAGAAATAAAAACTAAAATATTTTAAAAACAAGCATGCGGCCGGGCGTGGTGGCTAACGCCTGTAATGCCAGCACTTTGGGAGGCCAAGGCGGGCGGATTACGAGGTCAGGAGATCGAGACCATCCTGGCTAACACGGTGAAACCCCGTCTCTACTAAAAATACAAAAAATTAGCCGGGCGTGGTGGAGGGCACCGGTAGTCCCAGCTACTCGGGACGCTGAGGCAGAGAATGGCGTGAACCCGGCAGGTGGAGCTTGCAGTGAGCCGAGATCGCGCCACTGCACTCCAGGCTGGGTGACAGAGTGAGACTCCATCTCAAAAAACAAACAAACGAACAAAAAAACACAAGCACGCACAGCCATACATTCCAATAGCCTTTAGAACTATGACCCATTCACCATTAGAGCTATGATGTTATGACACACCATGTCTATGAAAAGCTCCACTGTACACGTGAAACAGAATGAGAGTGAAAATGGCAAATAACATTTTGTATTATTTGACGTCTTGGCCCCTCATCTGGATCTTGAACTCCAGGGATTCTCAGATCATAATTTAGAGTCAACATTTTAAACCACATATGTGGTTGTGGATAAATGCACCCTTTATGGTGAAATGGACTTTAAAGTTTCACTTATGTGTTTTTGGCTTTTTTCTTTCACTTGTCTTAAAAAATTTAAATCTCAGGCCGGGCGCGGTGGCTCACGCCTGTAAATCCCAGCACTTTGGGAGGCCAAGGCAGGCGGATCATGAGGTCAGGAGATTGAGACCATCCTGGCTAACGCGGTGAAACCCCGTCTCTACTAAAAATAAAAAAAAATTAGCCGGGCGTAGTGGCAGGCGGCTGTAGCCCCAGCTACTCAGGAGGCTGAGGCAGGAGAATGGTGTGAACCCGGGAGGCGGAGCTTGCAGTGAGCCGAGATTGCGCCATTGCACTCCAGCCTGGGTGACAAAGCGAGACTCCGTCTCAAAAAATAAAAAAAAAAAATTTTACATCCCAACAATTTTGTTTATATAGTAAAAAGGAAAATATTTTTGTTATGTATTCCTTTCCTGTCTCGTGGCACTGTGTGCTATTTGGATCTAGTGTGGTCCTAGACTAATCCTGTTCTCACATGGGAACAGTTAGAGCCCTTACAGCTCTTATTTTGCAAATAAATGTATGAAGTTTATCCAAGTATTTGAAAGGAAATTCTGAAGATAGTGGTGCATTGAGGAAAGACCATCTCATTATAATTAAAATAGTTTTAAAAGTATATTTATTATGAGTTTTTGTAAATCCTGTGTCTCTACAATACATACATACAATGCTGTCATGTATATTTAAGCTTAAAATAGTTAGACATAAATTCTGTTTTAAAAGATTTATATCCACGAAGAATCTTAATGGAAAGCAAAATATGTATTAGAGACTCCTGAGTGAATAAAAGTAAGTAATAGTAAGCAGTAAAAATGTAGAAAAGTGAGAGATGATAGTTAATTATACTTACCTGAATGAATTGTAAGCATAGGACATGTAAAATATAATAAGCCTGAATGCATAGTGTGTTGTGGGAGAGAGCAGGATGTAGGACTGTTTCTGTGAAGAAAGCATGTATACAAGTTAGTCAAATTATTGTGTTATTTACATCCTAAAAATGAAAACTTCATTTTCGGATTTTTCAGATTGGCATCCTACTAATTTGACCCTTAGTGATGAGACTTGTCAGAGATCCAAGAATCTGAAAGTTGATGATAAATGTCCATCTGTATCACCATCAATGCCTGAAAATCAGTCAGCAACCAAAGAACTGGGACAGATGAACTTAACAGAACGAGAAAAGATGGACACTGGAGTTGTACTTCTCTCAGGGAATGATACTCTCCATGACCTGTGCCAATCACAGCTACCAGAAAACAAAGAGAGCAAAGAAGGTAACAAAGAAGCATAGAGAATTCAGTCCTAGAGTGCCTCTGCTTGGCTGCATAGAGCTATAGTTCTGACTTAAAAAAACTTTTTCTGGTAAAATGTGCTTTGTGTTTACTCACCTTTTGCACTGAACAGAATACTTTTTGGCAGGATATTTGTGTTCTTCCTTTAACCAAAGCAACATCTAGATAACAGAGAATTAGGGGAAAGCATGATTTTCTTTAGGAAGTAGGATTATATTTAGAATATAGGGACTAAGTATGTTTAGGGACTAACATAGGATTATATTTAGGATAACTTAGTAGAGACCTAAAGATTGCTGACTCAAACACAATGTGGTTTCTTTGCTTTATTTTTACAGCTCTGAATTCACAGCTGTTAGTTATAACTATATGCACTACAATTTAAAAGACACCTTCCCACACCTGTAATCTCAGCACTTTAGGAGGCCGAGGTGGGTGGATCATGAGGTCAGTAGTTCGAGACCAGCCTGGCCAATATGGTGAAACCCCATCTCTACTAAAAATACAAAAAAAAAACTAGCTGGGCATGGTGGTGAACGCTTGTAGTCCCAGCTACTCAGGAGGCTGAAGCAGGAGAATCGCTGGAACCCAGAAGGTGGAGGTTGCAGTGAGCCGAGATTGCGCCACTGCACTCCAACCTGGGCAATAGAGGAAGACTCCGGTCTCAAAAAACAAAAACAAAAAAACACCTTCCAAAAGCAAATATTAAGTGACTTCCTATCGTTTCTATGACTTTATGTATTATAGAATTGACTTTCCAAGTCAGTAATTAATGAGACTTATTGAGAATTTGCTGCATAGTATCTCCTTGGCTGTGTCCACATGAGCTACCACCTTGCGTTAATAAATGTGTTCGCTAGGGATGTTGGTTTTGGCATTGACAGTGTTCTATCACCAATGCAAATAAGACCAGGGACCACTCTTGAGAACATTAATGTCCAAGCATCTTAAAGTTGTACGTAAGGCTTTCATAATGTGACTTCTGCTCAGCTCTCCATCTTTAGCCCTTTCCCCTGTGTGCCCTTTCTCTGGCCTTACTGAACTGCTGGTCCTGTCCTGCTGACCCATCCTTCGACTGCAGGCAAACACATACACTCTTTCAGGCCTCTTTCTGCCTTTTGTTGCTGCCTGTCATGCTCTCACTCTTTCCTGTCCCCTACCCCTTCTAATTAGGCTAGCCTCACTCTTTAAGCCTCAGCTCGGGCAGGATCTCTAGAAAAGTCATCTCTGACATGCTTTCTTTTCACTCTTTAAATCCTAGTGCCTAGCACATAGCAAGACTCAATACATAATTGCTGAGTAAAATAGATAATGACTCTTTGTACAAAGATGATTTTCAAGATTGTTCCCTACAGTCAAGGAGCAAAGGGAATAGACATGTAAAGCAATAATTGACAGTTCGGGTGGTGGAGATGCAGTAGAAAAATCAGTTCTAGGGCAGCCCTAAGGAAGGAGATACCTAGATACCTGTTTACCTGGGGAAAGATGAGGATGAGGGTCAACTTCACCTAGCAGTCTGTTTTTTATTTTATGTATTTTATTTATTTATTTTTAGCAGTCTGTTTTAAAAGATGAAAATATTAATACGTTTGTCAGAATAATACAGGGAACCATTTCAGATGTTAGGAAGTGGTTGTACACCAATAAAGGTGTCCACAGTCATTTTGGAAATCATTAATAAGGTACTATTATGAAGTGGAGAACAGTATGCAGCATTGCCTGATAATATTACTACTGCATTCCAAAATTTTGTTTTGTTTGTGATGGCTTTGTTCATTGATGTTGGGTGGATGAATCTGTGAGTGAATCTTCAACATGATTGTATTTCTTTAACCTGGTGGCATCTAGTGTCTCCCAGAAAGTGGTTTGTTGAAGTTTTGGAGAATTAGAAGTATTTCTTAAAGAAGTAAGTATTCCACTAAAGATCAAGCTTCATTTAAACTCTCAATTTATGAAATAAAATGAAATGTAATTTAAAATCTATTTTTATAAAGACTATGTCTTTTATCTAACTGTTCTAAGTAGTTTAACTGAATGTTTGGATTTTGCAGCAGAACAAGACTCGGAGCTGACATCAGAGGAAGAGCAAGAAAGACTTAAAGGATGCGAAAATAAGCAGCCACAGGTGTGGAAACATTTAAACTAAAATCTAAATTTCTGGTTTAATACTCTTTTCTTTGCTTTAATAATATAAGCTAGCCCAAATGAAATTACCTCTCAGACTAGCCTTTGAGAACCAATAGATCCTTACTTAATATTTAATTTTAAATACATTTAAACTAGTTATAAAACACAATATTGTTAGAATCTATCATAACTTATAGTTAATCTTTACCCTTGGAGTAGAGGCAAACATTCCAGAATTTTGTTTGCTCTTCCATTCTTACAATATCCTTATGGGATAAAGAAGATAATGTCAATTATTGACATATTATTAAGCAGCAGAAATTATGAACAATTTAACAGTGATGGCCACTGAGTTGGATTCATGGTATAAGAGTAATCATGGCCAGTGGCTCAAATTTTGCAGTTTTATATTGCCAGTTACTAATGCCTAGGTTAAAGATGTGGCCTTTCATTGACTTCACGGTCTACATTCAGTGAGAGTGGGGTTATGAAATCAACCCAACTGCCTATTAAGGGAATCATACCTTGCAGAATGGGATCTTTGGTGTTAGGGTACAAACAATAACTTTCTAACTTTTTAGATGCAGAAACTTAGTAAGAATTATCTTTAAAGTTTTAGTAAGTGTTATTAGGGGACCATAGTATATATTAGAACAGAACTGAAGAAGATAGTCTAGATATATAACCCTATGATGTTACAGTATATAATTTAAATTAAAACTTAAGAATTTGCTTTTCTTTCTGATTGGTGTTGATTCGGGCTCCTAATAATTTGAAGATTGCCTACCCTCCAGTTAGTAATCTATGGAACTTACATGTAGTAATATATAGTACTTACATGTAGTAATATGTAGTACTTACGTGTACTGTAGGGGCTCACTTTCCAAGTGAGGACGCCTTTGTAACACTAGAAATCGTCTGCTAATTCATTTTTGGTAGATTTAATACATAATGAATTAAGTTTATTCCAAACAAACAGTGACAAAGTTAAGTTTGCTGGTTCATATTTTTCTCCTCCTTTCAGCTAAGACAATTTTTTTTTAACTTCTTAGTTACAAGCCAGTGATTTGGGAGTAGCTAAACCTAGATGAAGAAGTTTAACAGTTAAATTTTCATTTTAATTATTTGTGAATTTTTCTTTGTTCATACCTGTTATTTAAGGACAAAGCTATTTTTAAAACATGTAGCCCAACAGAGAAGACACCCAAGAAATAAAACAAGCAAATTAATCTTCCACTTTTGCATCTGCAGAAAACGTCTCAAGAACCAGAAATGGCTAAGGATTGCGATAGAGAGGATATACCTATATATCCAGTACTTCCTCATGTGCAAAAATCTGAGGAAATGTGGATTGAACAAGGCAAATTAGAGTGGAAAAACCAATTAAAACTCGTCATAAATGAGTTAAAGCAGAGGTTTGGTGAAATTTATGAAAAATACAAAATTCCGGCTTGTCCTGAGGAAGAGCCACTACTTGATAACTCTACAAGAGGAACAGATGTAAAGGATATTCCCTTTAATTTGACAAATAACATACCTGGTTGTGAGGAAGAAGATGCATCTGAAATATCTGTCTCAGTGGTATTCGAGACATTTCCTGAACAAAAAGAACCCAGTCTCAAAAATATCATCCATCCATACTATCATCCATACTCTGGGTCCCAGGAACATGTTTGCCAGTCATCTTCTAAGTTTCATTTACATGAAAATAAATTAGACTGCGACAATGATAACAAACCAGGCATTGGACATATTTTTAGTACAGATAAGAACTTTCATAATGATGCAAGCACTAAGAAAGCAAGGAACCCAGAAGTGGTTATGGTTGAAATGAAAGAAGACCAAGAGTTTGATTTGCAAATGACAAAAAATATGAACCAAAATAGTGACAGTGGCAGTACAAACAACTATAAAAGCCTGAAACCTAAATTAGAAAATCTGAGTTCTTTACCACCAGATTCTGACAGAACATCAGAAGTATATCTACATGAAGAATTACAGCAAGACATGCAAAAGTTTAAGAATGAGGTCAACACATTAGAAGAAGAGTTCCTGGCTTTGAAGAAAGAAGATGTTCAACTTCATAAAGATGTAGGGTTTTACTTGCTGCCACTCTTTGTTTTTTCTCTCAATTATCTGGTCCATTCTGATTTTCCACTTAGGAAAAGCATATGAAAAGCATACAGTTTGGTTGTCTAAATCTGTAATTGTGTGTAGAAACAGATGATTTCTAAGTAATAGGAGTTTAGGAAAACTTTCTCATAATCTTCGTTTCTTAATTGACCTAAGTCTCTCTGTCAGTCTTCCAAGTGGCGTATGGATTGTGAAACTCATTTAGCCATATATCATGTGACCTTCAGAACCAGGAGAGGCGTCAAGAAAATCGCTAAAGGAAATGTGATGAGCTTGAGGGCTTTTTCCTTTTACCGACTTAAAGATGAGTTGTGTCTAACAATAAGATGGGAATACAGTAGAAAGGAAGCAATGACTAAGAAGAGATATAAAAATGTATCTAGCAGGCGTGGTGGCAAACACCTGTAGTCTCAGCTACTAGGGAGCCTAAGGCAGGAGGATCATTTGAGGCCAGGCATTCTGGGCCGTAGTGTGCTATGCCGATCAGGTGTTCACACTAAGTTCGGCATCAATATGGTGACCTCCTGGGAGCGGGGCACCACCAGATTTGCTAAGGAAGGGTGAACCAGCCCAGGTCGGAAGTGGAGCAGGTCATAAGTAACTCCTGTGCTGATCAGTAGTGGGGTCGTGCCTGTGAATAGCTGCTGCATTCCAGCCTGGGCAACGTAGTGAGACCTCATCTCTTACTAAAAAAAAAAAAAAAAAGAAAAGAAAAAAGAAGTATCCAGCCCTGAGAGCTGCAGCAAATATTCCTGGCCAATGAATCTGTTTATTGTGCTTTTCAGGTTTTTCTGTTTAACTCAAACTGCTGGAACTTAGAATTGCATCATGACCACTTTAAATATTTTTCAACAACAAGTATATACACTTTAATATATTTGTTAATATAACTACTCTCCACTGTTTCTGTTGAATCAGACCTTTATGTTATGTTGCTTAATAAAGTACAGTAAGTTTTGGCATATATATTTTTTCCATGTAAGTAGCATAAATGCTCAGCCAAACACTTAGTATATGATGCCAAAGTAGAAAGCTGAGTCCTCTACATTGATTAGGGCAGGCCTCCCACCCTCCGCTAAGGCATTAAATTATTTTACCCAAGTCACACTTTTAACCTATCTGATTAATTTGCTGAATTTGTCTGATTCAGTATTATGGAATTGTACTGTCTCTTTTGGTGCCACAAAATGCTAGGTAATGGCACTTTAGGGGCTTTGGATCAATCATTTTAATCTTTTTTGGCTTTAGCCCAGTTATCTATAGAGAGTGAGCTAAAGTAGATTCTTATACTGTATATCCTCCAGCTATAAACTTTTATGGCTATTGAATGTGAAATTTGGGAAGCATCTCATTTCCAGAATTCCACCCTAGCTCAGCAGTTTCACTCTGCTTTTTGTGTTGTGGCAGACTTGTATTTCAGTAAGCACCTTCACCTTTTTGATATCCCAGGATTCAAATGAAAAAAAAAAAAAAAAAAAAAACAAAAGTTAGTGGGGGAAAAGAATAGCTTAGTGCAGAAAAGGGAAAGCTTCCTTTCTTTTCCTGAAACCCCACAGTGTTGTATCCTCTCAATCTGGCTGTTTAATATGAAAGTCAAGTGGCAAAGACAGAAGAAGACAAGCTTTGTGTCTTTATCTTCTTATTTCCATGTTTGTGCCAGTCAAATGAGGTAAAAATTCATAATACATAGTAAAGGGTGGTTGGGAATAAAAGCACAAAATTAAGAAGGGCCCTGCTTGAAATTTTGGAAAATTCTGTCTCATTCATTGAAACAGAAATGAAGCTGACTTTACAAAAATGTTGATGATAAAATTATAATAATTATAATTATATGATGATAGTTCCAGATGTGATAAAATTAAAGTAAGCACCAAATATTTTAATGACTGAAATTATAATTAAACTGAGTCAAGTGATGATGAAATCAATGCAAACAGAAAAAAGTTCTTTGTATTGAATAAAGCAATAACAATCATCCTGAACATCAAACTCTCACTCAAGGTTGAAGAAGAAATGGAGAAGCACAGAAGTAATAGCACAGAATTATCAGGAACCCTAACTGATGGTACTACTGTTGGCAATGATGATGATGGACTAAATCAGCAGATTCCTAGGAAGGAAAATGGAGAGCATGACAGGTAAGCCTATAGCAGCGTTTAACAGGAGACAATTGGTCAAGCGTGGTGGCTCACGCCTGTAATCCAGCAATTTGGGAGGCCAAGGCGGGTGAATCACCTGAGGTCAGGAGTTCAAGACCAGCCTGACCAACATGGATAAACCCCATCTCTACTAAAAATACAAAATTAGCCAGATGTAGTGGTGCATGCCTGTAATCCCAGTTACTCAGGAGGCTGAGGCAAGAGAATCATTTGAACCTGGGAGGCGGGGGTTGTGGTGAGCTGTGATCATGCCATTGCACTCGAGCCTGGGCAACAAGAGTAAAACTCCATTTCAAAAAAAAAAAGCAAAAACAGAAACAAAAACAAAAAACAGGAGACATGTGCTATGAAATGAATCCTAATTTGGGCTAATATTCATGATGAACAGATTTTATACTTTTACTAGGATATTCAGCCTTCCTTGGTTATCAGAAAAATGCAAACTAACAATGAGACACCATGTTTTCTAATCATATTGATATTTTATTTAAAAAATCGGAAGTATTGGCAAATGTGAAGAAAAAGGCGTTTTCATACACTTGTTAAATGAAATTGATGAATCCTTTTTGTAGGGTAATTTAGTAGCATGTATCAAAATTTCAAATATGTCACTTCTTTAACCTAACAACTTCACTTTTGGGACAAGATCCTACAGGAAAATATGACTTGTGTAAACACATACACATATATGTTAAGGACATTTATTACATGTAGTATGTAACATACAATAGGCTAATAGGTTAAATATATATAATGTTAAGTATATATGATATATTTATGTTAAGGATATTTATATATGTTGCATATATACTTATGTATAAGGATATTTATTATAGCATTATAATATCAAGAAGTTGGAGATAGTCTAAATCCTTAGCAATAAGGAAATAGTACAATTGTCATACCCAGAAAATAATGTAGCATGCACTCATTTTAACAAAAGAAGTTGTTAGACCAGGAGTGTACTGATTATTTCACAATTAAAGTCTATTTAAAGCCTTTAGTTTGATGACACATCTTAAGCCAGTTTTGTTGGAATTCTCGTAATATCTGCTGAGTTACAAAAGGAAGCTAGCTACATGCTACATTGACACTGTACCTTGTTAGCAACAGAATTCTAGTTATTAAATTTTTGTTTTTTGCTGTCAATGTGTGAGTGCTGAAATACCAGATCCTCAAATTAATCTGAATATTGCCAAGGGATTGCACATGGGGATTCATGTTCCGTGTCAGCTTTTCAATATACTGGGTAAAACTTACTAAAATACAACAGAGGATCTTAGCTCTACTGAACCAAGAATTGGACAGCTATTTTTGTAAAGAGCCAGTTAGTAAATATTTTAGGCCTTGTGAATTATAAAGGGCATAAGTGTGGCTGCATTTCAAGGAAATTTCCTTATGAAAACAGGCAGTGGGCTGGATTTGCTCCACAAGCACCAATTTGTTGATCCTTGTGCTAAAACCAAGGTGCTGTTATGCAGTGAATCCTCTTTTTAAAGGTACCCTACATGCATGCCATTATCCTTTCTTTTAAAAGATAATGTATTTCAGTAGGAAACACACCATATTTTTCAACAGTAGCTTCATATAATTTAGACAAATTTGATTTACAAAATAAGATTATTTTCTGCACTTGTCCCCTTTTATTCGTGTTATAGAATTCCATATTTTGACTATTACTTTGTATATTTGATGAGTATAAAATATTCTAGAATTAGATGATTTTTATCAAGCAAGAAATACTTCTCCTGAAACTTTTAGTCTTCCTTGGTCTTTATGTATAAGCATGAGCAAAATGATAATCAGCTTATATAATCTAGAAATGTTCAAGAGGTCTTTTGGTTTTATAAGTTAATGAATTTTTATTTAATACCTTCATCTGGCATTTCAAAAATGCCATATAGATATGATTTAAAAAAACTTTTAAAGGGTAAAAATATAGTATATAGTTATATAAGAATTGAAAAATACAGCTAAACAAGAAGAAAATTAGATCATCTACAGTCATGCCCCTAGGTATGCTGGCCTTGAAAGAGTGGTATATACTCATGGATTCAGATTTCTTGTCCATTCACTCTTGAGCTGATACCAGTAATTTTCACTCCTACCACTCTTCCAAGATTGTTGTTCTCAAGTTTACCATTGATTTGTAAATCTAGACATTGTTTCTTAGACCTCATTTTATTTAACCTGTCAGCAATATTGGACCCAATGGAAAACTCTCTCCTCCATAACAGTGTCTTCACTTGGCTTTCAGGATCTCACTCACTCACCTGGCTTTTCTTCCTGCCTTTCCAGTCCATCTGTCATAGTCTGTTTTGCTTTCTTCTCATATCCCACCTTTTACACATTGATATGTCCCAGGACTCAGTCCTCAATCTTGTTTCTCATGACTTTTACTACCTTGTGTGTGCTAATGATTTCCAAATGCGTGTCTCCAGCCTAGATCTCTCTCCTTAATTCCAGACTTCTACACCAACCTGCCTACTTGACATCTCTGTTTGATTGGTCACGAACTGTTGGGTATCACAAAACCAGGTCCAAGATTGGGGTACCGATATTCTTTCTCATACCTACCCCTCACATGGTCTTTCCTACTTGCATTAATGGCAACTCTTGCAGTTGCTCTGCTAGAAACTAAGGTGTTGTCATTGACTCCCCTCTCTCTCTGACACCTCACATCTAATCTGTCAGCAGATCTTGTCAGGAGTACCTGAAGAATATATCCAGAAGCCAGTCATATCTTCCATTTCCAAGCCACCACCATCTGCTCTCTAGATGCATGTAATAGACTGTTAATTGGTCTGTTTTTTTTTTTTAAAGAAACCTCTTTTCATTAATCCTTAACTCAGTGGCACTTAAAACATAAGTCAGATGATGTCATTCTTCTGCTCAGATCCATCTGATTGCCTCCCATTTCACTCTGAGTATGTGTCAGGGTTCCTCCTCATACCTAGAAGGCAACACACAATATGCCCTGTTCTCTCTCTCACTTAAACTTCTGTTTCTTATTCCCTTTGCTGTGCTTCAGCTACACTAAACTTCTTGCTCTTCGTTATCTATCACAGTTGCTTAAACACCCCAGGCACACCTCTGCACTGGGCAGTTCCCTGTGTCTGGGATGCCTTTTCCTCAGATAGCCTCCTGGCTTTCTTTTTCCATTCCTTCAGTTCTTTACTTAAAAGCCCCTTTCTCAGTAAGGACTTTTCTGGCCATCCTAGAATTCCCACTATCCCTCCTCTCAAACCTGTAAACATTTCATTTTCCTGCTTTAGTTTTTCTCCTTTAACACTGTATATTTTGCCTAATCTATCTATGGTTATTGTGTTTATTTCACTCCCATGAGTAGGATGTTTGTGTGCCTAGAAAAGGGCCTAGCTTGCAATAAGTAGCTACTCAATAAATATTTATTAAATGAGCAACTGAAGTTTACCCTTCGGTGTATTGTTTTAAACATTAGATTGATTCTCAGGTAAAAAAAAAAAAAAAGAAAGAAAGAAAAAGGTTTCACATGGGTTCATTCTAACACTTTTGCCTGGAAATTATATGCGTTTTTGGATTTTTTGGCTCTTTGTAATAAGCTACATTCTTTGTATTAATAGTTTTCCATTTAGAGAGAAAAGCTCAATATTGTCATTACTCACTATTTATTCTTTTACTAATAATCATGATAGTTTTACTTATGATAAAATGGATCAAAGGAATTACATAGTTCATTGGTAATTTATAAAGAAAATTAAAATATAAGGGTGGTAAATTTAATGGACTTAAAATTGTTTCCAATTGATTATGAACCTTCAGTATTTGAAGTTAAAAGACCAAGTTGGAATGTGTTGCTTTCTATAAGAGAGCTATGCTCATCAGGCACTCTGTATTCTGACAGAGCAGCTGTTGATCTTACATAGGGTTGCGGGAGGAGCGGACTTGAAGCATTGGCAGACTCTCAGCGGCATAAGAGGGTTAACATCATCTTGAGAAACATGGCTATCTGAGTGAGGCTGCTGTGGGTTGGTTAACACTCCCAGGCTTGTGGATTGGAGCGAGTTTGTGTTTAATTGGCTGTCTTTCCAAAGCAAGTGGCGCACGTTGATATTGGTTGGTGAGAGAGGCCAATGGTCACTGATGATTGACTGTATTTACAACTGGCTGTGGGTGGTTGCTTGTTACAAATGTAGCTACTAAGTTTGAGACAACTTTAAACTGCAGTTTTCTGTTTAAAAGTTGCCTTCCATCAACTATGTTTAAAATGAAAATGATTTCATATTCCAGAACTATAGACTTAATTTGGAAGTGTGGGTCAAGAGGAATTGTTTAATAATTGCTCTCAGGAAGATCTCTTTTTTTGATGCTTAGTCTTAACCAGAAGAATTCGCTACATAGTTAAAAAACAAGCAAACAAACAAACAAAAAACAATTATTAATTTTGTTTCAGTTTTTAGTATTTTCAGAGACTTCTGCTAAACTCCTAATCTCCAGTGGGAAATGTTTGTCTCTTTGTTAATGTATGTAGTTATATGATAGTGATATTCTTTTTTTTATTCCTTAATCTTTTTTTGTTCACTTTCTCTTCCATGCAATGATAGTGATATAATGTGTGTTTACTTCATAAAAAAGTAATTACAATTTTCTGCTGGCAAATCCAGCTTTTTATATTAAGACTAAGTACTAGACTAAATATGTGGGAAATTTACCAAATTATTTTATTTTCAAACAAGCATATAATTAATCAGAATATTGCTATTTTTGAACAATATATAATGACTATAATGACATTTAGGAATTTTAACACTAAGATTTTTTTCTTCCCGAGACATTTCCTTGATTTCTTTCATGTAATATGTGCCTGTTATTTTTAAGACTTGGTTTAATCTGTTTAAACATTATTATATTTAAAAACAAAACCCAAAACATAGCACAGATCTAAATATGAGTTTCATGTGTGAGAGTCATTGCCTGTGTGCAGTGGATTCCAGCTGTTTTTTTTTTTTTTTTTTTGAGACGCAGTCTCGCTCTGTCGCCCAGGCTGGAGTGCAGTGGCACCATCTCAGCTCACTGCAAGCTCCGCCTCCTGGGTTCCCGCCATTCTCCTGCCTCAGCCTCCCGAGTAGCTGGGACTACAGGCACCCACCACCGCACACGGCTAATTTTTTGTATTTTTAGTAGAGACGGGGTTTCACCGTGGTCTCGATCTCCTGACCTCATGATCCGCCCGCCTCGGCCTCCCAAAGTGCTGGGATTACAGGCGTGAGCCACCGCGCTCGGCCAGCTTTTTTTTTTTTTTTTCTTTTCTTTTTTCTTTGTGACAGAGTCTCACTCTGTCACCAGGCTGGAGTGCAGTGGCAATCTCAGCTCTCTGCAACCTCCAGCTCCTGGGTTCAAGCGATTCTTCTGCCTCAGCCTCCCGAATAGCTGGGACTACAGGTGCGCCACCATGCCCAGCTAATTTTTGTATTTTTAGTAGAGATGGGTTTCACCATGTTGGCCAGGATGGTCTCGATCTATTGACCTCATGATCCGCCCGCCTCAGCCTCCCAAAGTGCTGGGATTACAGGTGTGAGCCACCACACCCAGCTGACTCCAGCTTTTTAGTGTGGCATTCATCTTCCATTCTTACTTTCTTTGTGTTTTACACTTTTCCTTTCAAGTTCCTAGGAAACACCTAGACTCCATGGGACTAATCTTTGTGCTGTCATTCCATTCTCCAAGTGGAGTAGTTTTCTCTATTTTTTCCCTGGTGAGCTCCTCTTATATTTTGCCTCTTCTGTAATGCCTTCCTTGTGCTAAAATATAACTTTCCATATATCAACTCTTAAACTACACATTGTATCATAATTGCATATTACCTGGTTTTTGAGGCAGGAAATATATATTTCTTTATATGTTGATAATTCATAACTGTGTTTTTTGAATTAATGAATTGAGATGGGGAAGAGTTGGAATTTTACAAAATTTTTTTTATTTGTTATCAGTAGAATTATTATAAAACATTGGCCTTTTGTAGATTTTTTAAAGTTGTGGTTCTGCGTTACATATGAAGGAAGTAAAGAAAAATGAAAATAAAAAATGTACCTCAAAATAATCTCTGATTACGCCAGTGTTTGAGAAGGTAATTTAGTAACTTGTGGTCTGCTGCAAGGAGATGATGACAGCAGTTTAAGTGAAATAGATGAGGTTGAAAGAAGTTAAAATGTATAAGTTCTTTATTTCTCTGAGAAGGAATATTCCCAGTGGTTACTTTTTCTGGAAATAGAAAATAGTGTAGTCTGCCAAAGCTAGAGAATACTCAACTATATCAATGCTGAAAGACTGATTATGATGAGGGCTGGTAACTTTGACAAGGAGCAGTTTGAATAAATAATTGCTGTGGAATCCTGACTGTAGTGGATAAGCATAGATACCCCTTGAGGGAACCGTTATTGGGAAAGGCAACAGAGAAATGAGTGATAACTGAAGAAGAATGTGGGATTCAAGGGAATTTTCTTTCTTTTTTATTTCAAAATAGAAGCTTTTAGAGTGTGTTTGTATGCTGCTGGGAATGATAGGGACAAGGATAACATGTTTATGAGATTTAATTTTGTATGTCTAAGTGTTTGAAAGCTCGATTCATTATCTTTTGTAGGTTTTTAGCAAACTAATTGTCCTTAAAGTGTTTATTCACGTAGAGTTTTATGGTAAGAGTTTGTTCCTTCAGCATTGGTTCAGAAATGTAACATATTAGCATAACTGAACCTGTGAATGGTGACCTAAAATTTAAACTATCATATGCAGATTGTTTTTAATTGTGAAATAATAAACATGCAAACACTTAGGCCATACTGAATAGAATTTAAACATCCCTGATGAATAGGTATGATCTGCTGAGGTACTCTAAAATGTCAGGAGTATCAACTTTATAGTTGTTTAGATTCTGGGGAGAAGGGGAGGGTTTTGTTTAAGTACTTTAGAAAAGCTAACTGTTGACAATCTATCAGATTATTACTTCTGGATTATAAAGTGTTTTTTTTTTTTTTTTTGAGACAGAGTCTTGCTCTTTCACCCAGGCTAGAGTGCAGTGGCACAATCTTAGCTCACTGCAACCTCCACTTCCCAGGTTCAGGCGATTCTCCTGTCTCAGCCTCCTGAGTAGCTGGGATTACAGGCGCCCGCCACCGTGCCCAGCTAATTTTTGTATTTTTAGTAGAGACGGGGTTTCATCATCTTGGGAAAGCTGGTCTTGAACTCCTGACCTCGTGATCCATCCACCTCGGCCTCCCAAAGTGCTGAGATTACAGGCGTGAGCCACTGCACCTGGCCTATAAAGTTTTTTTAAAAAATATTTAATCAAGTTGACCTACAATGGATTATAAAGTTCTGAAGTATCAAAACCATGTTTCCCTGGACCAACATTGCCATCAGCATGTATTGTGTGCTCAATGAGTATTTATTTGTTGAACGGGTGAATGAATGGGTGAATACATGAATGAATACCTGTTGATGGATTTCATTAAAAATACTTTTTAGTTTTTTGAAAGTAGGTTTCTAAACTTGCCTCTGTATAAAGTTTTTTTATTAGAAAAAAATTGCAAGATTCTGACATTATTTATAGTTGTAGTCAGAAATGGAATGGCAATGTGGGTTCATCTGCTATCATCTCTCTTTAAAACACTTGAAAATAAATGTTACCTTCACAGCATATCATGAAGCACATGTTTTTGAGGCAGAATTCTTAGGTTTGAGTTCTGGGTCTGCTACTGACCAGCTATATGGGCTGAGGACAGTCACTTGGCCCTTCTGTGCCTATTTTCTTTCTTTATAAAATTCTTAATATGTTACTGACCTCACAGAATTGTTATGAGGATTATATGAGTTTGACACATGGACAGTGCTCAGAATGATGCACAGTACCTGCATAGTAAGTCCAGAAAAAGCTTACTAATATCATCATTAAAAAAGGGTTTCCCTTATATAAGAATGTGAGTAATATTTTCCAAATAGGTTTTAGTGCCCGTAAAAGCTTGTTTTTATTGAAAAGGACAACAATGAGAAGACCCTGGTATATTTATTTTTATCACGTAATGCAGGTAACATGTTTTTTTCTTTTGGTTTTACTATGAGAAATCTTGACCTAAATTTAATTCTTTGTAATTAAATTAGTAGTAGTAAATTTCTTTATCCCTTAATGTTGCTGTTTCTGTTTATAGTTTAATGTCCATTGTAGAAAATTACTGCATTTTACATTACCTGTAAAAAAATTACCTATACACTTGATGAATAGAAGTAACACAAATGCAGACATTTTATATGATAAAACAGTAGTGTTAGATATTCTTTGTATTTTACATCTTTGCTATTTTTCTAAAAGGAATTGTTTTTTTTTTTCAGGCCTGCAGATAAAACATCTAATGAAAAGAACGAGGTATTGTAAAAAAGGAAATGATCTAAAATATTGTTTTTAAAAAACAAGTTCTAAAAGGTAAAAATGAAAAAAATAAGATGTTTTGTTGTAAGGCTGTTTGCTTAGAAAAAGTGATGAAGAAACAGTAACCGTTGATAATGGTACCTTTTAAGAACAATCTGTTGCTTTAAGAAGTACCTGTATTTTTGCTCATACAAAAAAAATGGAGAAATACCGCTTCTGTACCTTTAGTATATGCTATAAATCTTTCGAGGACATTTTGAAACAGTATTATTTATCTTATAGGTCAAAAACCAAATATATCCTGAGGCTGACTTTGCTGACTCAATGGAGCCATCTGAAATAGCCTCAGAGGATTGTGAATTGTCTCACTCTGTTTATGAGAATTTTATGTTGCTGATTGAACAACTTAGAATGGAGTATAAAGGTAGGACCACTGCATAAATGCAAGGCCTTTTGATGTATCCTGCAGTAATGTGTGTATACATTGCTGAGAACTGACGTGTGATAGTGAAGCTCATCTCAGAAATACGCTCAGTGTTAAAATAGAGAACTAACTTATACTCTACGCCAAAGAGCTATGATAACTCCACTGTACTTTTCTCAGTGTGAGTGGCATTCCCAGTCTTTTTGTTGACTCTTTCTCTCCTATTCCTTCCCCCAATGTCAGGTTACCATTTTTTTCTCCACCTGGAATGCTGCGAGAATCTTAGGAATCTTAGAACTGTTTTCCCAAATACCCCACCTCCTAAAACCATGGTCTAGTCTGCAATCATAATGATAAATTTTTAAAAATTCGGATCTGATCATGTTACTCCTTTGCTTATAACTCAGCTACTGCTTCTTATTGCTATAAGGTTAGAGATCTGAATCCTCTAGCTTTATCCTGCATCGTTTTTACTCTTCTCTTTCTCTGTGTCCCACTCTGTGTCTTATATGTTTGTTCCAGCACTGATAGCTTCAGTGAGGTATAACTGATATGTGATAGACTGCACGTATATAAAATATACAATCGTGTGCACATTTGAAACCACCATAATCAGGAGAGTTAACATGTTCATCATCCATAAAAGTCTCTTCTTGTCCCTTTGTCTTTCTTTATTAAGAAACTGCTAAATTGTTTTCCAAAGTATTTGTATTGATTTTGCATTCCAACCAGAGGTATACGACATTTCTTGTTGTTCTGTATCATCACAAGCTCTTATTATTGCTGTTTTTAAATTTTGAAATTTTAGCCATTCTGATGGATGTGTATTATGCATATCATTATGGTTTTAATGTGCATTACCCTAAGGACTAATAATGTTGAGCATCTTGTATATGCTTATTTGCCACCTGTGAACTGTCTTTTCCAATCTGGGTAGCTTATGAACATTTAAAATTGAGATTCGATTCAATCAGCTTTTTTACATACACCAAAGATAGTCAAACCTTTTCATTTTCAAACTGTTATCTTACTAAACATAGTAAATATTTTAAACTTGTGACAAAATGGTCTCTGTCACAGCCAATCAACTCTGCCATTGTAGTATGAGACCAGCCATAGACAATACATATGTTAAAAAACACAGCTGCATTCCATTAAAACTTTATTTGCAAAAATAAGAAGCTGCCCCGCAGGTTGGATTTTACCCATCCCTATTATGTGATCATGATTGTGAATAAAGACAGTTTTACTTCTTCTTTTCAACTCAGGTAGCTTTTATTTCCTTTTCTTTCCTAACTGCACTGGCTTCAGTGCAATGCTGACTAAAATAGTGAAAGGAGACATTCCTGTATTGTTCCCGATCTTACAGGGAAAGCATTCAGTTTTTCATCATGACACATGTTAGTTGTAGGTTTATCAGAGATGCTCTTTATCATGCTGATGGTGTTCCCTTGTATTCTTTGGTTACTGAGAGGGATTTTTTTTTTAAATCAGGAATGAATGTTGTATTTTATCAAATGCCTCTATCTACTGAGATGATCATATGGTTCTTTTAGTTTTTTAATGTGGTGAATACTTATATTTTACTGTCAAACAAACCGTGTATTTAGGGATAAACCCCACTTGTTTATGATGTATTATCCTTCTAATGTATCATTGGATTTGATTTGCCAAAGCTTTATTTAGAGCGTTTTAAAAGACTATTTTTTAGAGTAGTTTTAGCTTCACAGCAAAATTGAAAGTAAGGCACAGAGATTATCCCTGTACTCCCTGCCCCCACACATGCATAGCCTCCACAATTATCAATATCCTCACCAGAGTGCTACACTTGACCTCATTGATGTTCCTGAATTGATAATCATAATCATCCAAAGTCCATAGTTTATATTAGGGTTCAGTCTCGGTGTCTTATATTCTGTGAATTTGGACAAAAGTATAAGGACATGTATTTATCATTGTAGTATTATTCAAAGTAATTTCAGAGCTTTAAAACTCCTTTGCGCTTCATCTGTTCATCTTTTCCCACCTTCCCTCCCCAACTCTTGGCAACCACTGACTTTTTTTACTGTGTCTATGGTTTTGCCTTTTCCAAAATGTCATTTAGTTGGTATCAGACAGCGTGTAGCCTTTAGACTGGCATCTTTCACTTGGTAATATGCCTTTGTGGTTCCTTCATGTCTTCTCATGGCATGATAGCTCATTATCGCATGGCTGTACCAGAAGTTGTTCACTCACCTAAAGGAGGATATCTTGGTTTCTTGAGAAACTGGTTACATTTTTACGTCCATGTTCATGAGGGAGTTTTCTCTTTTTGTAATATCATTGTCAGACTTTGGTTCAGGGTAATGCTAGAGTGACAGAATGAGTTGTATTTCTCCTCTATTTTTTTTTTGAGGGCGGGGGAGAGGTCATATAAAATTGTTATATTGCTTCTTAAATATTTGGTAGAATTCACCAGCATAGCTATCTGGGCCTGGAGTTTTCTTTCTAGGAAGGCTTTACTTATGCTTTCTTTTATAGATATAGGACAGTTCATGTTATTCCTTCTTAAATTGGACCTTGGTAATTTTTGTTTTTCAAGGAAAGTGTCCATTTTATCAAAGTTGTCATGTTTAGTCACATAAAGCTTACCTTATTATATTTCTATTCTTTTAGTATCTGTAGAATCTATAAAAATGTCATATTACTATGTTTCTGAAATTAGTAATTTGCATCTTCTTTTTTATGATCAACCTGGCTAGAGTTTTATCACTTTTATTGACCTCCTCATAGTGTGTGGTTTTATTGATTTTTTTCCTATTGTTTTTCCATTTTATTGGTTTCATCTTTGATGTTTTGGTCTGTTCCGCCTGCTATAACAAAATACCATAGACTGGGTAGCTTATAAACAACAGAAATAGATTTCTCACAAAAGTCCAAGATCTAGGTGCTGGCAGATTTGGTGTCTGGTGAGTGACCAATTCCTGGTTCATAGATCTCTTTTTTCCCCCTGTGTCCTCACATGGCAGAACAGGTGAATGAGCCCTCTGGGGTCTATATATATAAGGGCACTAATCCCACTAATGAGGGCTTGGCTCCCATGAGCTAATTACCTCCACAAAGCCTCACCTTCTGATAACATCACCTCTGTGATTAAGTTTCAGCATATGAGTTCTGGGAGGATGCAAATGTCAGACAATACCAGATGCTTATTGTATCATTTCCTCTGCTTGCTTTGAGTTTAATTTGTTCTTCTTCTTTTTCAGTTTCTTCTCTTTTTTTAGTTTCTTAAGATAAAAGTCAAGACCATTGACTTGAGAGTCTTCTAATATAGACATTAAGTGCTAAAAAATTTTAAGTACTGTTGTAGCTGTGTTCCACAAATCCTGATATGTAATATTTTCATTTTCATTCAGTTCAAAATACTCTCTAATTTCTCTTTGCATCGTGTCTTTGACCTAGGGTTATTTAGATGTGTATTACTTTGTTTTAAAATATTTGAATATTTTGATGAGATATTTTGTTACTAATTTGTGACTTGATTGCCATGTGGTCAGGGAACATACTTTGTATGACTTAAATCTTTCTGACTTAATTCTTTCATTAAGATTGATTGCAGGCCGGGTGCAGTGGCTCACGCCTGTAATCCCAGCACTTTGGGAGGCTGAGGCGGATGGATCACGAGGTCAGGAGATCGAGACCATCCTGACCAATACGTTGAAACTCTGTCTCTACTAAAAATACAAAAAATTAGCAGGGCGTGGTGGCAGGCTGAGGCAGGAGAATGGCGTGAACCCGGGAGGCGGAGCTTGCAGTGAGCCGAGATCCCGCCACTGCACTCCAGCCTGGGAGACAGAGCGAGACTCCGTCTCAAAAAAAAAAAAAAAAAAAAAGATTGATTGCAGAACCTAGAATGTGGTCTGTTTGGTAAGTGCTCACTGGGTACTTGAGAAGCATGGTGTTGTTCAAGTGTGCTCCATTCTTGCTGATTTGCTGCTCCCTTGTTTTATCACTTATTGAGTAAGTGATATTCAAATCTCAGATGTACTTGTGAATTTGTCTATTTCGTCTATTGATTTTTGCCTCATATATTTTGAAGCTGTTATTAGGTGCACAAACAGTTGAGATTACACGTTCTTGATTAACTGAATTTTTTTTTTTTTTTTTTTTTTTTTTTTTTTTTTTTGGTATTTTTAGTAGAGACGGGGTTTCACCATGTTAGCCAGGATGGTCTCAATCTCCTGACCTCGTGATCCACCTGCCTCGGCCTCCCAAAGTGCTAGGATTACAGGCATGAGCCACCGCGCCCAGCCGATTAACTGAACTTTTAAAAGTCATTAGGAAATGACTGTTTATAGCTGGTAATTTTTTTTTTTTTTTTTTTTTTTTTTTTTTTTGTGTGAAATCTACTTTGGTATTAACATAGCCATTTCTTCTCAGGCTTCTTTTGTCAACTCTTAGCCTGGTATATCTTTTTCCATTCTTTTGAACAATTTATGTTTTTACATTTAAAGTGCTTTTTTTTAATAGGAAGCATGGAGTAGGTTCTTGCCTTTTTATCCAGTCTGACAATCTGCCTTTTAATTGAGACTTTTAGGCCAGTTCCATTTATAATGTGCTTATTAATACAGTGAAATTTGTCTGTCATCAAGCTGTTTGATTTCCACTGGTCCCCCCAGTTCTTTGTTCTCTTCTTTTTCTGCTTTCTTCTCAGTTAGTCCAGTAATTTTTATGATTTATTTTTATCTCCCTTTTATGGCTTATTAGCGATAACTATTTTTTTCTATCTTAGCAGTTGCACTACAATTTATAGTATATGATTTTAACATCACAGTCCATCTTCAAAAAATATTATGGCATATCATATATGGCATAAGAAAATTATGAATGAAAACCCAAACATTGTATGTTCTCACTTGTAAGTGGGAGCTATGCTATGAGGATGCAGGGGCATAAAAATGATACAATGGAGGTTGGGGACTTGTGGGGAAAGAGTGGGAGGGGGGTGAGGGACAAAAGACTACGGATTGGATCCAGTGTATGCTGCTTGGGTGATGGGTGCGCCAAAATCTCAGAAACCACCACTAAAGAACTTATTCATGTAACCAAGGACCACCTGTTACCCCAAAAGCTATTGAAATTTTTTAAAAAAGAAAATTGGAATAGTATACTTTCATTTCCTCTCTCCCAGCCAGATACTTCTGGATTTGTAGGATTATAGTTTTCTTTACATTTAGAAAGTTTTGGCCATTCTTTTTTTATTTTTCTGTCTCTCTTTTTCCCTCTTTGGGGACTTATTCCTGCTTGAAGTTTTCTCATAGTTCACTGATGTCTCAAATTTATGAATCTTCTCTTTGGTGATGTCTAATCTGTGTTCACTTCCATCCATTTTAGCTTTCATTCCTGACATTGTAATTTGAATCTCTACAAGTGTAGTTTGCTTTAAAGAAAAATCTTCCGGCCGGGCGCGGTGGCTCAAGCCTGTAATCCCAGCACTTTGGGAGGCCGAGGTGGGCGGATCACGAGGTCAGGAGATCGAGACCATCCTGGCTAACACGGTGAAACACCATCTCTACTAAAAATACAAAAAAAAATTAGCCGGGCGCGGTGGCAGGCGCCTGTAGTCCCAGCTATTCGGGAGCCTGAGGCAGGAGAATGGCGTGAACCCGGGAGGCGGAGCTTGCAGTGAGCCGAGATCAAGCCACTGCACTCCAGCCTGGGCGACACAGCGAGACTCCGTCTCAAAAAAAAAAAAAAAGAGAGATAAAAAAAAAAGAAAAATCTTCCATGCCTCTGCCTGTCTGCTTGAGCTTAATTTTAATATACAGTTGAGTTCCATATGAACAGCTTGATCTTTCTGATCTTGCTTTTATGATTTGGTCTAATTTCCTGCTCCTGAGGCAAGATCTTTGTGATGACTCTATTCATTGCCATGCGAAGTCTCAGTTTTCCCAGCATCACTCATGGGAATGGACACTCTTTTTGGCACATCGTGAACACCAGACATGTTTCTTTCCAGTGTTTTTTAGATGTTTTTTTCCCCTTGATCTGGGGCGGTTTTCTGGCACACATGTGCTGTTTGTTACTCTGCTAGATACTCAGGAGGTATTTTTGCAAATCTTCAGTGTTCTTTCCCTGTACTCTGTCTCCTTTCCGGTGTTCTGTTTCGTGATCTCTGTCTGCCTTGGCTTTACCAGACTCTCAGCTTCATCATCTCATCTCAGGGAATCTGGTGGACTCTATGTCAGTTTTTTCTCTCTGTGCGGTAGCCTGGAAACTCCGTGAAGGCAGGGAGCTGGAGTGTTGGATGAATTTCCTTTGTTTCCTGTCTTACGGGGATCATTGTCTTCATTACCTGAAGTCCACTGCCTGGTAAATCATTGTATAATATATTTTGTCTGTTTTCTTTTTGGTTGTTTCAGGCAAGAAGGTAAATCAGTACTTGCTGTCCATTGTGGCCAGAAGCAGATTCCAGCAGAGCTTCAGCACCTGCTGTCGACTGGCAAGAATGCTTTTCTACCCCTTTGCTTAACTGCTTCCTTCTCACCCTTCATTTCTCAGTGTAGCCATCTCTTCCTCAGGGAAATCTTCCCTGGGCCCATTATAGATCAAATTCTTCTGTGTGATCATAGAACTCTGTTTTCTTACACCACATATCTGAATTTATAATTGTCATTTTTGTTGTGTTTGTTCCTCACTTCACTTAAGGCTAAATGAGAGTAGAGGTCTTATCTGTTTTATCTGCAGAGCTTAGTAGAATGTCTCCCACTTTGTAGGCACTCAGTGCATATTTGTTCAATGTATGAAGGAGACAATGTTAAAAATGCACAGTTTTTTAATACCTAAAAGTACTCATATATTTTATTTCTACCTTTTCTCCCTGACACAGATTCTGCTAGCCTACCAAGAATCCAAGACACATTTTGTTTGTGTGAACACTTACTGAAACTTAAGAATAATCACTGTGACCAACTTACAGTAAAACTTAAACAAATGGAAAATATGGTCAGTGTACTACAAAATGAGCTATCTGAAACAAAAAAGACAAAATTACAGTTAGAACTTCAAAAAATTGAATGGGAGAAAGAGCTGTACGATTTGAGGTATGATGTTCTAGTTCTAAAGAAATGTTTATACTAAAGACAATATATCAGAATTTTTGTAACTGCTGACTTACCTTCTGCAGAATAATGGGGGAGAAACCTTTTTGGTCTTGTGGAATATGAAATTCTTGGAAATAATAAAACAAATTATTAACTGTGAACTCTTCTAATAAATAAATGTGTATTCTTTGCAATCTAAATGGCCATATAGAAGTCCACCATATAAAATCTTGTTATTCATTTAACAAATTGTAATTTGGGTTTTAAAATTATCTTGTATTTATAATTAATGATGTAAGGAACATCTTTTATCGTTACTATTATTTGTAGACACAGGGTCTCTGTGCCTGGGACTGGAGTTCACTGGTGTGATCATACCTCCCTGCAGCCTTGAACTCCATCCTCCTGCCTCAGCATCCTAAGTAGTTGGGACTCCAGGTGCACATTCTCATGCTTGGCTAACTTTTTAAGTGTTTTGTAGAGACGGGGTATCACTGTGTTGCTCAGGATGATCTCCAATTCCCAACCTCAAGCATTCCTTCTGCAAAATTGGCCTCCCAAATCATTAGTATGACAGACATGAGCCGTCATGCCCAGCCCAGAACATTTTTTATATAAATGTTTTTCTACATTCCTAAACTGTTTGCTTTGAATAAATTCTCCAATATAGAATTATTGGTTGAAATATAGGAACTTTTTAAAAAGACCTTTGATCAATATTTCTTAATTTTTCACAAGAATGTTTGTGTTAATTTATAGTTCAAGCAACAGAGCATGAACTGGTCACTTTTCTAAACCCAAAGTAATTTTCAAAAAATTTATACAGTTTTATTCTTTTTGAAAAATTTTTTTTAAATTTCATAGCTTTAGGTATACAAGTGGTTTTCGGTTAAATGGATGAATTGTATGGTGGTGAAGTCTGGGATTTTAGTGTGCCTATCACCCGAGTAGTACACATTGTACCTCAGTAGGTAGTTTCTCATCCCTCATCCTCCTCCCACACTCTCCCACTTCTGATTCTCCGATGTCCATTATACTACTGTGTCTGCATTTGTGCACCTATAGCTTAACTCCCTATTATGAGCGAGAATGTGGTTTTATTTGGCTTTCCATTCCTGAGTTAGTTCACTTAGAATAATGGCCTCCAGTCCCTTCCAAGTTGCTGCAAAAGACATTATTTCATTCTTCTTATGGCTGAGTAGTACTCCATGACATATATATACCACATATTATTTATTCCATTCATTGGTTGATGGACCCTTAGGTTGATTCCGTATCTTCGCAATTGTGAAATGTGCTGCAATAGACATACGTTTGCAGGTGTTTTTTTTGATATAATGATTTCTTTTCCTTTGGGTAGATGCCCAGTAGGGGATTGTTGGATTGAATGGTAGCTCTATTTTAGTTGTTTGAGAAATCTGTCTACTGTTTTTCATAGAGGTTGTACTAATTTACATTTCCACCAGCAGTGTATAAGCATTTCCTTTTCACCACATCTGCACCAACATCTATTGTTTTTTGACTTTTTAATAATGAGCATGCTGGCTGGAGTAAGGTGATATCTCCTTGTTGTTTTAGTTTGTATTTCCGTGAATGTTAGTGCTGTTGAGCATTTTTAAATATGTTTGTTGGCCATTTGGGCATCTTCTTTTGAAAAATGTCTGTTCATGTCATTTGTGTACTTTTTGATGGGATTATTTGCATTTTCTTGCTGATTTGTTTGTCCTTTGTCAGATGCATAGTTTGCAAATATTTTCTCCTATTCTGTAGGTTCTCTTACTCTGATGATTATTTCTTTTGCTGTGCAGAAGCCTTTTCTTTTCTTTTCTTTTGAGGCAGAGTTTCACTCTTGTTGCCCAGGCTGGAGTATAATGGCGTGATCTCGGCTCATGGCTACCTCTGCCTCCCGGGTTCAAGCTATTCTCCTGCCTCAGCCTCCTGAGTAGCTGTGATTAAAGGCATTGCCACCACGCCTGGCTAATTTTGTATTTTTAGTAAGACAAGGTTTCTCCATGTTGGTCAGGCTGGTCTTGAACTCCTGACGTCAGGTGATTCTCCTACCTTGGCCTCCGTGTCACTGCACTCCAGCCTGGGTGACAGAGCGAGACTCTGTCTCAAAAAAAAAAAATATATATATATATATGAATTGTATGGTGGTGAACTCTGGGATTTTAGTGCGCCCATCACCTGAGTAGTACATATTGTACCTCAGTAGGTAGTTTCATATATATATATATATATATATATATATACACACATACATTTTTTGTTTTTTTTTGGTAGAGATGAGGTCTCATTATGTTGCCCAGGCTGGTCTCAAACTTCTGGGCTCAAGTCATTCTCCTGCCTTGGCCTCCCAAAGTACCGGGATTACAGATGTGAGCCACATGTTAGGCCTAATCCATCTTGAGTTAATTTTTATATATGGTGAGAGATAGGGATCCAGTTTCATTCTTCTACATGTGGCTATTCAATTTTCCCAACACCATTTATTGAATAGGGTGTTCTTTGCCCAGTTTATGTCTTTGTACGCTTTGTGAAAGGTCAGTTGGTTATACATATTTGGCTTTATTTCTAGGTTCTCTATTCTGTTCCATTGGTCTACGTATGTACTTTTATACAAGTACCATGCTGTTTTGGTTACTTTAGCCTTGTCATATGGTTTTAGATCTGGTAATGTGATGTCTCTGGCTTCGTTCTTTTTGCTTGGGATTGCTTTGGCTATTCAGGCTCGTTTTTGATTCCCTGTGAATTTTAGGGGTACGTCCTCTAATTCTGTGAAGAATGACAGTGGTATGTTAATAGGAATTGCATGGAATCTGTAGATTGCTTTGGTTAATATGATCATTTTCACTATATTGATTCTTCTAATCTATGAACATAGGGCATATTTCCATTTGTTTGTGTCATCTATGATTTCCTTCAGCAGTGCTTTCTAATTCTCCTTTTAGAGATCTTTCACCTCCTTGGTTAAGTATATTCCTAGGTTTTTGTTGTTGTTGTTGTTGTTGCAGCTGTTGTAAAAGGGATTAGGTTCTTGATTAGATTCTCACATTGGTCATTCTTGATGTTTACTAGTGCTCCTGATTTGTGTACATTGATTTTGTAACATGAGACTTTTACTGATTTCATTGATTAAATCTAGGAGTCTTTAGGGTTTTCTAAGCTAAAACAGAGATAGTTTGACTTTGTCTTTTCCAATTTGGATGCCCTTTATTTATTTCTCTTACCTGATTGCTCTGGCTAGGACTTCCCAGTTTTATTCTAAATATGCACGAAATAAGTAAAATGGACAGTAATTGATGATTATTTTATTCCATATCTCTCATATGCAGATAAAATTAATTCCAAATTCATTGTTGAAACACATATTATCCTTTACTTTTAAATATTAGATCCTGTCTTGTTCCAAAAAGGGATTTTAAAATTGGTGATGAAATACTTAAGAATCAAGAAGATAAGTTGAAAGTGTTACCCAAAAGAGAAACATAAAAAGGATGGGGTAACAGTTATAGACAGCTTAGGCTAGTCTTGGATTATAGTAATCTGCAGATACATGGTGTGTGAATGACATCTGAAGGTGTTATCTTACACTGTAAATCATTTTTATGACTACACATATACTATTTCATGAAGATGAAAATGCATTTCTAGTGAATTTCTAAACTTGTTTGTAAACAGTAACTTCTTTTAAATTAGCTAACTCTAAATGATCTGTTCTAATTAATTTTCAACTTGCATAACGTGAAAAAGAAGTAATTTTCAACTTGTAACTTTACTGAAAAATTTCAAATATGCTTTTCCATAATATTTACCAGGGTTACTAGTAACAGAAACTTACCAGTTAATGGAATATTTCTTTCCTCACTACCTCTCAAATATATATGTCCCTTGGAAGAGATCGAAGTGAGAAATTAAAAACATGAGAACTAGAAAGGAAACAAGAGCATAGGAGTTTTTATGAGGATAATAAACCCACATGGGAAGAGCCAGATCACAGAATAAACTTTTTTATTTTTTAACAAAACACATTTTAATGTAATCCATGTTTAACTGCAGACTTGCCTTAAAACAAGAAAATGAGGAGAAAAGAAATGCCGATATGTTGTATAATAAAGATAGTGAACAGTTAAGAATAAAAGAAGAGGAGTGTGGGAAAGTGGTTGAAACAAAGCAACAACTTAAATGGAATCTGAGAAGACTTGTTAAGGAATTGAGGACAGTAAGAAATAACTTGGATCTGGTAAATTAATCTTTGGTGTAAACTTCATTTTTCTAACTTTATGTTTCATCGGTATTACTTATAATTTTTTGCCTTCATGTATATCATTTAGGTTTAAAATAAACCAAAACTGTTATTTCCTCTTAAGAATGAACTATGACATTTATAGATAAAATTATTTACTGTAAACCTTGTCATCTAATAGATGCTCAGTCTGTGTTTTTAGAGTGGAGGATAAGTTGAGTTTAATCACTAATATAGCTGTTCATTTACACATTTTTTATGTTAAAATACAGGCTAAATAGCTTTGAAACTATAAGGACACTAGTTAAATGTTTTGAAAGAAATTTTATTTCACAATGCTGTATCTTCTCGTAGTTAAGAACTGTTTTTCCTCTTTGACAGATTTAGCTGTCATGTATGCAATTAAGATTTGAGTGATTCTTGAGGGATAAAAGTTCTTGTGTTTTAACAGGCTACTTCTTTTTAACCGTTTTATAAGAGAGGCTCTGCTCTTAACCTTTTAGATTTTCTTTTTCAGTGCTATTAGACCAAAACCTCCATGTTATCTCTAGGTTGTGCAGGAGAGAAACGATGCCCAGAAGCAACTTTCTGAAGAACAGGATGCCAGAATATTACAAGATCAGATTCTGACGAGTAAACAAAAGGAACTAGAAATGGCTCGAAAGAAAATGAATTCTGAGGTATTTTCTTTAGTCATTTTCAAATATATTTTTGTATGTGAATATATTTTTAAAAAACAACTCTGTGCAACTTGGAAAGTACAATGGATTTTTGAACTACACACACACACACACACACACACACACACATTTGGGGGTGGTGATGGTGGTTCTGGCATTTTTGGCTCATTGAATAAAGTCATGTTCTTAATTCAACTCCATTTGTTTGCAAGAGTCAAGTAGTGACATTCACAGTGGCCTTATCCAAAGGAGAAACATTTGTTATTTTTCATAGAATTAATGATCTTTCCACAATCTCAAAATCCTTGCTACTAACAACAGACGTTCTAGTTTTCAGACATTATTTCATCTTCCTAATATATTAATGGAGAGGTTAGATTATTATTTCCACTTGTAGTAAGGATGAAATGTATAGCCAGTTCAGAGGCCGTACTTCAGATGCCGTTTCCCTTACTTTTGAGGAGAGTAACAGTTTGCTCCAAGTAGCGTCTCATTTCAGTGCAAAGAGCTTTGAAAACAATGATATGCCATAATATAAACTTGGTGATAATTTATTGGTAAGTGTTTTTTCTTAGAAAAATAGTTCAGTGTGTGGGAGACTGAGGCGGGTGGATCACGAGGTCAGGAGATCAAGACCATCCTGGCTAACGCGGTGAAACCCCATCTCTACTAAAAATACAAAAAAAATTAGCCAGGCGTGGTGGCGGGAACCTGTAGTCCCAGCTACTCGGGAGGCTGAGGCAGGAGAATGGCGTGAACCCTGGGTGGCGGAGCTTGCAGTCAGCCAAAATTGGGCCACTGCCCTCCAGCCTGGGTAACAGTGCGAGACTCCGTCTCAAAAAAAAAAAAAAAAGAAAAGAAAAATAGTTCAGTGTATTTCACCCTGTTTCATGCTTATTTCTGTTTCAGACATTATAAAGAGGAAACTTAAGTTATTGTAATAACAGATAATCTCATGATTTTCTAAGAAAAGCTCTGTAACTTCTTTTTTTACCACTGGTGTTTTGAAATAAGCCTCTTTTATATTTATATATACACAACACAGAAGTAATTGTGGTTTGGTGGAAGAGCACTAGAAGTAAAGTAAGGGGACCTAGGGAAAATCCTGCAACTTGCATATTTTTTGACCTCTCCTTTCAGAATTGTGTATAAATGAGTTCAGTGATACATGTACAAGTGCTTGGTACAAGGCCAGGTGCAGTGGCTCACGCCTGTAATCCCAACACTTTGGGAGGCCGAGGTGGGTGGATCACTTGAGCCCAGGAGTTCCAGACCAGCCTGGGCAGCATGGCGAAACCCCATCTCTACAAAAAGTACAAATACATTTAGCTGCGTGTGGGGGTGTGTGCCTCTAGTTCAGCTACCCAGGAGGCTGAAGTGGGAGGATCACCTGAGCCCGGGAGGCCAAGGCTACAGTGAGTCTTGATTGCGTCACTGCCCTCTAACCTGAGTGATGGAGTGGAGACCCTATCTCGAAAAAAAAAAAAAAAAAGCCTAATATAATGCTTAGATTTAGCATTTATGAATAAATGTAATTCTTATATAACTGATGAGAAAAATGTTAGAAAAATAAATAGCTATAGAATATTCTCAGGAAAAAAAGAACTTAAAGAACGTTGGAACATTTCCTCTGTCCAGATATATGCAAAGCTACAGCTTTTACTATAGGGTGGTGTATAGGTTAGATGTCAGAGTGTAAAGCCAATTTTTTAATGTAGTCAAATTTATTAATCTTTAATGCCTTTGAGTTTGTTGTAATTTGGAGACCGTCTTTTCCAATTCTGAGATGCTTAAAAATTCTCTAGTTATTTATGTTCTACATTCATGGATTCATTGTCTTCAAATAAACTTATGAAGTTTTGGGAATTTATGCTCTATGAGGTTTGAAGTTTCGATAGAATATTTTTTTCCAGTTGGATATCCACTTATGGCAATCTTTTCATTGTATACATTATTTAATTTCAGAGAAAATCATAATCTGTCATTTTATTGAGTGCTACTGAATGTTTCCTTTCTTACTTAGATTTCTCATAGGCATCAGAAAGAAAAGGATCTCTTTCATGAAGATTGCATGTTGCAGGAAGAAATTGCCTTGCTGAGACTGGAAATAGATACAATAAAAAATCAGAACAAGCAAAAGGAAAAGAAATATTTTGAGGACATTGAGGCTGTGAAAGAAAAGAATGATAACCTTCAAAAAATTATAAAACTAAATGAGGAAACATTAACAGAAACAATACTCCAGTACAGTGGACAGCTGAACAATCTGACAGCTGAGAACAAAATACTCAATTCTGAACTGGAGAATGGGAAACAGAACCAAGAAAGACTAGAAATAGAAATGGAATCATACCGTTGTAGACTAGCTGCTGCTGTACGTGACTGTGATCAAAGTCAGACAGCAAGAGACCTAAAACTTGATTTCCAGAGAACAAGACAAGAGTGGGTTCGTTTACATGACAAAATGAAGGTTGATATGTCTGGCCTACAAGCTAAGAATGAGATTCTTTCTGAAAAACTTTCTAATGCTGAAAGTAAAATTAACAGCCTACAAATTCAGCTCCATAACACAAGAGATGCTCTTGGAAGAGAGAGTTTGATTTTGGAACGTGTGCAAAGAGACCTCAGCCAAACACAGTGTCAGAAGAAAGAAACTGAACAAATGTACCAAATTGAACAAAGCAAACTGAAGAAATACATTGCCAAGCAGGAATCTGTAGAGGAGAGATTATCTCAACTACAAAGTGAAAATATGTTGCTTCGACAGCAACTGGATGATGCTCACAAGAAAGCTAACAGTCAAGAAAAGACAAGCAGTACTATCCAAGACCAGTTTCATTCTGCTGCCAAAAATCTTCAAGCTGAGAGTGAAAAGCAGATTCTTTCACTACAAGAGAAGAACAAGGAGCTGATGGATGAATATAATCATTTA
Source organism: Homo sapiens (assembly GCF_000001405.40). Taxonomy (NCBI): domain Eukaryota; kingdom Metazoa; phylum Chordata; class Mammalia; order Primates; family Hominidae; genus Homo; species Homo sapiens. The sequence goes on from NC_000017.11 coordinate 16,735,599, forward strand.
AAAGAAAGAATGGATCAATGTGAGAAAGAGAAAGCAGGAAGAAAAGTAAGTATTAAGAAAGATAAAATATTTTTCAACCTTCCTGAAAGAAAATGTAAAGTAATATTTGGTTATGGCTAAATGTTGTATCTAGTTGAATATAAAATGTATAGATCATAAATGTACTTGCTGTATCAGCCTAGAAATGTACCAGTGAAAAAGAAGTTAAACCTGAAAGATGCTTTACTTTGCATAAAGAAATTGTGTCACCTATGAAATTTCAAGTTCAGTTACAGTGTTAATAGGTACAGACTAATACTCATGATGTAGTCTTATGCTGCTGAAATGATCATTGCAATGCCTTTATGTGGCCATGTTTTAATACCATGATGAAGCAGATAAACAGAAATGCTCATACCTGACATGAGTATTTTGAAATTAAGATTCAGTGGGGAGGGTTGCTTTGACCGTTAATTCCAGATTTCCCAGGTGAACTGAAGTATACTGCTGTATCTCATAATACTTTTCCTTCAGTAATTTTGTAATGTATTTAAGTTGGTATAATTTTATTTTTATTCATATCAATTTGACTTAAATCTGAGACGATTTCAGTCTCAAATTACTTGTTATGACCTCTCAATTCTTTAAAGGCATTTACTTTTTTTTTTTTTTTTTTTTTGAGATGGAATTTTGCTCTGTAAGTTTTGTATTTTTAGTAGAGACGGAGTTTTGCCATGTTGGCAAGGCTGGTCTCGAACTCCTGACCTCAGGTGATCCGCCCGCCTTGGCCTCCCAAAGTGCTGGGATTAGAGGCATGAGCCACTGTGCCCAGCCTAAAGGCATTTACTTTTTATTAAATCATAATTTGGGACAGATGTGAATTTCAGCAAAGCCATGTTACATTTAATCTTACCACTGGTGTTTATAATTTACTTTGAATGTTTTTACAAAGAATTTGCTCATAATTTTCATTTCAAGGCTCACTGCCTATCATTCGGATATAACTTTGATAGTACAAAGGTAACTGTGGCTATCTGTGATTTATTTGTTTGGCACTGAGTCCCATTTTCAAACTAATCAGAAGTGGCAGGATTCACATATAGCAGGAATGGACTGAATCGGTGAGACAGTTGTAGGAGCTGAGATCAGGAGGGAGGTAGAGGCCAGGTTACCTAGGGCCTCAAAGGCCATTGGAATTTTACTTGTATTGTGAGATAGGAATCTTTTAGAAGGATCTGAGCAGGCAATTGAATATGCAAGGAACTCTGAGGTTGATTTGAGCTTCTAATAAAAAACAGGGAAAACATTTTACCAGTGTGGGATGTACCACCAGCAGCCCCACCCACGTACCAAATTCTTTTTGAGACTTCAGTAGGTTGTTAAGCACTGCAGATGTTTCAGGGAAGAGTGAGTAGTGGGCTGAATCTATTGCCTAAGTTAACAGAAAACCGATTTGGCAGGAAGATAACACCTTCTTTGTCCTTAACTAAATTCAGTAATAAACAAGAATGTGTGCACATGAGGAAAAGAAGGCGAATCATATATGTGTTGATGTTTTTCAAAGTATATGAGTTAGAGTTAAATCTTTTTTTTTTTTTTTTTTTTTTGAGACGGAGTCTCGCTCTGTCGCCCAGGCTGGAGTGCAGTGGCGGGATCTCGGCTCACTGCAAGCTCCGCCTCCCGGGTTCACGCCATTCTCCTGCCTCAGCCTCCCAAGTAGCTGGGACTACAGGCGCCCGCCACTACGCCCGGCTAATTTTTTGTATTTTTAGTAGAGACGGGGTTTCACCGTTTTAGCCGGGATGGTCTCGATCTCCTGACCTCGTGATCCGCCCGCCTCGGCCTCCCAAAGTGCTGGGATTACAGGCGTGAGCCACCGCGCCCGGCCAGAGTTAAATCTTACTACCATAATTTAATAATAAGGTGATTTATAAATCAGTAACAAAAAATACCTTCACAGGTAGTTATGAGAGAATTCCAACAAGAATGGACCGATCTCCTAAAACAACAACCTACGTCAGAGGCTACCTCACGTTGTCACATTAATTTAGATGAGACACAGGATTCAAAGAAGAAATTGGGTCAAATCAGAAGTGAAGTATGTATGAAACATAACATGTCAACAGTTAATCTATAGGTGGTGAAATAATGTCAGATGTTTTAGGATACTGATTGCAGTGGATAGCTTTCTTTTGTATTTTTATTATAATTCATTTTATTACAATTTAATTATCTTTATAATACACTTGTTTCTTAACCTCTGGCTTTCATTCTGTCTTTTTCTCCTCATAAGTACATACATTTTAAAAATAAGGATCATTTCCAAAGATCCTTAGGAAAATTGGGAATTATTCAGTATTCCTCACAGAAGTTGAGAGGCTTTTTTTTTCCTGTGAAGTAGTATTTTTTTAGTGATTTCTCTATTGCCATGGTGAGGCAAGCCAGATTAAATTATAGGATAATGTTTAATAGAATGTTCCAGAAAATTGTCTTATTTCTTATCTTTTGTGAATGGGTACAGAATCTGTGTATATTTATTTCATGAATTTCAGGATAACTGGTACAGAAAGGCCATAGTACTGTTCTCCAAAATGCAAATGTTTTAATTTACAAACTACTTGAAATGTTAGGTACTTCCTTTATTTTCCTTTCATTTTAAATATATTGTGCTTTTTTACAAATCATGTATAGTATGTACATCCAAAGTAGAGAATTAAGAGATATATCTAGATTCTACCACTGAATTTTTAAAAACAAGTTTACTGAGAGAGAATTCTCATACCATACAGTTTACCCATTGAACGTGTACAATTCATGGTCTCTTAATATATTCACAGAGTTGCATAACCATCACCATCATCAATTGTAGGACATTTTCATGACCCTGAAAAGAATCAGCAATCTATTTTGTTTCCATAGATTAGCCCATTCTGGACACCACGTATCAATTGGATCACACAATGTGTGGTGGTCTTTTGTGACTGGCTTCTTCTACTTAGCATAACATTTTTAAGGTTCATTGTGTTGTAACATGTATCAATATTTAATTTCATCTTATTGCTGAGTAATTTTCCACTGTATGGACATACCACTAATTTATTTAGCCATTCATCCGTTGATGGACCTTTGGGTTGTTTCCATGTTTTGGCTATTATTAATCATGCTGCTGTGAACTTTTATTTACAAGTTTTTGTGTTTGTATATGTATTCCTTTCTCTTGGGTATATACATATGAGTTGAATTTCTGGGTCATATGGTAACACTATGCTCAACCTTTTGAGGAGCTGCCAGTCTGCTTTCCAAAGTGGTTGCACCATTTTACGTTCCCATCAGCATTGTATGAGGGTTCTAATTTCTCCACATCCTTGCCAACATTTTTCATATTTTTGATTGAAAAAGAATTCCAACCTAGAGGTATGAAGTGGTACCTCATTGTGGTTTTGATTCACATTTCCCTAATGATGAATGACTTTAAGCCTCTTTTTATGTGCTTATGAGCCACTTGTATATCTTCTTTGGAGAAATATCTGTTCAAATCTTTTGCCCACATTAAAATTGGGTTGTCCTAAATTTCTGAATTTTAAGAGTTCTTTATATACCCTAGGTGTAAGTCCCTTATCAGATATGTTTCCAAATATTTTCAATGGCTTTCCTTTTTATTTTCTTTTTTATGATTTATTATGTTTTTAAAATTTATATAATTTTAAATTGTAGAGAGAAGGTCTCACTATGTTGTCCAGGCTGGTTTTGAACTCCTGAGCTCAAGCAATCCTCCCACCTCGGCCTCCCAAGTGTTGGGATTATAGGTGTAAGCCACCATGCCCAGCCTCCTTTTCACTTTCTTGATGGTCTCTGTTCAAGCACAGAAGTTTCACATTTTGATGAAGTCCAGTTAATTTTTTTGTTTGTTTGTTTTGCAGTCACAAAGATTTATGGCTATGTTTTCTTCTAGGAATTTTATAGTTTTAGTTCTTACATTTAGTGGTTCTATTTTGTTACTTTTAGGTATGACATTTGGTGAAGTCCACCTTTATTCTTTTGCATGTGGATATACCGTTTTCCCAGAACCATTTGTTGAAAAATCTATTCATTTCTCATTTAATTTTTTTTACACCCTTGTTGAAAATCAGTTGACCATAAAAATGTGTGTTTGTTTTTGGATTCTCAGTTATAATATATTGAGCTATGTCTATCCTTATGCCAGTAGCAAATCACATTTTAGGAAAATTCATTTTCAGTCCTGTTGCTTATTACCAGTTGTCTTATGTAAGAATAGAAATTCAAGTAGTAGAATGTCTTTAATTTCACTTTTTGCTTCTTGAAGGAGTGTATGGCCAGCTTATGCCTTGCTGACTCCATGACATGATGAGAGTCAGGCTTACGAAGACAGATCCCATTAATTTTTTTTCTCCAGTCATACCTTTTGTCTCTCACCCAGTGCCTCTCTCTTCATTCCCATTTCCATCAAATCTTGGTCACAGGATATGCTGACTCCTTCTACTATTTACTGCATTATGTTTTTATTAACTCATTGTAAGTCATAGAGTCATGTGTAGATTTTAACTATCTATGAAGGGCAAGATTAAGTCTAGGCTGTCATCTTTCCTCATTGGAAATTGAGCTAATTCATCATGTTGCAGTTTACAGTTAGATACTCTTTTGACCCAGCACCTGGTTCTCTTGTACACTCCCGGAGCTGAATCCTCTTCTTGGCACAGATACTACATTCTCAGAAACCAGAGTTCCCTGCATTTACCTCCTTTTGCTTAAATAGAGATGCATAGCTATGCTTTTATAGTTCAATACATAATTCATTGAATAAATACTTCAACCCATTCAAAGAACAACTTCCAGGAGTACAGCAACTGGAAATCAGGTCATGTCCAGGCATTTATCAGAAACAAATGGTTGAATTAGTTGTATGAATTTCAAAATTTCAGAGCCAATTTTTATGATATGGAGAAGCATTTTGATACAACATAAAGATGAGATGCTCTTCTCTTCTCCATACAAATGAGCTTGAAGTAAGGTAAAGGGGAAATTGCATTTAATAGCTTAACACTCAAAGGACACTACATTTTTACTTCTGAGATTGTTAAAACTGATTCCATAATATTTTGTTAATTTTCTCACTGAGGAAATGGAAATGAAGATTGAATCCTAGATTGATTAATAAATATCCAAAGCTGCTTATTACTTTTAGAATTTCAGTTCATTGAAATCAGGTACAATGTCTGATTTTTGGTTATTAATCAAATATTTCTGGTTTTTTCAACTTTATACTTCAAATTATATATCTCCTTCCTTCTTCATCTTCCTTATTTCATAACTCGGGGGACAAATTCTAAAAGCCTCACTGGCTTAGTCATCAGAATTTGTAATCGAAAGGAACTTTTTCTAAACTTCCTCTGCAGTAGTTCTTACATCCTTCTCCTGGTTGTCTGCTGCTTCCCATTAGAGTTGTTTGTCATTAATAAATTAACCTCAACATTTTTTAGATCTTACTTTAAAGGAGACTAATTTCTACTGGGTATGTTATTCTATTTCTTGTTGTCTCCTTGTTTAAATTTATTTTTCTGGTTATTTTTTCCTAACAAATTACCCAAAGTTGAGTGGCTAAGAACAACATTCGTTAAGTTCACCAATCTGTGGCTTGGGAAAACCTTGGCTGGGACAGCTTGCCTCTGCTCCCTTCAGCTTCACTTGGGATAAATCAAAGGCTGAGGGACTGGAATCATCTGAAGGTTTGTTCACTAAGATGTCTGTTGCTGATGGTGGCTATTGGTTGGAACTTTAGCTGGGGCAGGTTGCCCAAATATCTACATTGGAACTCCTAGGCTCTCTTTGTGGCCTAAGCTTCCTCACAGCATGGGGGCTGGGGTCCAAGGGTGAGCAGTCTGCGGTAGAGAGCCTCTTCTAACTTAATGTTGGAAGCCACATGGTTATCACTTTTAACACTTTCTGTTCATTAGAAGCAAGTCACTAAGTTTCACCCATAGTCTGTATATAGGATGAATGATTTTGCTTTTATTTTTATTGATGTATTTTTTTTTAGACATGGTGTCTTATTATGTTACCCAGGCCGGCCTTGACCTCCATGGCTCAAGAATTCTTCCTGCCTCTGCCTCCCAAGTAGCTGAGACCACAGGAATGTGACACCACACCTGGCTTCTTTAGATTTTTTGTGGACCTGTATAATTGAACATATTTATGGTATACACAGTGATATTTTGATATGTGTAAACAATGCATAATGGTCAAATCAGGCTAATTAATATATTCCATCACCTCAAACATTTACCATTTCTTTGTGTTGTGAACTTTCAAAATCCTCCCCTCTAGCTTTTTAAATATTAGCTAGCCAAGCCAGGTGTAGTGGCACACACCTGTAATCCCAGCTGTTTGGGAGGCTGAGGCAGGAGAATGACTTGAACCCCGGAGGCGGAGATTGCAGTGAGCTGAGATTGCACCACTGCACGCCAAGCCTGGGTGACAGAGCAAGACTCTGTCTCAAAAAAAAAAAAAAAATTAGTTAACCATATTCACCCTACAATGCAACAGAACACTAGAATTCATTCCTCCTATGTAACTGTAATCTTGTATCCATTAACCAGCCTCTCCCCATCTTCTACTCCCCTTTACCTTTCTCAGCCTCTAATACCCACAGTTCTACTCTCTACTTCCGTGAACTTTTTTTTAAATTTTAGCTCCCACATGAGTGAAAACATACAGTAGTTATTTTTCTGTGCTTGAATTATTTCACTTAGTGTCACTTAATGTCCTCATCATGCTGTAAATGACATGATTTTATTCTTTTTTTATGGCTGAATAGTATTCCACTGTGGACATATACCACATTTTCTTTACTCATCAACCACATTGATCTGTTGATGAACATTTAGGTTGATTCTGTATCTTGGTTGTTGTGAATAGTGCTGCAATCAACATGGGAATACTGGTATCCCTTTGATATGCTGATTTTCTTTCTTTTGGATAAATAGTAGTGGGATTGTTGGATCATATGACACTTCTATTTTTAGCTTTTTAAGAAACTTCCATGGTTATACTAGTTTACATTCCCTCCACGAGTGCATAAGAGTTTTCTTTTTCTCTCCAACCTCGCCAGGATTTTTTACTTCTGGTTTCTTTGTTTTTTGTTTTTTGATTTTTTTTGATAGTAGCCATTCTGTGGTGAGACGATATCTTATTTGGGATTTTGTTTTCATTTTCCTGTTAGTGATGTTGAGTACTTTTCCATACATTTGTGGACATTCGTATGTCTTCTTTTTAGAAATGTCTATTTAAATTCTTTGTCCACATTTCAGGGGGGATTATTAACAATTTTTACTGTTGAGTTGTTTGAGTTCCTGGCATATTCTAGATATTAGACCTTTCTCAGATGAATAGATTTGTAAATATTTTCTCCCAGTCTACAATTGTTGGTTGTTTCCTTCACTTTGTTGATTGTTTCCTTTGCTGTGAAGAAACCTAATTTTAATATAGCTTTACTTGTGTATTTTTGTTTTTATACCTGTGCTTTTTTTTGCATATGCCCGTGATAACTTAGCTATAAAATCTTTGCCTTGACCAATGTCCTGAAGCATTTTCCATATATTTTCTTGTTAGTAGTTTTATAATTTTGGATCTCATGTTTAAGTCTTTAATCTATTTTGAGTTGATTTTTGTATATGGTGAAAGATAGGGACCTGGTTTCATTCTTCTTTTTACAGATACCCACTTTTCCCAGCCCCATTTGTTGAAGAGAGGGTTCTTTCCCCAATGTATGTTTTTGATACTTTTGTTGAAAATCAGGTGTCTGTAAATATGTGGATTTATTTCTGTGTTCTCTATTCTGTTCCATTGGTTTAATTTTCTATTTTTATACCAAGACCTTGCTCTTTTGGTTACTGTAACCTTGTAATATATTTTGAAGTCAGGTGGAGTGATGCCTCCAGCTCTGTTCTTTTCCCTCAGGCTTGGCTTGTATAGTCTAGCTTTTTTGCAGTTCCATATGAATTTTAGGATTGTTTTTTCCATTTCTGTGAAGAATGTTATTGGTGTTTTTTTGTTGCAAGTTATAAAGGGCATTTTATTTTTATCTTATTCTTTCTCTTTCTTAACTTTCAGATTCAGGGAGTACATGTGCAGGTTTGTTACACAGGTATATTGCATAATGCTTAGGTTTAGGGTGCAGTTGAACCTATCACCCAGGTAATGAGCATAGTACCTGGCATGTCATTTTTCAACCATTGTCCAACCCAGTCCCCCTTCTTATAGTCCCCACTGTCTATTGCTCCCATCTTTATGTCCATGTGTACCCAATGTTTAGCTCCCACTTATAAGTGAGAACATGTAGTATTTGGTTTTCTGTTTCTGCATCAGTTTGCTTAGGATAATGGCCTCCAGCTGCATCCATGTTGCTGCAAAGGGCAGTATTTTGTTCTTTTTATAGTTGCATAGTATTCCATATTGTATATGTGCTACATTTTCTTAATCCAGTGCATCATTGATGAGCTTCTGGTTTTATTCCATATCTTTGCTGTTGTGAATAGTGCTGCAGTGAACATTGGGTGCATGTGTCTTTTTGGTAGAATGATTTTTTGGTGGTGAGAAGTGGATATTTAACCAACTAATGGGATTGCTGGGTTGAATGGCAGTTCTACTTTTAGTTCCGTGAGAGAAACCTCCAAACTGCTTTCCACAGTGGCTGAACGAATTTACCATTTTCTCCAATAGTGTATTAGAATTCCCTTTTCACTGTAGCAGCTCTGCCAAAATCTGGGTTGTTGTTGCTTATTTTTTGACTTTCTAGTAATAGCCATTATGTCTGGTGTGAGATGGTATGTCATTGTGGCTTTGATTTGCTTTTCTCTGATGATCAGTGATGATGAGCATTTTTTCATATGTTTGCTCTCCACTTTTATGTCTTTTTTGGAGAAGTGTCTGTTAATGTATTTTGCCCGCTTTTATATATTTTTTTAAATTCTTGTTTGTTGATTTAAGTTCCTTATAGGTTCTGGATATTAGAACTTTGTTCAATGCATAGCTTGTAAATACATTCTTTCATTGTTTAGGTTGCCTATTTAGTCTCTTGAATGGTTCCTTTTCCTATGCAGAAGCTCCTTTGTTTAACTAGGTCCCAATTTTTCTTTCTTTTTTTTTTTCTTTAACAAAATTTTTACTTAATAAATGGTTAAAATCGCAGTGCCAAAAATACATTCACATTTAGCAATTTCACTGAAAGGAAGAAACTACAGAATGCACGGTTTCAGAAAGCTATTTTAAGTTATTTACAAATAAAGTATCTAAAACTCAAAAACAGGCTGTGTGTGCTATATCTCGTTTATCCCTTCCCGAACAAAATTTCTGTTATTTGGGCAAATTCTTAAATCATGATTTAAACCGTAATGGTTACAAACCACAAACACATCCATCCAAAGACTGAAACCATTTTTATCTGGTCAGTGGCAAAACTGTTGAAAGGGCAATAGTTGAAGCTGTTGGGTTTTATATAGTGTGAACTCTGATAAATATTCCTACCAGGACTAAAACACAGCACACTTTGCAGGCATGGCTGACTCACAAAGGTTGTAACAAACAAGAACTACTCTTCACTCGACACCATGGCTCAGAGGCCACCGAGAAGCACGAGTGACTGACAGCTCCTCTGCTTACAAACGAATGAAACCCAAAGTGGATGTCGTTCTCACAGCACTGAAAGTGCTTCAGGACTCACACTGATCCAATACTAACTTTCTTCCCTATTTTACACATATTTTTCTACTGTCCAGTGGAAATCATTTTCTGTTTTGGCTAAACAACAAATACTAGTTTATAACAGGAATGGTAAAATCTGTGAGAATTCTGCTCAATTTAATACAAGATCACTACTTTCTTTAGAATGGTTTCTGCGTGTTTCTATGTCACCCTCTGTATTTTTAGCTTCCAGTTTCCTGGTAAGGAATAAGTTCTCCTTCCCAGTCACACTCGGGGTCATTTACACGTTTCTGGGATGCCCTCGCTCGTCCATGGAGGCCAGGTGCGTGCAGTGACTCACTCTGCCTCTTCCCTCTTCTCAGGACCAGTCCCCGAACCTTCTGCCTTGCAGATCCTCCTGTTTCCGCCACACTCTCGCGCTCGGAAGTGAGCTCCTGGATCATACAGCTGCAAGGCTGGCCGGTCCTTGTTTGCCAGTCGCTCTTTTCTGGGTGCTGGACTGTCGTCACACCTCTGCGCTCTTCCCAGTCTCTCCATGGCCTCCCCCGGAGCCCCGCTGTCCTGGCTCCCCTTCTTCCCTCTGTCTTGGCCAGGTCCTTTCCCCCATCTCTGCTCATCCTCACTCCTTCTGGAAAGCCGGTCAGGCTCGTGGTGAGCTCTGTGCCTCCTGCCGTCATCCACATGGTGTCTTTGTGATTCAGATTCTTGTTCTTGAGATCTCTCCACATCCCTGTGCTCTTTATCACTGCCGCTGTGTGACGTCTCCTGGGGCTCCTTCAGCGAGCCTTCCACGGGCCTGGCTTTTACGACTGCACCGGGAGCACAGGATTCCTGCTTGCCACCTCCAGTATCAATCTCCTCTCCTCTTTCTTTTGGTTTCTCTGTGGTTGGTTCCTCTCCCTTTTCTGGTTTCTTAAGAAGCTTAATCCTTACTTCTTTCTCTGCAATTTTCTTCTGTTTATCTGTCTCTCTCTCTCTTTTTTTTTTTTTTTGCATCTTTCTTCTTTTCTTCTTTTTTCCTCTTCCCGCAAACGTTTATTTTCTAACTCTCTCCTCCGTTCTTCTCGCTTCTCTTCTCGAATTCTCTGCTTTTCTAATTTTCTATTTTTAATATATTCCAAAAGAGGTGTGGTTCTTCTAGCAATGAGCTCTCTTGTCTTCGCCTCCATCTCCCCCAGCAGAGTCTCAGGGTTGGCACTGGTCTTCTCTTCCTCCACACAGTAGGTTTCTAAAAACTTCTTATATTCTGGATCTTTGCTGTCAAGGAAGATATATCCATCAAAACGATCTCTAAAAAGAAGGATGTCATCAGGATTCCTAAAATTAATGTATGCTCTTGAGTAGAGATGAGGATAAAGACTCAGGTCGGCGGCGAAGAACTCGAAGTAGTCGTGTGCTGGCAGCGGGCGCAGCTGCTCCTCCAGCTGCTCCTTGGTGAGGCCCGGAGGCAGGCGGCAGATGACCACCTGCGGGGAGCGCGCGGCCGTTCCCACCGGGGCGGAGCGTGGACAAGGAGCTCAAAAGGCACCGCGTACCGCGCTGGGAGGCCCGGCCCCCGCCCCTCCCTCCTCTCCCTTCTCTCCCTTCTCTCCCTCCCCTCCCTCCCCTCCCTCCCCTCTAGGTCCCAATTTTTCATTTTGACTTTTGTTGCAATTGCTTTTGAGGGCTTATTCATAAATTATTTTCAGAGGCTGATTTCTAATAGTGTATTTCTTAGGTTTTCTTGTAGGATTTTTATAGTTAGAGGTCTTATTTTAAGAATGTAATTCAGCTTTCATTAATTTTTGTATGTGGTGATAGCTAGGGGTCAAGTTTCATTCTTCTGTGTATGGATAATCAGTCATCCCAGCACCATTTATTGAATAGGGAGTCCTTTCCCCATTGCATATTTGTGTCGGCTTTGTCAAAGACCCAATGGTTGTAGGCATGTGGCTTTATTTCTGGGCTCTCTGTTCTGTTCCATTGGTCTATGTGTCTGTTTTTGTGCCAGTACCGTGCTGATTTGTTTAGTGTAGCGTTTGTTTACTGTAGTATAGTTTGAAGTTGGGTAATGTGATGCATCAGGCTTGGTTCTCTTTGCTTAGGATGGCTCTGGGTGTTTGGGCTCTTTTCTGGTTCCATATGAAATTTTAGAATAGTTTTTTCTAATGCTGTGAAAAATGACATTAGTAGTTTGATAGGAATGGTATTGAATCTGTAGATTGCTTTGGGCAGTATGGCCATTTTAATGCTATTGATTTTTCCAATTCATGAGCATGGAATGTTTTGCCATTTTTTTGGTGTCATCTATTTGGTGTCATGATTTTTTTCAGCAGTGTTTTGTAGTTCTCCTTGTAACCACCTTTCATCTCTGTAGTTAGATGCATTCCTAAGTATTTTGCTTTTTTGTGTGTGGCTATTACAAATTGGATTACATTCTTGATTTGTCTCTCAGCTTGAACTTTATTGGTATGTAGAAATGCTATGGATATTTTTACATTGATTTTTGTGTCCTGACTGAAGTCATTTATCAGTTCCAGGATAAATTGGCAAACTCTAGAGTTTTTTAGGTACAGAATCATATCATCAGCAAAGAGAGATAGTTTGGCTTCTTTTCCTTTTTGGATGCCTTTTCTTTCTTTCTTTTTCCTGATTGCTCTGGCTAGGAGTTCCAGTACTATGTTGAATACATACGGTGAGAGTGGGCATCTTTGTCTTGTTCCAGTGGGCAAGGGGAATGCTTCCAACTGTTTTTGTTCTTTTTTCTTTAATTTTTTTCTTTACTATTTTATAGAGACAAGGTCTCACTGTGTTGCCCAGCCTGGTCTCAGACTCCTGGCCTCAAGTGATTCTCCTGTCTTCGCCTCCCAACATGCTGGGGTTACAAGCATGAGCCAGTGCACTTAGCCCCCACTTCCAGCTTTTGCCCATTCTGTATGGTTTTAGCTGTGGGTTTGTTATAGAGTGGCCTTTATTATTTTGAGGTCTGTTTCTTTGATGCCTAATTTGTTGGGTGTTTTTTTCATGAAGGGATGATGGACGTTATTGAAAGCTTTTTTGCATCTTTTGAGTTGATCATATGGTTTTTAGTTTTCATTCTGTTTATGTGGTGAAACACATTTATTGATTTGTGTACTTTGAACCAATTGCATCACAAAAATAAAGCTGACTTGATTGTGGTGAAGTAAGTTTTTGATGTGTTGCTGGATTTTGTTTGCTGATATTTTATTGAAGACTTTGGTGTCTACATTCATTGGGGATATTGGGCTGTAGTTTTCTTTATTCATTGTGTCTTTGCTGGCTTTTAGTATCAAGATGATGCTGGCATCATACAATGAGTTAGGGAGAAGTATCTCCTCAATATTTTGGAATAGTTTCATTAGGTTTGTTAACAGCTTTTCTTTGTATGTCTGGTAGAAATTGGCTATGAGTCAGTCTGATCTGAATCTGTTTTTGGCTAGTAGGTTTTTTATTACTGATTCAATTTCAGAGCTTGTTATTTGTCTGTTCATGATTTCAATTTCCTCGTGGTTCAATCTTTGTTGGTTTCCAAGGATTTATCCATTTCTCCTAGATATTCTAGTTTGTGTGTATACAGTGGTGTTCATTGTAGTCTCTGAGGATCTTTTGTATTACTGTGGGATTGGTTGTAATGTCGTCTTTGTTGTTTCTGATTGTGCTTATTTAGATGTTCTCTGTTATTTATTTATTTATTTATTTATTTATCTAGCTAGTAGCCTGTCAGTATTTTTATCCCTTCAAAAAGCCAACTTTTGGTTTCACTGATCCTTTGTATGGATTTTTGGGCCTCAAGTTTTCTCAGTTATGCTCTAATTTTATTTATTTCTTTTCTGTTGCCAGCTTTGGGGTTATTTTGTTCTTGTTTTTTAGTTCCTCTCGGCGCAGTGTCAGATTGTTAATTACAGATCTGTCTAACTTTTCAACATATTTGTTTTGCACTATAAGCTTTCCTCTTATGCTGCTTTCGCTGTATCCCAGAAGTTTTGGTATGATGTTTCTTTTTGCTTATTACAAATCATTGTTTGATTTCTGCCTTAAATTCTTTCTTTTCCCAAAGTCATTTAGGAGCCAGTTGTTTGATTTCCATGTAATTGTGTGGTTTTCAGAGATCTTCTTGGTATTCATTTCTATTTTTATTGCACTGTGGTCCAAGAGAATGGTGTTGTGTGATTTCATTTTTTAAAAATTTATCATGACTTGCTTTATGGTCAAACATGTTGTTGATCTTGGAGTATGTTCTTTGTGCAGATGAGAAAAAAGTGTATTCTGTAGTTGTTTGGTGGAGTATTCTGTAGATGTCTGTTAGGTCCAATTAGTCAAGTGTTAAATTTAAGCCCAGAAGTTCTTTGTTAGTTTTTTGTCTCAATGATTTGCCTTAACACTATCAATGAGATGTTGAAGATCCCCACTGTTATTGTGTGACTGAGTCTTTTGGTAGGTCTGGAAGTACTTGGTTGTTTTTGAATGTGGGTGCTCCAGTGTTGGGTGGGTATGTATTTAGGATAGGGATGTCTTCTTGGCGAAGTGAATCCTTTATCATTGTGTAATGCCCTTCTTCATCCTTTTTTGGCTGTTGTTGGTTTAAAGTCTGTTTTATCTAAGAATAACAACCCCTTGCTTTTTGCATTTTATTTGCATGACAGATCTTCGTCCATCTCTTTACTCAGAGCCTGTGGGTGCCATTACATGTGAGATGTGTCTTTTGAATATAGCAGACTGTTGATTCTTATTGGTTTGTTTTATTTTAATTCAACTTGCCACTCTGTGCCTTTTAAGTGAGGCATTTAGACCATTGTATTCAGTATTAATATTTATATGTGAGATTTTGGTTCTGCCATGATGTTTTTAGCTGTTTGCTTTGTACTCTCGATTGTGTAGTTGTGTAATAGGGTCTGTGGGCTATGTACTTAGGTGTGTTTTTGTGGTAGTGGGTATTGTTCTTTCTTTTCCATATTTAGAACTCCTTAAGAATCTCTTGTAAGTCTGGTCTAGCGGTAATGAATTTCTTTAGTGTTTGTCTGGAAAAGATTGTATTTCTCTGTCACTGATGAGGCTTAGATTGGAGTGGTATGAAGTTCTTGGCTGAAATTTCTTTAAGGATGCTGACAACAGGCCCCACTTTCTGGCTTATAAGGTTTTTGCCAGAAAGAGGTCAGCTTTTCACCTGATGCAGCTGTTATAGCTGCCTGTGAGATTTTTCCTTTCGTGTTGACCTTGGAAAGTCTGATGGGCTGTGTATCTTGGGGATGGTTGTAGAGGTTCTCTGAATTTCTTGAATTTTTCCATCGACCTCTGTAATGAGATTGGGGAAATTTCATGGACTATATCCTCAGACATGTTTTCCATGTTGCTTCCTCTCTCTCCTTCTCTTTCAGCCATGCCAATGAGTCATAGATTAGTGTCTTTACAAAATCCCACATTCCTCAGATGTTTTGTTCATTTTTAAAATGGTTTTTTCTTTATTTTTGTCTGACTGGGCTGACTCAAAAGACTGGTCTTTGAGCTCTGTAATCCTTCCCTCCGCTTGGTCTCATCTGGTTTTGAAGGTCCCTCCTGTGTTGAATTTTGCAGCTCCAGAAGTTCAGTTTGATTCTTTTTAAAAATGGCTCTGTCGTGTTTCAACTTTTGGATGGTTATACTGGCTTCCTTGGATTGGATTTCAACTTTCTCTTTAATCTCATTGAGCTTTGTTGCCACTGAGATTCTGAATCACATGTCTGTGATAAAGCAAGTCATTACACTTTAATCTGGTGAGAATTTATAGCTGGGGAGCTAGTGTGATTTTTTGGAGGTAATGAAATGCTCTGATTTGTTGAATTGCTAGAGTTCTTGTACTGATTATTCCTCCTCTGAAAATGCTGATGTTTCTTTATCGTTTTGAAATTCCTGTCATTTGGATGGGGATTTTTGTTTTTATGTTCTTTTTTTTCTCTTGAGGGTTTGTGGTGTGTATTGTGTATAGTTGATTGGCCTTTTTTTCTGGGTGGTTTCAGATGGCCAGGACTCTACACAGGTTCCTTCCTTGTGGCTACTTTCCTGCATTGGGTTTCACAGATGTGTGTTGAAGGTATATAATGATTTTTGTTTGGTGGTGTAATTCAGTCTGCAATCCAGGAGATGGTGCTCTAGAGTACGGGCTGGCATGCCTCTTTTCTATTTCAGCGTGTTGGCAGCAGTGCTCTGGGGAAGGGGGAAAAGTAGGATTGTGAAGGCGAGAGATAACCCCCTCACCAAATCAGTTCCTGGAACTTGGGAGAGCCCCCTCCAATCACTGGTGCCACACCTGAATTTTGAGGGCTGCACACCTCCCACCCTTAGGGCAGCGGCCCAAGCCAAAAGTTAGGTTGCCGAGAGACCTACAACTCTCTGGGGATGTGCTGGTTGTCTGGGCTTGGTAGAGTCAGAGCAGGTTGTAGAGTATGTCTGCGGATCTGCGGGTCGTCTGTTGATATAATGTGGGTCAAGGGGGGAGGATCCCCGGGCAGGGCTGTGGTTCTGTGGGTGTGCACCTGGTGTGGTGCCTGCAGCCCAGGGTTTTTTGCCCAGCAGATGGCTGTGGGGAGCACTTAGCTCGCACTCACCCAACCAGGCCTCCCTCCAGTGTCTGCCCCCAGGGCAGGCCCAACTAGGTAGTTTTGTCCCCCAGCCTTCTGTGCCCAGATCAACTGGACTGTTAGCTGTTTCAGGCAGTGGTGCTCCCTCAGGCAGAGGCTGTGGACAGACAGGTTACACCCTTCCTGGACAGATCTTGTAGAACAGGGTCCCCAACCTCCAGGTGGCAGACCAGTACTGGTCTGTGACCTGTTAGGAACTGGGCCGCACAGCAGGAGGTGAGGGGAGGGCTGGTGAGTGAGCATTACCACGTGAGCTTCGCCTCTTGTCACATCAGTAGCGGCATTAGATTCTCATAGGAGCGCGAGCCGTGTTGTGAACTGTGCACGTGAGGGATCTAGGTTGCGTGCTCCTTATGAGAATCTAATGCCTGACGATCTGAGGTGGAACAGTTCCATCGCGAAACCATCCCCACCCCACCGTCTGTGGAAAAATTGTTTTCCACAATGCCAGCACCTGGTGCCAGAAAGGTTGGGGACTGCTGTTGCAGAGGGAGCACACCCGGCTCCCACACTGACATATGAACTTGGGCCCTCTCTTCTCGGCATTGTGAGAGAGAAAGCTACTCCTCTTCTTGAGCTCAGGCCACAGACACCAGCTCAGTATACTTGAGCAGTGTGCTTGAATCCGGGGGGTATTGAGACCAGGTTCATGACTTTGTCTTCTGGTCTCATGGGGTTGAGCTTTGGCTGTGCTGAGGGTGGGGGCTGAACTGCTCCCAGGCCTCCGGCAAAGCACTCAGATGGGGCAGTGGAGGCTGTGCTGTGTGCTTACCCTTGCGTGAGTAGCTAGGCAGGGGCCTTGGGAGGGGCTGGTGGACAAGAAGGTACACAGACCAGATATGCTGCAGTCCCATGGTAAATGCAGCCCTACTGTCTTCTGGCCTGGCAGTAAGCAGGAGCTAGAGTCACTCAGAGCAAGATGGAGAGCCTTGGGGGATGGGTGCCTATGGTCATGTTTTGCTGCAGCCGTACCAGGTGCGAAACCTTCTGGGCTGTATGCGGGTTTGAGCTGTGCCTCTGCCTATTCGCCAGCCGGTTCCTCTTGCCAGTTCAGATGTCTGTGTGGGTCCAGGGATCTCTGGGAGCTAGTATCCCAGAGTTCGTTGGTGGGAGTGTGGTGCTGCACAGTTCCTTCACCCACCCCTTCCTTAGTTTCTGGATTGGGAGGTAATCCTAGTGCTTGGTGACTCTGTGCAGGCTTCCCAGATTTATTCCTCTTCAGCCTTGATGCCTGCATTACCTATCAAATTTCAGTGTTTTCTCTCCAAAGACCTACTCCAAGTGTGATAATTTACTTGATATTTTGGTTTCTCTCTCGCAGAGAGGCATCTCCTGGCTGCATGTGGTGACCATCTTGTCTTCCCCTAAAAACATCAAAATTGGTATTTAATAGAGCTTGCGTTCAGTCTGTAGACTGCTTTCAGTAATAAGGTCATTTAACCAATATTCTTCCAGTCCATGAGCATGCAATATCTTCCATGTTTGTGTCCTCTACAATTTCTTTTGTCAGTGTTTTGTAGTTTTTTTTTTTTTTTTTTTTTTTTTTTTGTAAAGCTCTTTACAAAATCTCTCTGGTTAACTTTATTCTGAGCCATTTTATTATTTTGTAGCTAGAATAGTGGGACGGCCTTCTTGATGTCTTTTTATGCTAGTTGATTATTAGTGTATAGAAATGTTACACATGCTATTGGCATTATTTTTGTATGCTGATTTTGTGGCCTGCACCTTTGCTGAATTCTTTAGTTCTAACAGGCTCTTTTGGTGGCGTGTTTATGGTTTTCTGTATATGAGATCAGGTCATGTGCACAGGGAGACAGTTTGACTTTCTGTTTTCCAATCTGGATCCCCTTTATTTCTCTGACAATTTTTGTATCTGCATCCTTCAGGGATATTGGCATGTAGTTTTCTTTTGTTGTTGTGTCTTTGTCTGGGTTTGGCCTTAGAGTAATACTGAACTTTAGAATAAACTAGGAAGATTTTGGAATAATTTATGAAAAATTGGTGTTAGTTTTTCCTTAAAAGTTTAGTAGAATTCAGAGTAACTTACCCAGTTTTAGACCTTTCTTTGTTGGTAAACTTTATTACTGATTCAATTACATTACCGTTACTGGTCTGTCCAGGTTTCCTTTTCTTCTTGGTTCATTCTTGCTGGTTATGCACTTCCAGGAATGTATCCATTTTCCATACGTTTCCAGTTTGTTGGCATATAGTTGTTCATAATAGTCTCTCATGACTCCATGTATTTCTTTGCTATCTCCTTTTATGTTTCCCTCTTTATTTACTTGAGTTTTCTCTTTTTTCTTGTTTAATGTAGTTTGCAGTTTTGCTTTATTAGTCTACCTCATTCAGTTCTGCCCTGCCTTTATCATTTCTTTCCTTCTACTACATTTGAGTTTTGGGTCTGTTCTTGCTTTTTTGGTTTCTTCAGGTGTATTGTTAGGTTGTTTATTTGAAGTCTTTCTCTTTTTTGGATGTAGCTGTTAATTGCTATAAATTGCCCTCTTAGTGCTTCTTTTGTCACTTTCTATAGGGATTGATTTTTTTCCCCATTTTCATTTGTTTGAAGATATTTTAAATTTTTTTTCTTAATTTATTGATTGGCCCAGTTGTTCATTCAGGAGCATGCTGTTTAATTTCCGTGCATTTGTACAGTTTACAAAGTTTTTGTCGTTACTGATTTCCATTTTTATTCCATTGTGGTTTGAGAAGATATTTGATATGAGCTTTTAAACTCAATATATGGTCTATTCTGGAGAATGTTCTATGTGCTAATGAGAAGAATGTGTATTCTGCAGCTTTTAATACAGTGTTCTGTAAGTGTCTGCTAGGTCCATGTGGTCTATAGTGCAGGTTCATTTCGATGTTTCTTTGTTGATTTTCTGTTTAGATGATCCCTTCAATGCTGAAAGTCAGACTATGGAGTCCCCATCTATTATTGTACTGGAGGCTATCTGTCTCTTTAGTTTCAGTGATGTTTGCCTTATATATCTGTGTGCTCAGGTATTGAGTATATATACCTTTATGACTGCTGTATCCTCTTGCTGAATTGATCCTGTTATTATTATATAATGCCCTTCTCTTTCTCTTTTATTTTATTTTATTTTTTTTACTTAAGATCTATTTTGTCTGATATAAATATAGCTACTCCTGTGTGCTTTTGGTTTCCATTTGCATGGAATATCCTTCCATCCTTTCACTTGCAGTCTATGTGTCTTTACAGGTAAAGTGAGTTTCTTGTAGGCAGCATATTATTTGGTCTTTTTTTGTAATCCATTCATTCTATCTATATCTTTAATTGGGGAATTTAAATCATGTATATTCAAAGTTTTTATGAGAGGTGAGGACTTACTCCTTTCATTTATTAATTGTTTAGTGATTGTTTTGTCTATCATTTGTTCCTATCTTCCTCTTTTATTGTTTACCTCTACAATTTGCTGGTTTTCTGTAGTAATAATGTTTGATTCCTTTCTCTTTTTCAGTTCTGTACCTGCTCTACCAGTGAGTCTTACAGTTTTTTGATTTTCATGGTGGTAGACATTGTCTTTTTGCTTCCAGATTGAGGACTCCTGTAAGCATTTCTTGTAGGATCAGTCTAGTGGTGATGCATTCCTTCAGGTTTTGCTTGTCTGAGACGTTATTTCTTTTTCAGTTTTATTTATTTATTTATTGGAGACAGAGTCTCACTCTGTTGCCCTGGCTGGAGTTCAGTGGCATGATCTCAGCTTACTGCAACCTCTGCCTCCCAGGTTCAAGCAATTCTTGTGCCTCAGCCTCCTGAGTAGCTGGGACCACAGGCATGAGCCACCATGCCTGGCTAATTTTGTATATTTTTAGTAGAGACAGGGTTTTGCCAAATTGCCCAGGCTGGTCTTGAACTCCTGAGCTCAAGCAATCCCCCCACCTTGGCCTCTCAAAGTGCTAGGATTACAGGGATGAACCACTGCACCTGGCCCCTCTTTTTCAGTTTTAAAGGATAGCTTTGCTAGGTATAATATTCTTGACAGGCAGTCTTTTTCTTCCCGCATATTAAATATATCATGTCATTCTCTCCTATCCTCTAAGGTTTCTGCTGACAAATATGCTATTTGATATGGATTCCCTTGTATGTGACTTGGTGTTTTTCTCTTGCTCTTTGTCTTTGACTTTTGACATTTGACTCTGATGTGCTGCAGAGAAGACATTTTTTATTGTATTTCTTTGGGGATCTTTGAGACATCTGTATCCAGATGTTTACATCTCTCACAAGACTTGGTAGTTTTTCAGCTATTATTTCATTAGATAGGTTTTCTGTGCCTTTTCCCATCTCTTCTATTTCTGCAACTCCCAATATCTGAAAAAATTTTGGCTCATGATGGCCCATATACCACATACACTGTCTTCATTCTTTTTATTTTATTTTTTTTATTTTTGCTTTTTGTTTGCCTGGCCTCATATAAAGACCTCTCTTCAAGTTCAGAAATTCATTCTTCTCCTTGATCTAGTCTATTGCCAACATTCTCAGTTGTTTTTATTTTATGTATTGAATTCTCAGTTCCAGGATTTCTGTTTGGTTCCTTTTAATGCTATCTTTTTCATTGTTGAATTTCTTATTCAGATCATAAATTGTTTTCCTGATTCATTTGTATTACCTATCTTTCCTATCAGGAATCTTTCCTGATTCCTTTGTATTATTGTGTATCTCGCTATGTTTCCTTAAGATCATTATTTTGAATTTTATAGGTTTTGTTTTCTTTGGGATCTGTTACTGGAGAATTACTCTGTTCCTTTGGAGGTGTCATGTTTCTTTGATTTTTCATACTTCTTGTGTCCTTAATGTTGATAACTGTGCAGCTGGTGTAACAGTCACTTCATCTAGTTTTAGGGGTTGTCTTTTTTCTGTAGATGTATCTATGTTGTTGGTTGAATATGGTGCTCTGGCATTGATGATGGGTGGGTGCATTGGTGTGGCCTCCATATACTTATGCTTTCTTCTGCTGTAATCAACATCAGCGTCTGTAAGTTCCTCAGTGGCTTACGGTGTGGTTGTTAGTAGCAGGGGATGCTGTGGTGAGGCCTTGATGGTGATGGGGAGGACAGCAGGCCAGTCCTCAGGCACATTGATGGCATACACAAGGATGTATGTGTGATTGGCAGCACCAGGCCATGCTTCCCAGTTTTTGGTGGCAGTGGGTTACCTGAGTGGTCTGGCCCTTGGGCCTCCAGGTGGTGTGTGCTGGGATCAGAGGTGGCAATAGCAGGCCAGGCCAAAGGACCTTGGTGACACTTGTGGCACTGGAGATGACAGTAGCAGCTGGGGGCCGGACCTTGGATCCCTTGGTAGCATGCATGGGCACTGGTAGTGGTGAAAGCAGGCTGCATGGGCATTTCTCTGGCCCCCTATGAGGAACATTTAGGTGGGTACCTAAGGCAGTGTGTGGAGCAGGCTTGTCCACAGGTTAACTGAAGACACGTGCAGGAGCCTTTGCCAGTGGCTGGTGAGGCAGCCCTGTCTTTATGCTCCTGGATGCCACGTGCAGGTGCCGGTGGGGCAGTAGGACTCTCCTTGGTATTAGTGGTAGATGGGGCCTGGGTAAAGGCACAGAGGCCTGGGTGGGGTGGGCTGCTCCTCAGGGTCCTGGACAGTGTATGTGAGCACTGATAGCAACAATAGCAGCAGCAAGCAAAGTGGCCTTGTCTTCAGGCTCTCATATGGCTCACATGGGCGCCACCCCTGGTGGGCTTGACAGGCTTGTTCTCAGGCTCCTGCATGGTACACTTGAGTGGGCCAGTCCTCCGGCCTCCTAAAGGTATGTACAGGTATGCACAGCACTGCCCCTGAAGGGGATAGGGCTGCTGGTGGTGGCAGTGGTGTCAGTCAGGTGGCTCCTAGGCTCTAGACAGCACACACTTAGGATCCCTTTGACCTAGAGTAGCTTCCCTGGTGGGCTATTAGATGACCACCTATTTCCACAGGTATATGGTGCTGTGGGGCTAGGGATTTGGGGGAATCGGTCCTGGTTTTGAGATGATCCTGGTTGGGCTGGCTACCTCAGTTCCCTTTCCTTCTGTCATCAGAGGATCCCTATCAATTTCCTGCTGAATTCCAGTATACTCTCTTTGATGTTTTCCTCAAGGTGTGGTTACCTACTTGCTGTTTTGGTTTTTCTTTTTGAAAGAGGTGAGTGCTGGGTATTCCCAGTCAGCCATCTCGATGATGTCTCTGTCTATGCTGTGCATATTAAGGAATGTATAGACGTGTTTTAAAACCTGCACAATTGACCCTATAACTATAATTTAAAAGATTTCTACCACTTGAAAAACACACTAATTTCTAATTATTACCTCTCACCCCACACACAGGTTT
Source organism: Homo sapiens (assembly GCF_000001405.40). NCBI lineage: Eukaryota > Metazoa > Chordata > Mammalia > Primates > Hominidae > Homo > Homo sapiens. The sequence goes on from NC_000017.11 coordinate 16,758,252, forward strand.
TATTTAATATGGCAGAAGACTCAGGCTTAAAGTGCAAGATCCTAACCTCCCATCACACACACACAAGTTTCATTTAATATGGCAGCAAGCTCAGGCTTGAAGTGCAAGATCCTACCATCTTTATCACAGACGGTAGGGATGCACCCTGGGTTGTGGTTTCTGCGGTATAACCCCTTGAGTGCATTTCTTGTCAACACAAAGACGTAAGAACTAAAGGGACAACTTGTCTACCACTCACCCACCCAGCATTCTCCTAAACTGCCAGAGACCCTCCTATTGAACAGAGAGAAAATGGGAGTCACAAAGGGAATATTAGACCATAGAAATTCTGAAATACAGCCTGATGTGTGCTTCCACTTACTTGATTTGGACTTCATGGGAACCATCCTCTGTGGCTTTTTGTGGTACCTTCTTGGCTCTTTGTTGTATCCTTTTCATAAGCAATGACCTGTGTTTTCAGCTAAGTAGTTTCTTCAGCCAGCTTCCTCCCTGTAGAAGCTCTTAGGTCCTAAGGCCTCTTTTCATTTTTACTGTCTTGTTGTCTTTTAAGCCAAGCTAGCAAGCAGTGCTATTGTTACTATAATTCTCTTAGAGTCTCTTGTGAATTTTACTTGAGTTCTTGTCATTGGAAAAACCACTTGTCCCAATCTCTTTGAGATAAGCACTTCACCTTGTGCTTCCTGTGAAGGAAGCACACTGTTCTGTGTAGTACGACAGTGCCTTAAGATGCGTATACCCTTAAGATCTTTAAGGGAATTTGAGGCACCACCTTAAATCTTTCTAAGGTCTTAAAATAGAGCCTTACACTGACAGTCTTGGCTTCACCTTCAGACTTTCTCCTGGCAGCACCCTGGATTTGATCTTATCTCAGAGGCCATTTATCTCAGCAATACAGATGCTCCTCAGATTAGGATGGGTTTATGTCTGGATGGCATTTGCATTTGTTATGTCTGATATTTGTAATTTATAGGCCATCATAAATTGTAAATATCAGAAGTTATGGGTGGGTTTTCCATTTACGATAATTTCCATTTACAGTGACTTTATCCTGATGTAACCACCCCTGTAAGCCAAAAGGCTTACACATATCATGTCATTACTCAACACATATCATTTTCACAGTATTATAAAAAGTCAGAAAATGGTGAGTCGAACCATGCTAAGTCAAGGACTGTCTATATTTGGGAATCTGACATGTGGAGAGGCTATAAAAAGGATACTGAACCTAGAAAGTCCTGGTTCTTTTATATGTAGTAGTCTTTCTTTAGCTTATCTCTTGCATTGGTTTTACTTTCAGCGGCTGTGTAGTAACAGTGCCCTTTCCTTCAGGTTCCCGTATCGTTTTCTTCACTATCCTGGAGCCCTTCCTACCAGCTTCTTCGAGGACCATCAGGCTTCCACTAACAGTCTCTTTAAAACTCTTCTTGTTTTTGTGCTTATTCTTCTGTAGGTCCTTTCAGCTTCTGATTAGCTCCTGGTCCAATGGTAATCCTACATGTTTTAGTAGTTTTTGTTGTGTTGTTGTTGTGCAATCTATATGTAGTGTCAATATCTGTATCAGTTATTTCTTGGTATATAACAAAATGCAGTGTCTCAAAACAACATCTATTTTGTTCACAATCTGCAGTTTTAGGCAAGGCTCAGTGGGGCCAACTCCCTTTTTCTTTACTTGGCATCAGCTGAGGTGACTTAAAGCTGGGGACTAGAATCATCTAAAGGCTTGTTTATTTACCTGTGCGGCATTCGAAGCTGGCTTTTGGCTGGGACGTTAGGTAGGGAAGTCAGCTCGAACACCTACCTACATGAGGGTTCATGGTATGGTTTGGGCTTTCTCACGGCATGTTGGCTGCATTTTAAGGACAAGCGTCCCTAGAGAGAGAGTCAGGTAGAAGCTGTGTGACTTTTTGTAACCAACTTTAGAAGTCACACAGCAGTTCTGCCACATTGTGTTCCGGAGAAACCGGTTGTCAATGCCAGCTTGTATTTAGGAGAGGGAATGTCATGGGAGAAGTGGCAAGCAATTTGTAGATGTTTTAAAACCACCACTTCACTTACCTTTATAAAATAAAAAACAATCATAATTATTTCCTCTAAAGGAAAGCAGTTATTTCCAACTCAGCACCATTGAAATTTCAGTGCAATTTTTTGTTGTCATTCTTTAATGTGCTCCCTTATTTTGTGTAAAGTAACAATGAATTACAAGATTGTGCTACTGAATTAAGGCATTTTTCTTCAGAAAAATGGTATGGATCATGCCACTGAACTTTTATACTGGGAGATGTGATTGCTTCTTAACTCCAAGTATCATTACTCTTTGAAATGTAACTCAAATTAGCGTAAGACATTTGCAGTTCAGCAAAAGGCTTATGGTATTGGAATCCTTTTTTTTTTTTCAAAATGTATTAATTAGAGTCTTATTTTCAGAGTCTTATTATGGGAGCCATTTATTGACTCAGGCCCAAATAATTCAATATGATGCCCCTAAAACTTCTCTGCAAATTATGGAGAATGATAGTGGGTTAAAGGAATAAGAGACTTTGTGCTAAAGGGGTAACTTAGAGCCATTTTAAGGAGGAAAGCCATGAAACAGTCATAGGAAAACAGAAGTCTAAGATCAAGTCCAAATGTTGTGTGGCAAAGATGATGAAAGTAAAGGATGTATTTTTGTGAATTCTGGTGGTTTTAACTTTGTTTTTAATTTTCTGAGTAATCCAAGGGTCTGTATTTTATGAATCTACAACAGTATAGGTAACATTTTATTGCAACTGAATTTATTTCAAAAATTATTAGTTTTGGCTGGGCGCGGTGGCTCACGTCTGTAATCTCAGCACTTTGGGAGGCCGAGGCGAGTGGATCATGAGGTCAGGAGATCGAGACCATCCTGGCTAACACGGTGAAACCCCATCTACTAAAAATAAAAAATAAATTAAAAAAAATTTAGCCAGGGGTGGTGGTGGGCACCTGTAGTCCCAGCTACTCCAGCTACGCAGGAGAATGGCCTGAACCCGGGAGGCAGAGCTTGTAGTGAGCCGAGATCCTGTCACTGTACTCCGGCCTGGGCGACAGAGCGAGACTCCATCTCAAAAAAAAAAAAAAAAAAATTATTAGTTTTTTGTTAGACCATTCTCAGTCTACCTTCTTCATTACAAAACTATATTGTTTTACTCATGCAGATTGACCTTACAGAAGCACAGGAAACTGTACCTTCACGATGTCTACATCTGGATGCAGAGAATGAAGTTCTTCAACTTCAACAGACATTATTCTCTATGAAAGCAATACAAAAGCAATGTGAAACACTACAGAAGAATAAGAAGCAGCTGAAACAAGAAGTAGTAAACCTCAAAAGTTATATGGAAAGAAATATGTTAGAACGTGGTAAAGCTGAATGGCATAAACTGTTGATTGAAGAAAGAGCAAGGAAGGAGATAGAAGAAAAATTAAACGAAGCCATTCTCACCTTGCAGGTTGGTTTATTTATCTGTAATGTGCTTTCATTCATTTCGCTGCAAATTTTATTTTGGATATATACATTGTACATGTTTTCTCTACTTTCCTTACAGCAATTTGTTTGGTAGACTTCTAGAAGGAAGGTGGTATTTGTTTCTCCATTTAAATATTTTCGTTTCCATCATTCTTATAAGTAAATTGATCTTCCATAAGAATAATTCTCACTAGAGAATCATTTAATTACTAAAGCCAGTTGGCATAAAACAAGACTAATAGGGAAAGTAAAAAAAAAATTGTGATTTAGAAATTATACCATACTCTTGAACTGCTTTTAAGTTACGTTGTTCCACTTTTAAAATTTTAACTTGGTTCTGTCATTCTTTGGAGAATTGTTCAACAATTCAGATTCAGTTATTAATTCAGTTGGTACTGGTGATAAATATGTTAAGCTTGAGCTTCTTTCTTTCTTCACATTTTTCTTAAAATTGTTCTCTGAATCACGTACTTAAAATTGTTCTCTGAGTCACTGACTCCAAACAAAAGGAAACAAATACACAGTAATTATTCAGGTTATAATTACTTTTAAAATGTTCCCTTTTAATTTATTTTAGAAACAAGCAGCAGTATCTCATGAACAGTTAGTACAGTTAAGGGAGGATAATACTACTTCAATAAAAACTCAGATGGAACTCACAATCAAAGATCTGGAATCTGAAATCTCCAGAATAAAAACTTCGCAAGCCGACTTTAATAAAACCGAATTGGAAAGATATAAGGAACTCTACCTAGAAGAAGTGAAAGTTAGAGAATCCTTGTCAAATGAACTCAGTAGGTAAGTCAATATGCAGAATCATAGAAAATAAGTTAAGCTCATTAATTTGCCTTCAAAAGCATGACTTTTAGTGAGACAGGTTCATGAGATTTGTGGGAAGTGAAAGCTAACTAGATCATACAATTTTGGAAAATTGTAAATTATAAATAGTAAATGAACTTAACCTTTAAGTAAAATTGAAAATAGTAAATGAACGTAACCTTTAAAATCTTAGTCCAGGACAGTTCCTGTCTCTCCTGTTTTTTGGTTTTATGTGGCTTCCCCCAACCCCTTAATATTCTTATATAGTTAACCTGATCTATTAGGGTTTCAGCTAAATATTTATGAAGCTTCATAATTTAGACAGTGATACCATTATAAAAATTGCTTGTCAGTATTCCCTTAATTCAAAATACTAATTAATTAATTTCTGGAAGACGACAGCTGAAAACAGAAAGGGTCAAGTACGACTACTCTGGACACATTCTGGCACTCAGTAAATTCACTTTGCTTGATTGTGATCATTAGAGGGTGCCTTGAGAAGAAGTGTCCTGTATAGTTTTTCCAATCCACATAAAGGCACACTTGTGAAGCAGAGAATGATCAACTAGGGTTGAAGGGAAGTATAACTTACTAAGTGATAAAAAAATAACACCTTGGTCAGCCTGAGGCGGTATATGGAAGACAGAAAGGGCAGGCCCCACCTCTGATACATGGGCCGCAGTGTTAGGAGCTGATTGTCCTCGATGCTGCTTTAGTTCTCTTTGATTTCAGCAGTCTTATTCTCCCCAAGGAAAAGTCGCCGTGAATGATTCCTCAGTGCCAAATGCTCAAGTTTTTCCAGATAATGGGTGAAATATACAAGGGTGGTGAAAACAATTGTTTGAAAATGTCTTTGAGAGAGAGTTTTTTAGACAATCTCTAACAACATGTATTGTTTACTAAATACAAGTATTTCTAGCTTTTATTTTTACTTTTAGTTTTTTCTTGTATATATTTAAGGAGTACAACTTGATGTTTTGATATATTTATACGCAGTGAAATGGTTATTTTGTCAAGCAAATTAATATCTTCATCATTTCACATAGTTACCCTTGGAATACAAGTAATTCTAATGGCATCCTTAAGAATCATATAAGTAGAGTCATTCCAGATGGGCAACAAGTGTTAACTATGAAGCCATACATCATTGATAGTCTTTTCTGTCCCCTCCCTCTCTTTGAACTACTTGTTTGTTAGAAATCCCTCTAGAAATAGATGTACTTCTTTAGAACAATGTTAAAACTATAATTGGATACAGTAGGCATGCTCTAACACATTTTCAGAGTTAAAACACGGCTTATGGTATATTCCATTTACTCTTAATGGCAACTTTTAGAACAATCGAAGTCATTTAGGAATCATTTAGGAAAAAATGAAATACTAAGCATTTGTCTTTTTCAATCTTCATAGAACTAATGAGATGATAGCAGAGGTCAGTACGCAACTTACTGTGGAGAAAGAGCAGACCAGATCCAGATCTCTATTCACTGCTTATGCTACAAGGCCAGTCCTAGAGTCACCTTGCGTTGGAAATCTTAATGATAGTGAAGGTCTCAACAGAAAACATATTCCAAGAAAAAAGAGGTCTGCTCTTAAGGACATGGAGAGCTACTTGTTGAAGGTTAGCTATCTTTTTTCCTTCGGCGTTCAGATTTCTGATAGAATTCTTGTATGTTATTTGGTAAAATAGTTACTTAATTGTCTTGTGTATGGTAAGTAAAAGTAATAATTACCTGTGTTAATAAAGAGAGGAGACAGAAATTTTACCGTTATTTTTAAGTCTCTGGAGCTCTCATTGATAAGAGATTACTCCTTTGTTAACTTTATTTAATAAATGTAACCAAACTGACACATTTTAAATTTTTTTAAAAACTGCATTTAAGTTAGATTTTAACCAAAGGTTTACTTTGATGTGCTTTGTCTTACTAATTGATTTTAGTTTGTCTGGGGTTCACTTTTAATGGGTTTAGTGTGCCTGGGGTCACTTTTAAAGTTTTTCTGCGTCATCTCAGGTTTTCTACCTGTCATCATATGTGAATGATTGGTGTCCAAACACTAACCACCCATGGATGTTTATTATTTAAAAGGACCCAAGGTGAATACTTTTATATGTTATATAAACCTGCAACACTTGATTAATCTGTTCTTTAAGTTAAAAGTTTTGTGATTTTCTTATATGAGTACATCTGTAATTGCTATTGCACTTAATAGTGTTTTAATCCCAATTTTAGTAAAATGTGTCTATTGCTATGCAATAGCACAGTGGTTTTGAAATAGTTAAATCAAATAAATATTTGAATTTTTAAAGTAAAGCTCACATAAGTTTTGTCTCTCTACCTGGCCATAACTTTAGTAATTGATGACTAAGATGGCAATGGTATCTAGAGTCCTTCAATAGCAAATGTGACCAAACAGAATCAGTTCTATTCTTAATACCCCAAATTCCATGTAAAGCTGCACATGGACATCTCCCCTGGACATGTAACAGGAACCTTTTAGTTCAACCGTGTGGTTTCACTCAGAGTAAGAGTCTATTTCTGGGGATTTCAAAATGGATCCAAAAATGACGAGCTGTATCAACTATAGAGTTGGTAAGGAAAAAAAAAACAAAACGTAGTTCAACTATGCTTGACCCAGATTAAGGTATTTGTCTAACATTTGTCCATTTTTCAACTGAGGGAAAATTACAAAAACTGGGCACAGTGGCACACACCTGTAGTCCCAGCTGCTCCTGAGGCTGAGGCAGGAAGATCACTTGAACCCAGGAGTTCAAATCTGCAGTGCGCAATGATTATTCCTGTGAGTAGCTACGGCACTGCAGCATTCCAATCTGGGCAACATAGCAAGATTCTGTCTCTTAAAAAAATTACAAAATCCATAAAACATTTGTTTGAACAACAATAGATAAATAGTTTTCTTTGTGTATATTGTTGTTTTTAAAATTTTCAATCGATGCACATTGGCTTATAGTTTTGATGTTTTTATGATCTCCTTAGCGCACAGAAAAGTAGCGCAGGCCCACATGGAATGAACCTCAACCTTGTTGTGTTTACCTGGCTATTTCGTGTCCTAACAAATCATAGAAGAGCAAATCTAAGGTTTCTTAGATAGCATTGTGGCCAAATAGCTTAAAAGGGAATGCATTAAATGATTGTTTTAATACATAGATTACAAGAGCCCAGCTAGCTGATATTTTTAATCATATTGTTCGCTTAGGTTTTATTTTTCTGAAAAAAATGAGATGATCAGCGTCCAAATGCCTCAGTCATGAAATTGTACCACTGGGTACTAATGGGAAATGAATGTTAAATACGTCTGTAAATGGTTAAGCAAGATGCAAATATAATGTTCTCATTAGTACTATGAACCCCCAAAATTTGAGACAAGTCTCAATTAATTTAGAAAGTTTATTTTGCCGAGGTTGAGGACACACATCCATGACACAGCCTCAGGAAGTCCTGATGACATGTGTCCAAGGTGGTTGGGGCACAGCTTGGTTTTATACATTTTAGGGGGAGACATGAGACATCAATCAATATATTTAAGAAGTACATTGGTTCACTCTGGAAAGGCGGGACAATTTGAAGCAAAGGGAGGAAGACTGGTAGCGGGGAGGGGGCTTCCAGGTCACAGATAGGTGAGAGACAAACAGTTGCACTCTTTTGAGTTTCTGATTAGCTTTTCCAAAGGAGACAGTCAGATCTGCATTTATCTTAGTGAGCAGAGAGGTAACTTTGAATAGAATGGGAGGCAGGTTTGCCCTAAGCAGTTTCCAGCCTGAGTTTTCCTTTTAGCTTAGTGATTTTGGAGGCCCAAGATATTTTCCTTTCACAGTACTTACCAGAAAAACAAGGTAATGTATCATTTTACAAGATAGTGCTGAGAGAGTATAAAAAGCAGATGTAGGCCGGGCACTGTAGCTCAAACCTATAATCCCAGCACTTTGGGAGGCCAAGGTGGGTGGATCACCTGAGGTCAGGAGTTCGAGACCAACCTCCAACATGGTGAAACCCCGTCCCTAATAAAAATACAAAAATTAGCTGGGCATGGTGGTGTGCGCCTGCAGTCCCAGTTACTTGGGAGGCTGAGGCAGGAGAATTGCTTGAACCTGGGAGGCAAAGGTTGCAGTGAGCTGAGATTGCGCTGCTGCACTCCAACCTGGGCGACAGAGCAAGACTCCATCTCATGGGTGGGGGAAAAAAAATAAATAAAATAAATAAAAGCAGATGTGATGCAAGGGAAGATTTTTGAGGATCTTTTTTTTTTAATTTCTGTTTTGTGGGGAAGGGGGTGTTCATTTTTTAGTATTTCTAGATAAGTAGAAAATTTGTTTGTTTTAAAGTTAATGTTAATGTAGTAGTTCCAAGGCATACCTAGTTTCCTTGTGGGGCATTTTTTGCCCAATCATGTTAGATTTACTAAAAGAGATTTAAAAGCATGATTATATCAAGATATGAGTGCTGGGTACGGAGGCTCACACCTGTAATCCCAGCACTTTGGGAGGCCGAGGCGAGTGGGTCACTTGAGGTCAGGAATTCAAGACCAGCCTGGACAACATGGTGAAACCCTGTCTCTGCTAAAAATACAAAAATTAGCCTGGCATGGTGGCGGGCGCCTATAATCCTAGCTACTTGGGAGGCTGAGGCAGGAGAATCGCTTGAACCCAGGAGGCAGAGGTTGCAGTGAGCCAAGATTGTGCCACTGCACTGCAGCCCAGGTGACAGAGCAAGACTCCATCTCAAAAAAAAAAAAAAAAAAAAGATACAAAGGCATGTCTCCATAATCACACCTTGGAAGAGTTCTTATACAGCTGTTGTCTACAGAATTTTGAGAGTTACAGAAAGAAGGTGCCTTCTAGAGTTGCTAGGAACTTAAGTATTTCCTATAGGAAAACATCAGCTAATACAAGGAGGAGGAGGTAACATACCATCTAAACTGAGATTTACAAAAAAAGGTAGGGGGTGGGGTGGGTTTCTGGGTGGGGTGGGTTTCTGGGTGGGGCATTACAAAACAGGATATTTAGAAATTTTTAGCTACGATTTTCAAAAGCAAAATGTTAAAAATAGCACTAATATTGGATCTGTTTATACATCTCCTTTATTTGCAAGATTTTAACACTTTGGACTATTCCTACTGTGAAGTGCTATCATACTCAGCATTTTCTCTAACCTCAAGAAAAATGGTTATAATTTTGTATGAAATCACACACCAGAGAAATAATATATTATAACTGGTTGTTGAAACAAGTTTTCTCTACATTCATGACAGTTAGCATTTATTGCATCTCTCACCCCATTATATGAAGTCTAGAGTCTGACTGTTCCCAGACCAAACTGAGAGTCGGGCTGCTATTTATCATGGTCCAGTAATGAGATGCAGATGAATTGGGAAGAGAGGTTTTATTTTCTGCAACCGGTTACGGGGTTACAAGGAAGGCCTGGAAATTATTACCACACCAATTCAAAATTACAAAGTTTTCCAGAGCTTATATACCTTCTAAGCTATATATCTACATGTAAGTGTGCATTCGTCTATAGACATAAGTTTAATCTATAACGTTAAAGATCTAAGTCCTGCAGACCTTCCTCTGGAGCTTCAGTAAATTTATTTAATCTAAATGGGTCCAGGTGCTGGGGTGATTACCCTTATCTTGTCTCCTGCTAAATCATGGAGGTTTGGGAGTTCCATTAGACCCCCAATAAACTTATTTGTGGAGGCCTGGGGAGTTTCTTGAGATCCCCAATAAAACTTGTTTAATACCAAACAGGTCCTATTAAGAATTCCTTCATTATTTTGTCATACTTTAAGGCCCAGGGAAGGCCTAGGCAAGATTCTTGGTGGGCTTTTGTTACATTCCAGCCTGTATAAGGGCACTGGCTCTTTCAGCTTTTAATGTTTAACTTAACTACTCAGTCAGTGCCAAAGCAGTTGTTATGGAGGCCTGCGTTAGTGAGACCTGGCCTGCCACATAGCCTTGCCACTTAACACCATTGTAGTGATAATAGATTGCTATGCCTGTGTTTTACTGATTTTTACTTATAGGTTTCACATTCTAGATTAACCCTGGGATCCTTTGTCCTATATATCAGAAGTACTTTTTATAGTTTTATTGGCTCCTTATTTTCCAGCCTGTAATCTCAAGTATAATTTAGCAGTAGCCTGTCAATAAGTTATTGCTGAAGAGTGAACTTTGTATTTATTGGACTTTGCCTTTGGTACTGATTTCACTATATTTCTTTAAAAAAATTTTCTAACTACTCCCCTCTTTAAAGTGGAGGTAGTTGTGAAGAATGTATGGTAAGATTAGAAAAGTCAAGGAAGAAGAAACTATTTCTATAAGTGTTATACAGTCATCTTTCTTGTTCAGGCTGTGGTGGATAGGCAGCAAATGGTGCTCCTCCTTCCCTTCTGAGTTCAGAACACAGGAGTCAGATAGATGGACATCAACACACTAGCTCTATTGCAGACTCATGATAACTAATGGGAGGATGTGGCTCAGATGTGCAGCCACAGTATTTTATCCCAGATTAGGCACTAATCCACAGAGTTTTAAGTGGAGAAAACAAATGCTTGACACCCATCGCAGGTGCATGCTGCTTACTGCAGAGATGACAGCAGACCTGAACTCATGTCACTGTGGGCAGACACATCTTTTGAAAGAGACCCTGAGCCAAGCAAGCACACTGTGTGCTTTGCCCAAATTCACCCATTAGGTAGATCTGATATCCTCTCAAGAGGAAGCTGTAGGTAGAGAGAGTCTAAGTCCTCATTTGAAACCTGAGGCCAGGAAAATGAAGGTTCTCCTATCATTTATGGCTGGATTTAAGTGATAATTGAAATTAATCCCATGTCTTTGTATGTACAAATTAATGATGAGAAGTTGGACAGGCGTATGGTAGATGGTAAAGAGAAATCTGTTTTGTGTTTTCAGTTTTTCTATAAATAACTCACAACATGGATAATTGACTTGATTGATTTTCCTAAACCACGTCTTATTTGGAGGAGAATGAATAGTTCTTTTAAGGAACAGTTTTCTTAATTTCTGCTTGCTTGGTTCAACTAAAGATTTTCTCCTTCAAGTTTTCTGTTCTGCGGTTTGAAAAATGGGTTCTTTATAAATTGAGTGTCTTGACTGGTACTAGCCAGAAGTTATGATATTAATTGTTCTTTAAATTTGATTCATAACTTACAATTTGGAGAGCTACTATTTTTTGTCTCATGCTTAAACATTATAGAGCATCATGACAGTTTATAGATGCATTTTCTCTTTTTTGTTGTTGTTGTTGTTTTTGAGGCAGAGTCTCACTCTGTCTCCCAGGCTGGAGAGCAGTGGCGTGATCTCTGCTCACTGCAACCTCTGCCTGCCGGGTTCAAGCGATTCTCCTGCCTCAGCCTCCTGAGTAGCTGGGACTACAGGTGCACACCACCACGCCTGGCTAATTTTTATATTTTTAGTAGAGACGGGGTTTCACCATATTGTCCAGGCTGGTCTTGAACTCCTAACCTTGTGATCCACCCAATTCAGCCTCCCAAAGTGCTGAGATTACAGGCGTGAGCCACCACACCTGGACTGTCTGAGTTATTTTTTTATTTTTATTATTATTATTATTTTTGATGCGGAGTCTGACTCTGTCACCCAGGCTGGAGTGCAGTGGCACGATCTCAGCTCACTGCAAGCTCCGCCTCCTGGGTTCACACCATTCTCCTGCCTCAGCCTCCTGAGTAGCTGGGACTACAGGCGCCCACCACCATGCCCGGCTAATTTTGTGTATTTTTAGTAGAGACGGGGTTTCATTGTGTTAGCCAGGATGGTCTTGATCTTCTGACCTTGTGATCCTCCCGCCTCGGCCTCCCAAAGTGCTGGGATTACAGGTGTGAGCCACCGTGCCCAGCCTGAGTTATTTTTAAAAATCTGTATTTCTTTTCTGAATATGAAGGAAGGTGCTGGCATAGAATAACTCCAGGCTCAGTGAAAGATCTGAAGCCCACTCCTACCTTGTAACTAATTGGTTTTGTGACCTCAGGCAAGCTGCAGTCTCTCCGAGCCTGTTTTGTTTCTTATGTAAAATTAAGGACTTTGACTAAATCAGTGACATTCATACGTTTAAGTAAATCTCTTTTTTTTTTAAGAATGGAACTTTTTTAAATTGCATAAAACCACATTATAGAAAACAGAAGTAGTGCTGCCTGACTAAAGGAAGGATCAGTGCTCTGAAGCTGTGACTTTCTTATCCCTTAATCCTTCAGCATCCTCTGTGGAACCTTAGATTTCTGTGGGACATAGCTTGAAAAGGATCATTTCTTGAATTATTACTTTTATAAGGCCTGGATGGTAATGCTGTTGTCATGTTACCTACTCTATAAAGCCTATCTATAATGTTTTTGTCACAGAAATGTTATGGAAAGGAGTCTCAAAATATTGGTAAACCTGTTAGTAAAAAAAAAAATTGACTTGACACCTAAAATTTCTAAAGGCATTAGATATCATTATCTTTATCACCACAAACTATCTCAGACCCCGTTCTAGGCATTTAGTGAGAGAATACCTATTCTAAAAAAAAATTAAATAAGAGCACTCTAGATAGGGACACTGGCAATAAGTTTGAAATATTCTGACACCTTTCATAATTAAGTAGATAACTATAACTTGTCAGATGCTTAAAAAATGGGTACTAATTTCTGAAAAGAAATCAAAGTTGCAGTTAAATAACTCTAAATTGTTTTCCTAGTTTTTAATTCTAGACACTCATGAATCAAAGAAACTAAGATTGAAAACTGGCTCTAACCTGTATTTATCCTTGTTTTTATGTAAATTTTCTGAAATCTTTGTGTCCGTATGAATGAAGAAATGTTAATCATAATAGCATAATATTTTTAATCTTTTGCCAGTGGAACTTTCACATGGCATCACAACAATACTGCTTTCTTCAAGTATGTATTAAAGATTCTGTGCTGAATTAATAGCAAAGAACATACTTTGAAATTATTATTTTCTAAAAGTGGAGAATGGGGAGTTCATTGTAAGGAACTATTCATTAAAGTGAAAAACTGGTTAGACCTTGATAAAGGGCAGAGTTTTGATAAGAATGGGAAAGTAATGCATTCATTGCAGAATATGACTTGAATTGTGTAACCTCTGTACTAATAAGGGAAAACATCACACTTTTGAAATGACATAGCTCCAACAGACCAATATTAATTGTACTTTTGTGAGATTAATCTAAACAGCATAACACATATATGTTCTCCATTATCTAAACTTAAAATAGGTAGGAATTTATATGATATTTTTAATTTAAGCAATCTTCAAGTTAGGTCTAGTCTGTAAAAGTATTATTTAAAGGCCGCATTTTGTAATTAATGCTCCTTACCATGATAATGTATCTTCTTAAACGTTATAAATAATATTTGACTTATTTCAGATGCAGCAGAAGTTGCAAAATGATCTAACTGCAGAAGTAGCAGGTATGTTACCAAAATTTATGAATTAAATTTAGATTAAGTAATATATATCTGAAATAAACTGCAAACGACATCCCTTTCCGTTCTTGGGCTAGTAGATACTACATTAAATATTCTTTCATATACATCTAATGAAAGATGTGAAAACTTGAACATGTATAATGAAGAGCATACTTATGCCTCATGAATTCATCACGTTCCATAGCTTGAAAAAAATAGCTCAAGAAGTCTGGCTCTACTCTTCACTTCTGCCATCCCTATGGAATTGTCAGCCAGCACACAGAAACGGTTCTCAGAAAACAGAAGCATCATCAACTTCTCAGGGTTATGGTAGTGATTTTTAAGGCCAAAACATCCCAGTCTCATCTAGTAACCTATTCAAGCAGTTACAGTTTATAAGCAGTCGCTTGAGAGGTAACACTTTAAATCTCCAGTCATTTACAGTGTCATTGGTTTACTTTTGCCCTCAGAAAAAGTTCCAAATTCCTTAACATGTAATATAAACACCCACATTCATTTGGTTCTTGTCAAGTTACTCAGGCTTATCTCTCACCACTTACTTTACTCTGCCCCTTTGCTCTAGGATCCAGCCAAACTGGACTGCACAGAATTCCACAGTGCTCGTCCTTCTCCTCCAGCTCTTTGCACTTGCTTCTTTGCTCTATCTGCCAACCTTTTTTTCTCATCCTTCAGGTATCCACTAACCATGCCTCCACCGAAAAGCCTACAGTATCGAGACAAAACTGGGATAGGTGTCCCTCTTGCATTCCAATAGTGCCCTGTTTTATACCTGTCAGGGTATCTATGACTTGGTATGGAAATTGCCTATTTGTCTGCTTTTTCAGGTTATAGCATATGATTGCTGAGGGGTGGACTGTATCATCTTCATCTTGTAACTCCAGGGCATAGTCTAGTACCTTAGCATGTGGTTGTTGAATAAATGAATGAAGAATGAGAAAACCAGAAGCTGTGATACACAACCACAATGATCATTAATTTAGTGTGCAACTGTGGGCAGATTCTTATCTAATAATAAGTTAGCATTGTAGTCATACATACTTTTCATTCTTGTTAACACTGAAAAAGCTCTCAACTCTTTTTTACTGATTTGCACTTAGTTAACTATGAAATATATAGAATATAATTCTTTGGCCAGGCATGTTGGCTCACGTTTGTAGTCCCAGCACTTTGGGAGCCTGAGGCAGGCAGATCACTGGAGCCCAGGAGTTTGAGAGCAGCCTGTGCCAACATGACGAAACCCTGCCCCTATAAAAAATACAAAAGCTTGCCAGGCACAGTGGCTCATGCCTGCAGTTCCAAGTACTTGGGGCTGAGGCAGGAGAATTGCTTAAGCCTGGGAGGACAAGACTGCAGTGACCTGTGATCACACCATGGCACTCCAGCATAGGTGAAAGAGTGAGACCCTATCTTAAAATAATAACAATAATAATAATAATATAATTCTTGCTTTTTTTTTCAGCTGCTACTAAATATGAACCTGGATCCTATATAGCTTCTCCTCTAGGATTTACACACAAGGAAAATCTGAATCAAGATCCAGTTTTGGAAGTAACAAAAGAATATGCACAGATTTTAAGAAGAAAATACATACTCTGAAAGATAAGGCAATTTTATTTGGGCTATTCACATGATATTTTGTTTCCCATTAAATATATGATGTGAACATTTTTACTAAAGGGAAATATTCTATATTATACATGTCTGATGAAAATTTATATAGTATTTTAAATAATGTTTCTTGGCCTCTTCAGCTAACTTTTAAGTGGATTTTGCAAATGAAAACCAGTATTACTGAGTTTTACATACTCGAACTGCCCAAATGTTTGCTGTTTAAACAGCCAAATAATCAAGTTGCCATTAGTAATTTAGTGGAGCCAATTGATGGCTTGTTTGTATTTTATAATTTTATCTTTATACATAGTGATAGATTTAAGTTTAGATAGACATCATTTTGGTATACTGGTACTGTGGTCATTGTCAATGTTTGGATGTATTACGATTGTTATAGTGCAATCAAACTTAGATAATTTTAATTTTAAGCACTGATTTATTTAGATCTTTCCTTGTGGAAAAATAAGGTTTGCCTAAGGCTTTTTGCTTTTTTATTTATTGTTTCATTTCTTTATTAGATTAACTTTTGGGAAACAGTCTTAAAATTGGAGAAAATTTCCACATTTTAGGAAAAACAGCTTTCCCCCTGTGGGCCATTTGAGAGTAAATTGCTGACATTATGCCATCACATCTGGTATGTGGGTATTCCCACAAGTCAGGACATTTTATATAACTACTTCATAATCGGAAAGTTAACATCAATACACTTGATCATTTAATTCTCAGTTTCTTTTCAAGTTTTCTTAATTGTCTATAATGTTCTTTGTAGCAGAAGGATCCCATTCAGGTCCATGAATTTCATTTAGTTGTCATGACTCTTTCAGTCTGGAACAGTTCCTCAGTTTTTCTTTGACCTTTATGACCTTAAATCTTTTGAAGAGTAAAGTCCAATAATACAGAATGTCCCTCCATTGGATTTCTCTGAACTTTTTTTATGATAAGATTTAGATGATAATTTTTTTTTTGGCAAGAGTATCACAGAAGTTATCCCATGATCTTCTCACTGCATTCTATCAGGTGACCTGCAATTATTATTATTTTTTATTTTCATCTTTTAAGTTCAGGGGTACATGTGCAGGATGTGCAGGATGTCCAGGTTTGTTACATAGGTAAATATGTGCCATGGTGGTTTGCTGCACAGATCATCCCATCACCTAGGTATTAATAATAGCCCAGCATCCATTAGCTGTTCTTCACGATGCTCTCCCTTCTTTCACCCGCCACCATCCCACATGCCCCTGTGTGTGTTGTTCCCCGCCATGTGTCCATGTGTTCTCATTATTCAGCTCCCACTTGTAAGTGAGAGCATGCAGTATTTCATTTTCTATTTCTGCGTTGGTTTGCTGAGGATAATGTTCTGCAGCTCCACCCATGTCCCTGCAAAGGACATGTCTCATTCCTTTTCATGGCTGCATAGTATTCCATGGTGTATATGTACCACATTTTCT
Organism: Homo sapiens; assembly: GCF_000001405.40. Taxonomy (NCBI): domain Eukaryota; kingdom Metazoa; phylum Chordata; class Mammalia; order Primates; family Hominidae; genus Homo; species Homo sapiens. The sequence goes on from NC_000017.11 coordinate 16,775,097, forward strand.
TTATCCAGTTTATCATTGATGGGCTTTTAGGTTGATTCTTTGTCTTTGCTATTGTGAATAGTGCTGCAATGAACATACGTGTGCGTGTATCTTTATACTAGAATTAGTTATATTCCTTTGGGTATATACCAAGTAATGGGATTGCTGGGTTAAATGGTATTTCAGGTTCTAGATCTTTGAGGAATCACCACACTGTCTTCCACACTGGTTGAACTAATTTACACTCCTATCAACAGTGTAAAAGCATTCCTGTTTCTCCATAATCTTGCCAGCATCTTTTCATTTTTTTGAATTATAGCCATTCTGACTGTTGTGAGATGGTGTCTCATTGTGGTTTTGATTTGCATTTCTCAGATGATCAGTGATGTTGAAGTTTTTTTGTTTGTTGGCTGCATGTATGCCTTCTTTTGAAAAGTGTCTGTTTGTGTCCTTTGACCACTTTCTAATGGGGTTGAGTTTTTTTTTCTTGTAAATTTGTTTAAGTTCCTTGTAGATGCTGGATATTAGACCTTTGTCAGATGGATAGAGTGCAAAAATTTTCTCCCATTCTGTAGGTTGTCGGTTTACTCTGTTGATAGGTTCTTAATGCTGTGCAGAAGCTCTTTAGTTTAATTAGATCCCATTTGTCAATTTTGGCTTTTGTTGCAATTGCTTTTGGCATCTTCGTCATGAAATCTTTGCCCTTGCCTGTGTCCTGAATGGCATTGCCTAGGTTTTCTTCCAGGATTTTTATAGTTTTGGGTTGTAGATTTAAGTCTTTAATCCATCTTGAGTTAACTTTTGTATATGGGTTAAGGAAGGGGTCCCGTTTCAATTTGCTGCATATGGCTAGCCAGTTCTCCCAGCACCATTTATTAAATAGGGAATCTTTTCCCCATTGCTTCCTTTTGTCAGGTTTGTCAAAGATCACATGGTTGTAGGTGTGTGGTCTTATTTCTGGGTTCTCTATTCTGTTCCATTGGTCTATGTGTCGGTTCTTGTACCAGCACTATGCTGTTTTGGTTACTGTAGTCTTGTAGTATGTTTGAAGCTGGGTAGCATGATGCCTCTAGCTTTGCTCTTCTTGCTTAGGATTGTCTTGGCTATTTGGGCTCTTTTTTGGTTCCATATGAATTTTAAAATAGCTTTTTCTAGGTCTGTAAAGAATGTGAATAGTAGTTTAATGGGCCTAGCATTTAATTTACAGATTGCCTTGGGCAGTGTGGTCATTTTCACGATATTGAACCTTCCTGTCTGTGAGCATATGTTTTTCCATTTGTTTGTGTCATCTCTGATTTCTTTGAATAATGGTTTATAGTTATCCTTGAAAAGGTCCTTCACTTTTCTTGTTAGCTGTATTCCTAGGTATTATACTCTTCTTGTGGCAATTGTGAATGGGAGTTAATTCATGAGTTTTCTCTCGGCTTGCCTGTTGTTGGTGTATAGGAATGCTAGTGACTTTTGCACATTGATTTTGTATCCTGAGACTTTGTTGAAGTTGCTTATCAGCTAAGAAGTTTTTGAGCTGAGATGATGGAGTTTTCTAGATATAGGATCATATCATCTGCAAACAAAGATAGTTTGACTTCCTGTCTTCCTATTTGAATAGCTTTTCTTTCTTTCTCTTGCCTGATTGCCTTGGTGAGAATTTCTAATACTGTGTTGAATAGGAGTGGTGAGAGAGGGCATCTTTGTCTTGTGTCAGTTTTCAAGGGAACGCTTCCAGGTTTTCAGGTACTCAGGCAACAAATAGCGTTACAATAGAATAGTACCTCACATCTCAATGCTAATGTTGAACGTAAATGGCCTAAATGCTCCACTTAAAAGATATAGAATGGCAGAATGGGTAAGAATTCACCAACCAAGTTGCTGCTGTCTTCAGGAGACTCACCTAACACATACGGACTCACATAAACTTAAGGCAAAGGGTTGGAAAAAGACACTTCGTCTAAATGGACACATCAAAAGCGAGCAGGAGTAGCTGTTCTTATATCAGACAAAACGGACTTTAAGACAACAGCAGTTTTAAAAAGACAAAGAGGGACATTATATAATGATAAAAGGACTAGTTCAACAGGAAAATATCACAGTCCTAAATATATATGCACCTAATACTGGAGATCCCAAATTTATAAAACAATTACTACTAGACATAAGAAATGAGGTAGTTGGCAACACAATAATAGTGGGGGATGTTAATACTCCGCTGGCAGCACTAGGCAGATCACCAAGACAGAAAGTCAACAAAGAAACAATGGACTTAAACTATACCCTGGAACATATGGACTTAACAGATGCTTACAGAACATTCTACCCAACAAGCATAGAATATACATTGTATACATCAGAACACGGGACATTCTCCAAAATAGACCATATGATAGGGCACAAAACAAGTCTCAGTAAATTTAAGAAAATCAGAATTATATCAAGTACTCTCTCAGACCACAGTGGAATAAAATTGGAAATTAATTCCAAAAGGAACACTCAAAAGCATGCAAATACATGGTAATTAAATAACCTACTCCTGAATGATTGTTGGGTCAACAATGATATCAAGAGGGAAATTTAAAAATTCTTTGAACTGAACGATAATAGTGACACAACCTATCAAAAACTCTGGGATACAGCAAAAGTGGAGCTAAGAAGAAAATTCATAGCATTAAATGCCTATATCAAAAAGTCTGAAAGAGCACAAATAAACAATCTAAGGTCACACCTCACAGAATTGGAGAAACTAGAACAGTCCAAATCCAAACCCAGCAGAAGAAAAGAAATAACAAAATCAGAACAAAACTAAATGAAATTGAAACAAAAAAATACAACAGATAAATGAAAAAGCTGGTTCTTTGAAAAGATAAATAAAATTGATAAGCATTAGCAAGATTAATCAAGAAAAGAAGAGAGAAGATCCAAATAAGCTCTATTAGAAATGAAATGGGAGATATTACCACTGATACCACAGAAATACAAAAGATTATTCAAGACTACTATGAACATCTTCACATCCATAAACTAGAAAACCTACAGGAGATCGATAAATTCCTGGAAATATACAACCCTCCTGGATTAAATTAGGAAGATATAGAGACTCTGAACAGACCAATCAGAAGCAGCAAGATTGAAAATGGTAATTTAAAAATTGCCAACAACAAAAAAGTCCAGGACCAGATGAATTCACACCTGAATTCTATCAGACATTCAAAGAATTGGTACTCATCCTATTAACACTATTTCACAGGATAGAGAAAGAGAAATCTTCCCTAAATCATTTGATGAAACCAAAATCACCATGATATGGTTTGGCTCTGTGTCCCCACCCAAATCTCATCTTTTAGCTCCCATAATTCCCACATGTTGTGAGAAGGACCCAGTAGGAGATGATTGAATCATGAGGGCGGGTCTTTTCCATGCTGTTCTCATGACAGTGAGTGAATGTCACAAGATCTGATGGTTTTAAAAACAGGACTTTCTCTACACAAGCTCTTTCTTTTTGCCTGCTGCCATCCACGTAGGATGTGACTTGCTCTTCCTTGACTCTACCATGACTTTGAGGCCTCCCCAAATATGTGGAACTGTAAGTCAAATAAACCTCTTTCTTTTGTAAATTGCCCAGTCTCAGATATGTCTTTATCAGCAGTGTGAAAATGGACTAATACACACCCTAATACTGAAACAGACTAATAGACACCCTAATACCAAAAGCAAGGAAGGACATAATGAGAAAAGAAAGCTACAGACCAACATCCCTGATGAACAGAGATGCAGTAATCCTCAAAAAAAATACTAGCTAGCTGAATCTAACAACATATCAAAAAGATAATCCATCATGATCAAGTGGGTTTCATACCAGGGATGCAGGGATGGTTTAACATCTACAAGTCAATAAATGCGATACACTACATAAACAGAATTAAAAAACAAAAGTCACATGATCATCTCAATAGATGCAGAAAAACCACTTGAGAAAATCCAGCATCCTTATTTTATTAAGACCCTCAGCAAAATCAGCATAGAAGGGACATACATTAAGGTAATAAAAGCCATCTATGACAAACCCACAGCCAGCATTATACTGAACAGGGAAAAGTTGAAAGCATTCCTCCTGAAAACTGGAAGAAGACAAGATTGCCCGCTTTCTCCACTTCTATTCAACATGGTACTGGAAGTTCTAGCCAGAGCAATCAGACAAGAGAAAGAAATCAAGGGCATCCAAAGTGGTAAAGAAGAAGTCTGCCTATTGCTGTTTCCCAATGATATGATTGTATACCTAGAAAACCCTAAAGACTCATCCAAAAAGCTTCTAGAACTGGTAAATGCATTCAGCAAAGTTTCAGGATACAGAGTTACACACAAGTGTGCACAAATCCGTAGCTGTGCTATACACCTTCAGCGACCAAGCCAAGAATCAAATCAATAACTCAACCCTTTTTACAATAGCTACAAATAATAATAATAATAATAAAATACTTAGGAATGTTCCTAACCAAGGAGGTGAAAGATCTCTGCGTGGAAAACTACAAAACACTACTGAAAGAAATCACAGATGACACAAACAAATGGCAGCACATCCCATGCTCATGGATGGGTAGAATCAATATTGTGAAAATGACCATACTGCCAAAAGCAATCTACAAATTTAATCCAATTCCCATCAAAATACCACCATCATTCTTTACAAAATGATGAAAAATAATCCCAAAATTCATATGGAACCAAAAAAGAGCCTACATAGCCAAAGGAAGACTAACCAAAAAGAATAAATCTGGTGACATCACATTACCTAACTCCAAACTATTCTGTAACACCATAGTCACTAAAACAGCATGATACTGGTATAAAAATAGGCACATAGACCAATGGAACAGAATAGAGAACCCAGAATTAAAGCCAAATACTTACAGCCAGCTGATCTTCAACAAAGTGAGGAAAGGACACCCTATTCAACAAATAGTGCTGGGATAATTGGCTAGCCACATTTAGGAGAATGAAACTGGATCCTTATCTCTCACCTTATACAAAAATCAACTCAAGATGGATCAAGAACTTAAGACCTGAAGCCTTAAAAATTCTAGAAGATAACATTGGAAAAACCCTTCTAGACATTGGCTTAGGCAAAGACTTCATGACCAAGAAGCTCAAAACAAATGCAACAAAAACAAAAGATAAATAGATGGGACTTAACTAAACTAAAAAGCTTTTGCACAGCAAAAGAAATAATTAGCAGAGTTAACAGACAACACACAGAGTGGGAGAAAATCTTCACAACCTACACATCCAACAAAGGACTAATATTCAGAATCTACAAAGAACTCAAATCAGTAAGAAAGAAACCAATCCCATAAAAAAGTGGGCTAAGGACACGAATAGACAATTCTCAAAAGAAAATATACAAATGGCCAACAAGCATATGGAAAAATGCTCAACATCACTAATGATCAGGGAAATGCAAATCAAAACCACAATGCGATATCACCTCATTCCTGTAAGAATGGCAATATTAAAAAAATTAAAAAATAATAGATGTCGGCATGGATGTGGTGGAAAGGGAGCACTTTTATAGTGTTGATGCTAATGTAAACTAGTACAACCACTATGGAAAACGGTGTGGAGATTGCTTAAAGAACTAAAAGTAGATCTACCATTTGATCCAACAACCCCATTCCTCAGTATCTACCCAGAGGAAAAGAAGTCATTATACAAAAAAGATACTTGTACACACGTTTATAAGCAGCAAAATTCATAATTGTGAAAATATGGAACCAGCCCAAATGCCCATCAATCAATGAGTGGATAAAGAAAATGTGATATGTGCACACACACCCCATGGAATACTACTCAGCCATAAAAAGGAGCAAACTGGATGGAATTGGAGACCATTCTTCTAATTGCAGCAACCTGGATGGAATTGGAGACCATTCTTCTAAGTGAAGTAGCTCAAGAATGGAAAACCAAACATCATATGTTCTCATATGTGGGAACTAAGCTATGAGAATGTAAAGGCATAAGAATGATACAGTGGACTTTGGGGACTCAGGGGAAATGGTGGGAAGGGAGTGAGAAATAAAAGACTACACATTGAGTACAGTGTACACTGCTCGGGTGAGGGATGCACCAAAATCTCAAAAATCACCACTAAAGAACTTATTTATATAACCAAACACCACCTGTTCCTTAAAAACCTATTGAAATAAAAAGTAAATTTAAAAAAAACCTCCTGGATTCATTGATTTTTTTGAAGGTTTTTTTGTGTCTCTATTTCAGTTCAGCTCTGATCTTGGTTATTTCTTGTCTTCTGCTAGCTTGGGAGTTTGTTTCCTCTTGGTTCTCTAGTCCTTTTAGTTGTAATATTAGGTTGTTAACTTGAGATCTTTCTCTCTTTTTGATGTGGGCATTTAGTGCTATAAATTTTCCTCTTAACACTGCTTTAGCTGAGTCCTGGAGATTCTGTTATGTTGTCTCTTTGTTCTAATTAGTTTTAAAACACTTCTTGATCTCTGCCATAATTTTATTATTTACCCCAAAGTCATTCAGGAGCAGATTGTTCAATTTCCATATAGTTGTGTGGTTTTAAGTGAATTTCTTAATCTTGAGTTCTAATTTGATTGTGCTGTGGTCTGAGAGACTCTTTGTTATGATTTCAGTTATTTTTCATTTGCTGAGGAGTGTTTTTCTTCCTAATTTATGATTAGTTTTAGGGTAAGTGTCATGTGGCTATGAGAAGAATGTATATTCGCTTGTTTTTTGTTGGAGAGTTCTGTAGATATCTATCATGTCTACTTGATCCACAGCTGAGTTCAGGTCCTGAATATCTTTGTTAATTTTCTGTCTCCATGATGTGTCTAATATTGTCATTGTGGTGTTAAAGTCTCCCACTATTATTGTGTGGGAGTCTAAGTCTCTTTGAAGGTCTCCAATAACTTGCTTTATGAACCTGGGTGCTCTTGTATAGGGTGCATATATATTTAGGATAGTTAGCTCTTCTGGTTGAATTGAACCCTTTACCAACAGGTAGTGCTCTTCTTTGTCTTTTTTGATCTTTGTTAATTTAAAGTCTGTTTTGTTAGAAACTAGGATTGCAAGCTCTGTTTTTTTCTGCTTTCTGTTTGCTTGGTAAATTTTCCTCCATCCCTTTATTTTTAGCGTATGTGTTTCTTTGTGTGTGAGATGGGTCTCTTGAATACAGCATACTGATGGGTCTTGGTTCTTTATCTAGCTTGCCATTCTGTGTCTTTCATTGGAGAACACATTGAGATTTAAGGTTAGTAGTATTATATGTGGATTTGATCTCATCATCATGATGCTAGCTGGTTATTTTGCTAACTTGTTTGTGTGGTTGCTTCACAGTGTCACTGTTCTTTGTACTTTAGTGTGTTTTTCTGGTGCCTGGTAATGGTTTTTCCTTTTCATATTTACTGCTTCCTTCAGGAGCTCTTGCAAGACAGGTCTGGTAGTAACAAGTTCCCTCAGCATTTGCTTGTCTGAAAAGCATCTTATTTATCCTTTGCTTATGAAGCTTGGTTTGGCCAGATGTGAAATTCTGGGTTGGAAATTCTTTTCTTTAAGAATGTTGAATATTGGTTCCCAGTATCTTCTGACTTGTAGGGTTTCCACTGAGAGGTCGGCTGTTCATCTGATGGGGTTCCCTTTGTAGGTGACCTGGCCTTTCTGTCTGACTGCCCTTAACATTTTTTCTTTCATTTAGAGTTTGGAGAATCTGATGATTATGTGTCTCAGGGATGATCTCCTCGTGGAGTATCTCACTGGAGTTCTCTGGATTTCTTGAATTTGAGTGTTGGCCTGTCTTGCTAGAACTAACCTGGGGAAGTTAGTTCTCTTGAATCCTATGCTGAAGTATGTTTTCCAACTTGGTTCCATTCTCCTTGTCTTTTTCAGGTACCCCAATCCATCATAGATTCGTTCTCTTTATGTAATCCCATATTTTTTGATGGTATCGTTCGTTCCTTTTCATTCTTTTATCTCTATTCTTGTCTGCCTGTCTTATTTCAGAAAGATTGTCTTCAAGCTCTGAGATTCTTTTCTTGGGCTATTCTGCTGTTAATAATTGTGATTTCATTGTGAAGTTCTTGTAGTGTGTTTTTCAGCTCTAACAGGTGAGTTATGTTTTTCTCTAGACCGGCTATTTTGGCTGTCCGCTCCTGTATTGTTTTGTCATGATTCTTAGTTTCTTTGCATTGGGTTACAAGATGCTCCTTTAGGTCATTGAAGTTCACTGTTATTCACATTCTGAAGCCTACTCTGTCATTTCAGCCATCTCAGGCTCAACCCAGTTCTGAGCCCTTGCTGGAGAGGTGTTGCAGGGATATTCTGGCTTTTTGAGTCCTCAGGATTTTGGGGTTATTTCTCATCTCTGTGGGTCTATCTTAAACTTTGACCTTGAGGATGGGGTTTTTGTGGCTTTTTAAATTGTTATTGTTGTTGTTTCCTGCTTGTTTTTCTTTTAACAGTCTGGCCACTCTTCTGCAGGGCTGCTGCAGTTTGCTGGGGGTTCGCACTATACCCTAGTTGCCTCGGTTTTTCCCATAGCTGGAGGTATCATCAGTGAAGTCTGTGAAACAGCAAAGATGGCTGCCTGCCACTTCCTCTGGAAGCTCCAGCCCAGCAGCGTACTGACTTATTGCTGGCTCGAAAGTGCATGTAAGGAGGTGGCTGGAGACCCCAGTTGGGAGGTCTCCTCCAGTCAGGAGAAATGGGATAAGGGACCTGCTTAAAGAATGATTCTGGCTACTTTTTGGTAGACCAGCTGTGCTGTGTTGGGGATCCCTTCAGTTCCCATTCAGTTTGGGCTGTCCAAAGGCCCACAGGCTGAATTGGCTGAGAAGCTTGAAAGGCCTAGGTGGCAGCCTGCCCCACCCCTCAGGCACTCCATCCCGGGAAGAAATTAGAGCTCTGTTAGCCCCATAGAACATGAGTGACCTACAATTTTGATTTGCCCTTTTACTGGTGATGTTGGCATTGATCACAAACAGTGGTGTCTGCTAGCTTTCTCCTCTGTAATGTTACTTTTTCACCTTGTAATTAATTAATATTAATATTTTGTGGGGAGGTAATTTGAGACTATGTAGATATCTCTGTTCTTCATCAAACTCAATTTATTCATTTACTTGATTTGATATTTACTTGTGGTTTATTTCATTTAATAGGTTATAATTTGACAATTTTTTTAACAATTTTTTTCTTTTTAGAAATGTTTTATTTTGACAATTTTAGACTTATAGAAAAATAGTAAGAAACCTACAAAACATTCTTGGATACTATTCCCCAAATGTGAACATTTTACTATATTTGCTTTATCCTTTCTCCCCCTTTTCCTCTTCTCTTTCTAGGTAAATATAAATGTAGGTGCATAATATAGACTTTTTCTGAATGGTTTATAAGTTGCAGGTATGATGCCTCTTTATTTCTAAATAATTTTATGTGTGTCTCCTAAAAACAATGCATTATCTTGCATAATTATAGTATAACTATCAAAATCAGGAAATTAAAAATGGTTTACTGTTAATATCTCATCCATAAACCTTATTTTACTTTTTTCAGTTGTCTCAATAATATTTTTTATAGCCAAATAATTTAAGATGGGTGATTTTACAATCCATGATGTTGACTTTCATAATCCATGATGTTGAGAGGTTTCAGCATTTTTACGTTGATTCTTTCTCATCTCTGTGGGCCTATCTACCTTTGATGTTTGAGGTTGCTGGCCTTTGGAGGAGGTCGATCTGTGTCAAATTATTCTGTCTTTTTAGTCTCTTTTAGTCCAGCATGATTCCTGAGTCTTTCCTTGATTTTCATGGCATTTATGTGTTTGAAGAGTATGGGTCAGTTTTTTGTGGATTTTCTCTCAGTTTGGGTTCATAGGATATTTCTTCATGATTCAGTTCAGGTTATACCATTCAGGCAGGAAGGTCACACAAGTGAGGCTGAGTTCTTCCCAATGCAGCATATCTGGAGGCATATGCTGTTACTTGGCTCCATTACTGGCCAGTGTTGGCTTTGTTTGAGAATCTACCAGGTCTGTCCATGATAAAGTGACTATCTACCCTTTGTTTTTCACCAATGTCTTACGTGAACATAGTTTGAGGCTCTGTAAATATCTGGTTACTCTAAACATCTCACCCACTAGATTTAGCATTTCATTGATTATTTTTGTTGGGTCAGTTATTATTATGGTGGTTGCCAAATCATGATTGTCTTCATCTTTCATTCCTTCTAAGTGGATAAGTAAAACAAAACAAAACCAACCAACAAATAGGGGAGAAGGGAAAATTTATTGTTTTGCTGTTCAGGTTCCCTCCGCTTTGACCAGTGGTAGCCATTTCAAGCTGAGTTCATGTCTTTTTGAACTGTCCTTATTGTTCTTTGAATACTTCCTTACTTTCTGGCATAAGCTGTTTCAACCATACTTCGTATTTTCTCTGCCCTAGCCCTTGAATCAGCCATTTTCATTTTTTTCCAGAAGCCCTGACTTTCTTTAGGGGACAGTAATTAGAAACCAATATCTGGGCAGTAATTGTGGTAGATACGTATGGCTATTGGAGTTGTCATTGCTCATAGGCTTCCTCAGTGAACAGAGCAGAAAAATACAGCTAGATGGATAAATATACAAACATACATGCTTATATTCATCCATATTTCTATATTAGAATATACTGAAAACCATGAGTTCTTCCTGGTGATTCTAATTCCAGTTGAATCACACATGGCTCATTTTAGTTTTTTTTTCCCTTTCAGTACTCTTGACCTTTGAACAATGTGGAAGTTAGAGGGGCTGAACCCCACACAGCCGAAAATTTGCCTAAATTTTGACTTCCCTGTAATGTAACTGCTGACTGACCTGATTAACTATTGTTGACCAGAAACCTTACCCATAACAAAGTTGATTAATATATATGCTGTATATTCTATGTATTATACACTATATTCTTATAAAAGTAAGCTAGAATTGCCTTAGCTATTCCAGCTGTTTTGGGGTTCGATATAAATTTTAAAATAGTTTATCCTAATTCTGTGAAGAATGTCATTGGTGGTTTGGTAGCTGACTTCAAACTATACTACAAACCTGCAGTAACAGAAATAGCATGGTACTGTTACAACAGCAGACACATATACCAATGGAACAGAATAGAGAGCTAAGAAATAATGCAGCACACCTACAACCATCCAACCTTCAACAACTCCACTTAAAAAAAGCAATGGGGAAAGCAATGGGACTGCTGGATCAAATGGCAATTCTAAGTTCTTTGAGAAATCGCCAAACTGCTTTCCACAATGACTAAACAAGTTTAAATTCCCACCAGAAGTGCATAAACGTCCCCTTTTCTCCACAACCTTGCCAGCTTCTGTTAGTTTTTGACCTTTTAATAATAGTCATTCTGACTGGTGTGAGATGGTGTCTCACTGTGGTTTTGATTTGCATTTCTCTAATGATTAGTGAGTTTGAGCATTTTTTTCGTAGCCTTCTTGGCCACATGTTATGTCTTCTTTTGAAAAGTATCTGTTCATGTCCTTTGCCCACTTTTGATGGGGTTGTTTGTTTTTTTTCTTGTAAATTTAAGTTCCTGGCAGATGCTGGATATTAGACCTTTGTCAGATGGCTAGGTTGCAAATATTTTCTCCCTTTCTGTGAGCTGTTCACTCTGTTGATAGTTTCTTTTGCCGTAAAGAAGCTCTTTAGTTTAATTAGGTCCCATTTGCCAATTTTTGTTTTTCTTGCAATTACTTTTGGCATCTTTGTCATGAAGATCATTTCCAGGTCCTACGTCCGCAATGGTATTTCCTAGGTTATCGTCCAAGGTTTTAATATGTTTTCATTTTAGATTTAAGTTTTTAATCCTGCCTTTGCCTCCCAAAGTGCTGGGATTACAAGCGTGAGCTACCACACCCAGCGAGGAAGCCAAGTTTAACGTGTGTGCTCCACTCCTCCAACCTGGCCAAAGGGCAGTCATCATCACTGGCCACTACTGACCACAGCCTTTAGAAACTCCCCTTGAACGTGCTGGGCTGACCTTCCTCTGATCACAGGCAAGGTAACCATACACTCAAGGCCAATGATCCCATCTGCTGTGGGCTGGGTCATGCTCCCAATGCTTACAGAACCTGGGAGGCAGAGGAAAACTCTGCCCATCCCATGGGACGTTACCTGTAAGCTTTGAACACCAGAATCTTGAGGCCTATCTCTTTCTGGAAGGCTTTGTCTTCCTCTAAACCAGGAAGCTGGAGCAATTCCACCAGATTCTGTACAACAGATGCAACAAGAAAATTCATGAAGAATAGATCTTAGGTTGAATTTTTCACAGAAGACCTTGTAAGAACAGACAATGGTGAGGAAAAAAAAGCCCGAGGTCAATACAATGGGGAAAAGCCTGTGAAGTGACCTGGCAGCAGCCACACCTGCTGTCACCTCCATTCCCCTCTCATCTTGGAAACAGATTTGCCCTTTACAACTCAACTCATAGCTCACCCGCCTTCAGAGACTTCTTGGCCCATCTTAGCTGGAAGGGATCTGTTCCAGCGCTGAGCTTTTATTTTGCTTAGCATCTACTCAGATGCCTTGACTGTGTGTGTCTCACAGTCCTACTGACTGACAAACTCCCTGGGGGCCGAGATGGCATGGATTCAGGTCTCAGATGCTCTATGGCACCTGGGAGCATCTTACACAGGTGAAGTGCTCAGTGATGATCTGGGGTCACTATTCTCTGCAGATCAGCATGTCTGAGAGGTAGGGGCTCACAGACTGTGGAACTGGTGTAAGACCTTTGTCTTTTCCCAGCTACTAACAGGTCCTGCTTGTCACAGCCCCTCCATGATACAAAGTTAAGTCATTTTATGTCTGACACAGGCAAAGGAAAACGACAGGCCCTTGCCTTCCCGGTCCTCAAGGGTCAGCTGTAAGATGATGTCATAAAGCCGGATCAGGTCCTGGGGCCGGGGGGAAGCACTTGCTGTCATCCTCTGGCTGCTGCTGCAGCAGAGCCCTCTGCAGACCTTTGGCCATGCTCTCATTACACTTGATTGCCATTGACAGCTTGATGTAAGTCAGGTAGGTGGAATGCACCACACATCAGCTCAAGTTGTACTCAGAGAAGCAGAGGAACTGGGAGGACTGGACTACGAGTTGGGGCTGACCCAGAGGAAGTGGGGGGGTGAGTTGGGGCAAGGCCACAGCAGGGCCATTTGGCCTGGGCTTCAAGGGACCCTGTAATCCCAACTACTTGGCAGGCTGAGGCAGGAGAATCACTTGAATCCGGGAGGTGGAGGTTTCAGTGAGCCGAGATAGTGCCACTTCACTGCAGCCTGGGCGACAAGAGTGAAACTCCGTCTCAAAGAAAACTAAAATAGGCTGGGTGCAGTGACTCACGCCTGTAATCCCAGCACTTTGGGAGGCCGAGATGGGTGGATCACCTGAGGCTGGGAGTTCAAGACCAGCCTGACCAACATGGAGAAAAACCCCATCTCTACTAAAAATACAAAATTAGCTGGGCGTGGTGGCTCATGCCTGTAATCCCAGCTACTCAGGAGGCTGAGGCAGGAGAATTGCTTGAACCTGAGAGGCGGAGGTTGTAGTGAGCTGGGATTGCTCCATTGCACTCCAGCCTGGGCAACAAGAGCGAACCTCCGTCTCAAAAAATAAATAAATAAATAAATAAAATAAATACATAAAATAAATAAATACATAAATAAAATAGATATGTATTTATGCAAACCATAGAAAAATGTTTGGCAACCATCGCAAGATACCTGACAATGTGAAATAGTTTTATTACAACTGGCCTGACCTTCAAAGGCCTTCACAGCTCCTGCCTTCATGTTACCGTCTACTATGTTCCTCGTGCACCTTCCACTCAGCACAAACAGGCTGCACTGCCTCCGAAACACATCACTTGAATCCTGCCTCTGCTCCTTTGTCCATCTGAATCACCCTCTCCACATTTCTGACCCTGTAATCCTGATCTCACTTCATGAGGCAGTTCGCTTCTCTTTTGCATTTAGCTTTCCCCGGGGTACACTGTCAATAGCCTACTGTCTGATGTCATCAGTCAGCACTTCATCAGAGGCAATTATGTCCACAGAGCTTTTGGCTAATTACTGTCACTCCTCTTTACATGTGTGCATATGCATATCATCTTTCCCTAATGAGACTGGAAATCATGATTCATTCCCTGGAGCAGTGGTTTCCATAAGTGACCAACCCACAGACCAGTGCAAACTGGCTGCAAAAGAGCTTCCTCTGAGGAACTTATTAGAATGCAGATTCTTTGACTGCATGGGAGAGGAGGATCTCATAAATCTGGGTGTAATAGGCACAGAACGTTAGGTGTAATATGGGCGGGACTCTGGACTCAGCATATCCAACAAGCTGCTGGCTGATTCCGACGATGCCGATGAATTGCCAGGTTGGGAACTGCTGCCCCCAGAGAACCTAGCAGAGAGCTCTGTACGTGGTAGGTGCTCACTGCCCTATTGTTTGGGTGTATGCCTCCTGATAATGAACTTGATCATAACATTATTGTTGCATTATGCCTGTATTGTTTCCTTAAGTGAAGGAAGAATGCTTTTGAGTACCTAATAGGTGGCAAGCTCTGTGCCTACTTACATACATGAACTATTCCTTTTAATAACCTTTGGAGATAAAGTGGCATTTCCATTGGGCATTGGAAATCTGAAGACTTTCGTTTACAGCTGTTGCAACAGCAGAACTAGAATTCGACCTCCGACATTTCTGCTCACCAGAGGGCATGAACTGCTGGTTTGTACCTGGCTTGCAGATACCTTCTTTGGGCAGCACAATGTTCAAAATTAAAAAAACTACCAACACTTCTAAACTGGATACTTTGTATCAATATCTGGGTTTCTGGCTTCTCTTCATGGGAAAAAAACAAACAAAAAAAAAGGTTTGGTGAACACTGGGGCCCACATTCCTGCAGGGCAACAGTCACATGGAGACTTTAGATGGGCACGTGCCCAGAACACACTAGAGTCCCCATCGGTCCCCATTCTCTTACATTCTATTCCCAACTAGGTTCTTATAGGCCTGGGTTTGTGCCTGTTGCACACTTATCTACTCTCTTGCTTCCCACTGGTCAGGAAGTCTGGCAAACTTAAAAGG
This sequence comes from Homo sapiens, assembly GCF_000001405.40. Classification (NCBI taxonomy): domain Eukaryota; kingdom Metazoa; phylum Chordata; class Mammalia; order Primates; family Hominidae; genus Homo; species Homo sapiens. The sequence goes on from NC_000017.11 coordinate 16,790,203, forward strand.
CCTCTTTTTGTTGCTCTCTCCTGTATGGATCTCTCATCATAGAGGTGTGTGCATTTCTGACTTTGTGATTTCAATACTAAGGAAGCTGTCGGCACATTATCAAGGAAAACGGGGATCGCTGCTCCCCAACGTACACATTCTGGTGTGCCCCAGTAAAATTCTGTATTCAGCCTCCAAACTAGCTGGGAAAAATGTGGCAAATCATCTACTTGCTCCAATTCAATGGTGTTTAGAAGTAGGAAGTCACTGTGAGCAATGCCACCAAGTGGTGGAGAGACTCCATGCAGAATCGCCACCTTCAGCCAGAGAGGCTGGGAGGCCGAAGACCTCTCTCAATGCACAGGGCCATTCAGAAACTAGAAACAAAATGCTTGCTCATCTCCCTAGGCCACTCCTTCCGAGGCTTTTTGAGACAAGGTCTCACTGTCACCCAGGCCGGAGTGCAGTGGCACAATCAAGGCTCACTGCAACCTCAACCTTCTGGTTTCAAGCGATCCTCCCACTTCAGCCTTTCGAGTAGCTGGAATGACTACAGGCATGGGCCACCACACCCAGCTGATTTTTTTTTTTCTTTTTAGTAGAAATGAGGTCTCGCCATATTGCTCAGACTGGTCTTGAACCAACACATTTTTAGCTTTTTAAAAGACAGCCTTGGCCAGCCATGGCAGCTCACACTTGTAATCACTGCACTTTGGGAAGCTGAGGTGGGCAGATAGCTTGAGCTGAGGAGTTCAAGACCAGCCTGGGCAACATGGTGAAACCCCATCTCTACAAAAAATACAAAAATTAGCTGGGTGTGATGGTGCACATCTGTGGTCCCAGCTACTGGGGAGGCTGAGGTGGGAGGATTGCTTGAGCCTGGGAGGTCGAGGCTGCAGTGAGCTGTGATTACCTCACTGCATTCCGGCCTGGGCAACAGAGACCCTGTCTCTATTTAAAAAAAAAAAAAGAAAGAAAGAAACCTAAAAACAGACTGGCACTTAAAAGAGTTGTGCTTCATTTTTTGACTTTCTGTATTAATTTTGTTTGTTCCTTTCCTTAAACAAGCTGCCACTGCTGCTGATTCAACATGTTTCATTTTATACTTTTTTTTTTTTTTTGAGACAGTTTCGCTCTTGTTGCCCAGGCTGCAGTGCAATGGCGTGACCTCGGCTCACTGCAACCTCTGCCTCCCAGGTTCAAGCAATTCTCCTGCCTCAGCCTCCCAAGTAGCTGGGTTTTCAGGCATGCACCACCACACCCGGCTATTTTGTATTTTTAGTAGAGACGGGGTTTCTCCATGTTGGTCAGGCTGGTCTGGAACTCTCAACCTTAGGTGATCTGCCTGCCTTGGCCTTCCAAAGTGCTGGGATTACAGGCGTAAGCTACTGGGCCTGGCCCATTTTATACATTTTTAATGTGTATTCTTGTTTTTGGAAAATGTGACCAGAGGACTATTAAACTCTTTTAGCATCAGTGTAGCAAGGAGGTAAAAAAACAAACAACAAAACAAACAAAAAAAACCCTTTTTGTAAAATAGGTTTGAGTATCGTTGGATTGAGCACTTACCAAGCAACTGTGCCAGGCATTTGTGTCCTTCATTTAATTCTTACAAGCCTGAGTGTTCGGTATTTTAATTTTATAGGTGAACAAATAGAAGCTGAGGGTGAAGGACCTACAGCTGTCACCTTTATCTCTTCTCAACACTGCCAACTGTCCCCTTGGATCTCCCAGACAGACAACAAGGGACATCTCTGGTTTCTCGGTGCCCCCTAGAAACCTCGGGTCATTTCAAGGCATTATGCAAATGAGAAGCTTTCCTTCTCTTCACCTCATCTCCTGATCTGCACAAAAGTGACTGTAGGACCCAGTGTAGGTACCGATGTAGGCACCAATCCTCAGTTTACCACCTGCTCTCTACTTGCTTCCCTGCCATAACTTTCTAAAAGGGATGTGAGCCATGTTTAAAGTCACCTGGTCACTGGAGGGATCTTGTTCTACCCTCTGTAGTAGTACCTCTGTAGGGTAGTACCCACTGTAGGGATCTTGTTCTACATCAGTGGTTGCCAACCTTTTTGGCACCAGGGACTGGTGTTGTGGAAGACAATTTTCCACGGACTGGGGGGATGGGGGGAATGGTTTCAGGATCAAACTGTTCCACCTCAAATCATCAGGCATTAAATTCTCGTAAGGAGGGCACAACCTAGATTGCTAGCATGCGCAGTTCACAATAGGGTTCGTTCTCCTGCGAGAATGGCATGCCGCTGCTGATCTAACAGGAGGCAGAGCTCAGGCGGTAATGGGAGCAAGGGGGAGCGGCTATAAATACAGCTCACCGCTCACCTGCTGCTGTGCAGCCCGGTTCCTAACAGGCCATGGACGGTGCTGGTCTGTAGCCCAGGAGTTAGGGAATCCTGCTCTACAGAGTTTCCAACCTCAGAGATGAAGCATCCCCTCTGTAAGTCAGAAAGAAATTATTCAAGTAGGAGAATTAAAACAGGATCACAGAGAGGGAAGCTGAAGAATTTGACATTCTGTGTTTACTTGTATGAGGAAAAACAGCACATAGAGGCATCCACAGTAATTAATTTGTTTGGATAACAGTTACAGATAAACAGGTACACCCCATATACAATTACCAATACTTTTTATACAGTTCATATTTCAGTACATCAACACTGTTTTATTTACACTCTATTTATATACATTAACATCTTTTTAAATTGGGATTATTGTCCATATGTTTTATATTTTTTATTCCAGTGATTTCCCTTTTAGGAATTTATCTGAGGGGAGAATACTCTGTAATTACTCCATAATTTGCAGGCAAATATCATCATAGCATTTTTTAGGAGAGTAAAAAGTTATTAACAACTTATATTTGTCTCACATTAGAGGAATGGTTAAATAAAGCATGGTGTATTCATTGGATAAACTATAATGCAGTTGTTGAAAATGATTACCAGGAGTTTTTGCTAACATTTATGGGAACATGCTTATGATATGTGAACATTTTTTTAAAAACAAGACATAAAGTTGCATATACTGGAAATAATACCTTCAATATTGAAAAAAATACTATTTAGGAAAAAGGACAGAAGAAAATCTGCCAAAATTTTGACAGTGGTTGCCTTTGTATTAAGAATATAAAAGGATTCCATGCCTTTTTACATTTTTCTCTGCTTTCCAAAATTTCCACATGAATATTATGCCTAGTAATCAGAAAAAAATACAGGGACACTCACTCTTATCCTTTACATTTCTCTCCTGTTTGGACCTCAGATTCCTCAGTAGAAAATTAAACTAGATGCCAGCCTGGGCAATATGATGTCACCCTGTCTTTACAAAAAATGCACAAATTAGCCAGGTGTGGTGTTGTGCACCTATAGTCCCAGCTGCTTGGGAGGCTGAGGTTGGAGGATTGCTTGAGCCCAAGAGATCAAGGCTGCAGTGAGCTGTGATCTCGCCACTGCACTCCAGCCTGGGTAACAAAGCAAGACCCTGTCTCAAAAAAAAAAAAGAAAAAAAAAGAAAAAAAGAAAATTAAACTAGACAAATTCTTAAGCCTGTCTCTCTTTTTTTTTTTAATAGTCTTATATGAAGACTATTACTTCATTTCCTGTGTTTTGTGTTAAGATGAGCTTTAAAGCAACTCTGAAAAAGAAGAGGGTGCCTATAAGTAATTCATAGACTGTTTAAACAATAGTAGAGGATCTAAGCATAGATCCCAAGAGGTAAAGGGAATCTTTATCACTTTGGGAACTTTTACTGATAAATAGAAATTACTGTCAGTACAGTCCACAAATATGTTGTTTATCAGCCATCTTTCCTCCCTGTCTTCCTCTAGCACTGTAGCCTGTGTTCCCCAGAAAATATAGTCAATAAAATTCAACATTCTTTACTAGCTTACTCTAATTTGTGGTTGGCCATAAAGTATTCCTGGTAGAGATAATAGAGATAATATTTAACTGGCCATGAGAAAGGAAACACTATCGTATATGATACACCCCTTTTTCTACTCATTCCAACAACGATGATACAGCACGTTTCCTTTTGAAGCACGTGTTTTTTCCTTGAGTGACCAGTTCAAAAGATGATGACAGTTAATATCTTGTTACTACAGAATTTGTACTCAAAAAAGAAGTCTATAACCCAAGTCCAAGCCAGATTTCTTTTTCTAAAAAAAGAATTTTCCTCTAAGTTCCCCTTTTTAAATGAGCTTTTTAGCCTGGATAATTATGCAGTGCTAGAACCTTAACTGCATGATCAAACCCAACCTTGCTTGTTTATAACAGCATTTGACAGCCTCGTGACTCTCACATAGGGAAAAAGTCTCGCCTGAAAACCCATGCTAAGCTGCATGTCTTGAGCTGTGCCAATTTGTATTCCAGGCAGCCTAAGGTTCCCATCGTGAGTTTCAGGAAGGGAAATTCATGGAGGAAGTTCACCTCTGGAAGGGTGAGGAGCAATAAATAGGGTGGGTGATGGACATATGTGACGTTTGCCACAGAGAGGCAGTCAGTATGGGCCTTGTGGTCCGGGCTCTGCTTTGGGACACAAATATAAACTGTGTGAAGTCTTATGGTAGCATTCATAACCCTGATGCTTCACCCACCTTCCCATACATTAGAGGGACAAACAGAAGGATCCCAGCTCTATGGTTCTTGATTGTTTGTCAGGTAGCAGCCAGGCATGGAGAGGGAAAAATTCTTTCTTTTCTGCTGCACTCTAGATCCTTCCTTCTCTCCTCCTTCATTCTACACCACCCCCAACACATATCCCTGCACCCCGCCCATTCTTTGCTCTCTCCTTTCTTACACTTAACTCCTTCTTGCTCCACAGCCTAACATGCTGATTAACAGGACCCCAAAGGTTTGGGTGGGTATTAGGGGCCTTCTCAACAAAAGCAGCACACTCTTGAGCTTGTTCTTCCTTTTGTTGCCATCTCAGATAAAAAGGCCCCATGAGGGAGGAGACAGATAAGTATAGACTTGGTATTCTGATAACTCTGTGTTACATGGGATCAGATGTAAATGAGTTGTACCCTGTGATGTTTCATGCTCTGCTGTGTTGTCTTCTCATGGTGAGCTTTTCTGTGCCCTTATTTCATCCAGCTCTGGTTTCTGTGTTTCATGTTATTTCTCCTAGCCTCTGTAAACTCTGCAGCATACGAATAATGCTCTGGCTTTCTGATTAAAGATAAATGGCTTACTATCATCACCCCTGGCTTGAGGGCCAGCTCACATGTAATCCCTTATAGGATTCCAAAGTTGTTAAATAAATGCAGTTCTTTTTGTCATTTTGAAGCATTCAAAAATTTTTCAAGAAAAGCTATGATCATATAAATAGAAATTTTATCCAGAATGTTACAATGTAACATTTGTGAATAAATGTGTAGGTGCTGTATTTGCTCAGACTCTAGTTTGGGTTGTGTTTTCTTTTCCCTTTTTTTTTTTTTTTTTTTGAGACAGGGTCTCTCTCTGTCATCTGGGCTGCAGTGCAGTGGCGTAATCACAGCTCACTGCAACCTCTACTCCCAGGCTCAAGCAATCCTCCTGAGTAGCTGGGACTAGAGACATGCGCCACAACGCCCAGCTAATTTTTAGGTTTTTCTTTCACATAGACAGGGTCTCTGTTGGCCAGGCTGGTTTCGAACTCCTGGACTCAAGCAATTCCCCCCACCTCAGCATCCTAAAGTGCTGGGATTACAGGCCTGAGCCACCATACCCAGCCAGTTATATTTTCTTTTTCCTTATATAGAGTAAAATAAGGGTGAGTGACCGAGAGGTTGATGCATAGCTAGATCACCAGTTTAAATGCCTTCCCACACACCCCTTTCCTCCTGTTCCCTCCACCTACAGGTTGTAGATGAGCATGAGAGTGTGGAGCAGAGTCGGCGAGCGCAAGTCGAGCCCATCAACCTGGACAGCTGTCTCCGTGCTTTCACCGGTGAGGAAGAGCTAGGGGAAGATGAGATGTACTACTGTTCCAAGTGTAAGACCCACTGCTTAGCAACAAAGAAGCTGGATCTCTGGAGGCTTCCACCCTTCCTGGTATGTTACAGTCCTGCCTCTGAGAGAGCAGGAATCTAGCATAAAAGAAAGAAGACATGAACAAACAGGAGGTTTTGTTATTTTTGAGAATAAGACTTTTCCTGCAGCAGTGTTTAAAACACTTTCTGTACAAGGTTTTTATGTTGAATACAGAGATGAATCTTTCTACAAATATTTGGTAGTTCCTTTTCCTAAAGAACTTACAACCTAGAAGAAGAGATCAATCATGTAGACCAGTAACTGCAATTCAGTGTGATGTGAGAACTGCCACAAGGGTTACAACGTGGTGAATTTGAACTTCAGGAGAGGGTGAACTTCTGGCTCTGTGGAGAGAGGAAGCTCAGGCTAGCCCTTTGTGGACTCTAGAAGAGCAACTGAGCCCGGAGCCCCCAACACCCACTGCACATAGTCATGTGGCTGTGGCACGCTGCTGAGTTGAGTGTGTGTGCACAAGCACACCAGTGCACTAGGGCCTGTGTGTTCTTTTAGATTTAATTTACTTCTGCCTTCTCCCTTCATGGATTAGGAGACTGTCCTTTTGTTTGTCAGGAGAGTTTGAAATGACAAATCTTCCTATTCATTAAGATCAGTGTAACTGTAAGGTACTGGCCTATTTTAATCAGATATTTATATGTATGTTCTTTCTTTTTTTTTTTTTTTTTTTTCGGAGACAGGGTCTCACTGTGTCACCCAGGCTGTAGTGCAGTGTTGTAATCTCAGCTCACCGCAACATCCACCTCTTGGGCTCAAGTGATTCTCTTGCCTCAGTCTCCTGAGTAGCTGAGATTACAGGCATGCACCACTACCACCTGGCTAATTTTTGTACTTTTAGTAGAGATGGGGTTTCACCATGTTGGCCAGGCTGGTCTCGAATTCCTGACCTCAGGTGATCCGCCCACCTTGGCCTCCCAAAGTGCTGGAATTACAGGCATGAGCCACCATGCCCAGCCGTATTTTCTTATTCTAATCATGTCTCTGTCACACTACTCTGTGAAGCTGAATGTAGGTTTTTCTTAGACCAGAACAGCTTCCCAGGGAATGATGCACAAGAAATTAATAACACTGGTTGTCAGCTAGCTCCACAGATAAGAACTAGAGGGAAGGGGCAGGCTTGGGGACAAGGTGGGTGGGGAGGAGGGGGAGACCTTTTTTTTTTCTTTTGAGATGGAATCTCGCTCTGTCGCCCAGGCTGGAGTGCAGTGGCAAGATCTCAGTTCACTGCAAGCCCCACCTCCCAGGTTCACACCATTCTCCTGCCTTAGCCTCCCGTGTAGCTGGGACTACAGGCGCCCACCACCACGCCTGACTAATTTTGTGTGTGTTTTTTATTTTTTTTTTTTTAGTAGAGACGAGGATTCACTGTGTTAGCCAGGATGGTCTCGATCTCCTGACCTCGTGATCCACCTACCTCGGCCTCCCAAAGTGTGGGGATTACAGGTGTGAGCCACCATGCCTGGCCAAGGGGGAGACATTTTTAAAAAAATTGAGGTATAATTAACATACAATTAAAAGCATAGATTTTTAATATCCAGTTTGATGAATTTTAACAAGTATATATTTTCATATAATCATCAAATAAAACAAGCAGAGCGGTCATGTAGCCCAGTAACTGCAATTCAGTGTGATGTGAGAACTGCCACAAGGGGTACAACGTGGTGAATTTGAACTTCAGGAGAGGGTGAACTTCTGGCTCTGTGGAGAGTGGAAGCTCAGGCTAGCCCTTTGTGGACTCTAGAAGAGCAACTGAGCCTGGAGGCAGTACCCACTGCGCAGTCACGTGGCTGTGCCACGCTGCTGAGTTGAGTGTGTGCACAAGCACACCAGTGCACTGGGGCCTGTGTAGAGGCCTTTAGGAAACCATATTTTTGAAGTCTTTAAAAAATAATGAAGAGTAAATGTTCTGTTATATATTCCCAAACATTCACATGTATTTGACTTGTTTTTTCCATGTAAATTTTGTATCTTCAGAACGCTTTAATGCAATGTTTTCTACCTTTACTTCTCCAGATTATTCACCTTAAGTGATTTCAGTTTGTAAATGATCAGTGGATAAAATCACAGAAAATTGTCAAATTTCCTCGGGAAAGTTTTGACCTGAGTGCTTTTTTGGTACCACGAGACCCGGCTCTCTGCCAGCATCAACCACTCACACCCCAGGGGGATGAGCTCTCCAAGCCCAGGATTCTGGCAAGAGAGGTGAAGAAAGTGGATGTGCAGAGTTTGGCTGGGGAATAGGACATGCTCCTGAGCAAAAGCCCATCCTCACTCAGCGCTAACATCAGCAGCAGCCCAAAAGGTGAGGCCTGGGGGCCTTATGCAGTTGCTTTCTTGGGACTCCTGTAGGCTACATATGTTTCTCTGTCTTCTGTTCTGGAACATCAGGTTGGTTGGGTGGAAGGAACCTATCTGGAATCAGACCTATCTGTATTTGAGCTTTGTAAGTTTTATCAAGAGATTCAGCCTCCCTGAATCTATTTTCTCATCTGTAAAATGGAGATAATGCCAGGTTTACAGAGTTGAGAGTTTGACACATGGAGAGTAAAGCACTTCACACAGTGCCTGATGTATGGTAAACAGGAATGGTAGCTGCTGTCTTGTCCCCTTATAGTGAAAGTTCTGAGGTTCCCCATCTTTCAGGGGGTCTAGAGGATCAAAACTCTTTATTTATTTATTTATTTTATTTTTTATTTTTTTGAGACAGGTTCTCACTCTGTCACCCAGGCTGGAGTGCAGTGGTGCAACACAGATCACAGCTCACTGCAGCCTCGACCTCCTGGGGTCAATCAATCCTCCCACCTCAGCCTCCTGAGTAGCTGGGACTACAGGCACGCACCACTGCACCTAGCTAATTTTTGTATATTTTGTAGAGATGGTGCTTCGCCATGTTTCCCAGGCTGGGCTCGAACTCCTGCACCCAAGTGAACCTCCTGCTTCGGCCTCCTAAACTGCTGGGATTACAGGTGTGAGCCACTGTGCCTGGCCCAAAACTATTTTCATAAAAATACTAAGACAATATGTGCCTTTTCACTTTTATTCTCTCACAGATGTACAATGGTGTAAGAGACAACATGACGTGGAATAATATCGTCACTTTGACAGTGAAGATCTGTGCTAATGTATTGTACTTTTTCATGCCTCAGTTTTAGTTTCTAATACAGGAAATATTGATAGATAAAATTCACATAAAAGTTCTAAAGGTTCTCAGTAATTTTTAAAGGTATAAAAGGGGGTAGGGGTAAGAGGCTATAACCAAAAAGTTTAAAGCCTTACAGGATTTTTGTGAGACATAGAGGTAACAATGGACAGCAAGAAATTCCCAGTACCATGCCTAACAATAGGAAGTACTCAGTAAATGGTGGTCGCATTTTTTGTCTAATTTTACAAAGGAGAGGAATATGTATTTGGAAAACTCCTTACTCTTAATAATTAGATTTTTTTCAACTGAATCTGACATAAATCATCTTTCTGCTATTTTCTGAGTCCCTATAACCTACTTTACATTTTCAGGACATTGTTGCTTATAGGGACTCGGCATTGAAGAAGACAAAAATGTAACTTACCTGCTACACAATAGGAACTAAAGGGTAGCCAGTCACGACTCCCCTGTCTTTACCTTTGTGTGCACATTTGTGAAGCTAACCTCAGAGTTAGCATTTGGGGCTGGCTTACTTTGTGGCATTTGGATTTGTGAATCTTTTCTTCTGTCCTGTTCACAGGTTCTCCTTCTTCATCAAGAAAAAGTGGAACCAGCTGTCCCTCCAGCAAAAACAGCAGCCCTAATAGCAGCCCACGGACTTTGGGGAGGAGCAAAGGGAGGCTCTGGCTGCCCCAGATTGGCAGCAAAAATAAACTGTCAAGTAGTAAGAAGAACTTGGATGCCAGCAAAGAGAATGGGGCTGGGCAGATCTGTGAGCTGGCTGACGCCTTGAGCCGAGGGCATATGCGGGGGGTGGGCAGCCAACCAGAGCTGGTCACTCCTCAGGACCATGAGGTAGCTTTGGCCAATGGATTCCTTTATGAGCATGAAGCATATGGCAATGGCTATAGCAATGGTCAGCTTGGAAACCACAGTGAAGAAGACAGCACTGATGACCAAAGAGAAGACACTCATATTAAGCCTATTTATATGCAATTTCAGTAAGTGGTTTATTGTATGGTTTTCGGAGAGTGGTCTGTGTTTTGTTCACTTGTCTTCATGTATTCATCAGCAAGTATTTTTCAGGTCCTGCTTATTTCCTAGCATTGAGCTTAGTGATAGAGAAAGTTAACATAGAAATCTGGGCCTGCCCAGGTGTGGTGGCTCACACCTGTAATCCCAGCACTTTAGAAGGCTGAGGCAGAAGGATCGCTTGAGCCCAGGAGTTTGAGACCAGCCTGGGCCCCATCTCTACAAATAATTTTAAAATGGAGCGAGGTATGGTGGCATTGCCTGTGGTCCCAGCTACTTGGAAGGCTGAGGCAGAAGGATCACCTGAGCCCAGGAGGCCAAGTCTTTAGAGAGTTGTGATCACTCGACTGCACCCCAGCCTGGGTGATAGAGCAAGCCCCTGTCTCAAAATAATAATAATAATAGTAATTACATTATAAAATGATTGTTTATCCACACAAGACTTGGAGCTTATGACTTTTGTATTTTGCTTTTTGCTTATTTTGGTTTTAGAGAAAGTTAGAGGGTTCTAAAATATTTTCTCACCTACTGATCATTTACATGATCACTGTTCTCCTGCTCAGATCCTAGTGCTATACCCTGGCCATAGTACAGTTAACTACTAACATACATCCACTCTCTTATCTCTTACAGTGCCATTCAGGAATTCTGAGTGGGGGCCATTACGTCACTTATGCCAAAAACCCAAACTGCAAGTGGTACTGCTACAATGGCAGCATCTGTGAGGTAAACATTCTCAATCTTTGAATGAAAGTTAGAAACAATCAACAGAACTGGGGAACATTTTTTGAAATAATGGACTATCTCTTGAATAGGAAATAGATATTTCTGTTAGAATCAATATATAGATGCTGTCAGTATTAAAGAAACAAAAGTGATATGCAGAATAGGGAATGAAAACATGAGTAGCGAGGAAAAATAAAGAGTTAGTTGACCGGGCGCAGTGGCTCATGCCTGTAATCCCAGCACTTTGGGAGGCTGAGGCAGGCTTAGGAGGTGGATCACTTGATGTCAGGAGTTCAAGACCAGACTGGCCAACATGGTGAAACCCCATCTCTGCTAAAAATACAAAAATTAGTTGGGCATGTTGGCACATGCCTGTAATCCCAGCTACTCAGGAGGCTGAGGCAGGAGAATGGCTTGAACCTGGGAGGTGGAGGTTGCAGTGAGCCAAGACTGCACCGCTGCACTCCAGCCTGGGCAACAGAGCAAGACTCTGTCTCAAAAAAAAAAAAAAAAAAAAAGGAGTTAGTTAATGCAAAAAACTCCTATCTTATAGACTTAGAATTTGATGGGGTTGGACCAAGTGCAGTGGCTCACGCCTGTAATCCCAGCACTTTGGGAGGCCAAGGTGGGCAGATGATGAAGTCAGGAGATCGAGACCATCCTGGCTAATATGGTGAAAGCCCGTCTCTACTAAAAATACAAAAAATTAGCCAGGCGTGGTGGCACATGCCTGTAGTCCCAGCTACTCAGGAGGCTGAGGCAGGAGAATCACTTGAACCCAGGAGGCAGAGGTTGCAGTGAGCTGAGATCGTGCCAGTGCACACCAGCCTGGTGACAGAGCAAGACTCCATCTCAAAAAAATAAATAAATACAAAATAAATAAATAGAATTTGATGGGGTTTTAGGTCATTCTGTTTTGACTTGTCTATGGTCAAAATATTTTCTCCAAAGCAAACATTGGAAATAATGGGGCTCATTTTAAAGGGGCAGGTGTGAGACAGCCAAACTAGCGAGCTTATTGGAAGCAATCAGGTTTAGTAATTACAGAGGGTTGGTCTTCCCTTTCCTGGCAAGGATTTAGAGCCATAATAGTGATGGCTTTTTGTTAAAGGTTTTTCTTGCCCTTTCAGGAACGTCACCCTGATGAAATTGACACCAACTCTGCCTACATTCTTTTCTATGAGCAGCAGAGGATAGACTACGCACAATTTCTGCCAAAGATTGATGGCAAAAAGATGGCAGACACAAGCAGTATGGATGAAGACTTTGAGTCTGATTACAAAAAGTACTGTGTGTTACAGCAAAGCTACCACTCTGGCTGCTAGACAGCTTGGTGGGGAGGGAGATGACTCCTTGTAGCTGATACTTGGCAAAGATGTCACTGAGAGGCAAGCTAAATGTAGTTATTTTATCCTGTTAGAATACAAATTCTAATTAAAATAGTTAACTTTAAGAGTAGTAGTAATTTTATTTTGAAGTCTCATGCAAGTTGTCTGATAGAGAACTTTCAGGCAGATCCCACCATTAGCCTGTAAACAAAAGGTTTGGCACCAGCCACCTGGGACCAAATAAGAATTCAATTGTGCTTGTCCAGATATGAACAAATATGTAGTGAGTATAGAGTTTATCAATAATCATAACAAATATTAAAGATTTCCTTGGAGTCAAAGTAAAAAACAAAAAATTATAATGTTGTCTAGGGATGACATGATATGCTACCTCCTTTTTCCTGAAGTTTTATTCCATTCTGTTGACAAGATGGAGAAAGCAAGATCATGAAGGTGTGCAAATGATTCTTACGGCATGGGCGAGGATTTTTCAATTTATTTTTTAAAGTTTCCATACCCTTTCTTTGTCTTTCTTGCTTTTTGTTTTTGCCTTTGTGTTTATGTTTGAGATACAACCAGTCATTGGTGGCAGGGGCATAGAGTGGTCAGTCTGAAAGGGAGGCTCTCTTAAGAGCTATGTGCCTTCCACCCAGAGGGAGACCCAGTAGAAAGAAAAACATCCTGGGAAATCCAGCTACCATGGCCCTCCCAGTGGAGGCATCTTACATTTAGGATACTTCAAGTATCCTCAGAAATGTATTCTGCACCCCCGGCCCCGCCCATGCTGAGGGAAGGGGAGCAGTTGCCAATATTTGCACCATCTTCACATGCACATGTTGCAACAAGAGCTTCTGGGAAGGTAAGCAGCATCGGAGCTAGATCACGTTTCACAATTAGTGGTTGTTCTTTTCCGTGTTTATTTTGCACTTTAAAAAAGAGAGAACGCATGCAAATGAACTTGCTTGTGTGTATTTGATGGCTCTAAGGGCTATAAATTACAAACAAAACACATCCCAGACATTAGGAGTTCATAAGTATATTTAATGAAATTGGTGGTTTTAGGAAGTCAACTTTAGTTTTGCTTTGTTTGCATGTCCACTAATTTTTTTATTTTGATATTAGTCTTTTTTAAAAAATTTTACAGTAGTCATTGAAAGTTATGTTTCTTTGTTTACTTCATTTTTTCCTCTAATTATTCAAGACTGGCACAAAAGTATAAATATTATTTATTTCAGGTAGAATTTTTTTCGTGTAGTTTTTTAATATATACTTGAAGGAAATGTTTCACCTTATTTTTGGTCTTTGTTTATTCATTTAGACCCTGCAAGTTGATTCTCATTAATTGTCAGATTCCACTACACTTTCTTCCTCATAGGTAGTAATTACCAGTGTAACTAAGCATTTGTGTTCTGATATCTGAGGCCAGTAACTATTAATGTCTAGTTCTCAGAGCATTTGGAAAGGTTATCTTAAATGGCTACCTAAATTGAAATCCTTTTCAGAAAAAATATAATTGCAAATAGGTAGGAGTGGCCTAAATTATCTAATGTAATAAAGTCAGACAAAATGCATACTTTATAGTTTCAAGATTTTCAGTACATAAAATCTGTCCTTTCCTACCTGGACATGTCCCATTAAAAAGTGGGAGATTTTAAATAATTTCTTTACAGATGTTTTATTTAAGCAGGTAGCACAATCTACTAATGTTGTTTGATCTGTGTTTGTTATACTGGTTGTAATTAATTTTTTTAATTCATGAACTAGCGGAAAATTTATTAAATTAACTATTAACCACATTCACCTTGTAAATGACTGTATAAAACTTGTTGACAATGCACTGACTTTAGAAAGATGTTAATGTGCATAAATAGAGTGTAAATAAAATAGTGTTGATGTACTGAAATATGAACTGTATAAAAAGTATTGGTAATTGTATATGGGGTGTACCTATTTATCTGTAACTATTATCCAAACAAATTAAATACTGTGGATGCCTCTATGTACTGTTTTTCCTCATACAAGTAAACACAGAATGTCAAATTCTTCAGCCTCCCTCTCTGTGATCCTGTTTTAATTCTCCTACTTGAATAATTTCTTTCTGACTTACAGAGGGGATGCTTCATCTCTGAGGTTGGAAACTCTGTAGAGCAGGATTCCCTAACTCCTGGGCTACAGACCAGCACCGTCCATGGCCTGTTAGGAACCGGGCTGCACAGCAGCAGGTGAGCGGTGAGCTGTATTTATAGCCGCTCCCCCTTGCTCCCATTACCGCCTGAGCTCTGCCTCCTGTTAGATCAGCAGCGGCATGCCATTCTCGCAGGAGAACGAACCCTATTGTGAACTGCGCATGCTAGCAATCTAGGTTGTGCCCTCCTTATGAGAATCTAATGCCTGATGATTTGAGGTGGAACAGTTTGATCCTGAAACCATTCCCCCCATCCCCCCAGTCCGTGGAAAATTGTCTTCCACAACACCAGTCCCGGGGGATGGTGAGCAGAGCAGTGCAATGGCCTGACCTACCAGGTAAAGGCTCCCTCTCGATCAGGATTTCTCAACCCAGCACTAGTGACACTTGGGGCAGGATCATTCCTTGTTACGGAGACTGTCCTATGCAGTGTGGGATGTTCAGCAGCACCCCTGACCTCTGCCTACAAGACGCCAGGAAGGACCCTCTGTCTGAGTCATGACAAAGAAAAACATCCCCAGACCCTGCCAAATGTAACCTGGGGGGCAAAAACACCCACATTTGAGAACCATGGTTCTAGGATATAGGAGTGTGGACCCAGGCAGCTCAGGTTTACACAGGCTGGATTTGAGGTGCCTGTGAGACCTGCTTGCTGAGATTCTTTTGAGCAGTCAGACAGGAGGGGCTGGAACCCAGGAGAAAAGTCTGGGCAGCTTTGCTGTCTTCAGGCTCGGTGGCTGTTAGAAGGAATGTGGCAGAAAAAAAGAAAGCGATACCCAAAGAGTCTACTTCATTTAATTTAAATTTTTGAGCAAGGATTATGCTAAAGTCGCCAGGCAAGAGACCGAGATGAGCCCACCTCACAAACCCAGAAACCTCAGATCCAAGGCAGCTGTATAAGGTACAGATCGTTCCGGACTGTAGAAGAGAGGGTTAATCCAACTTCATCAGGAGAGAAATGCCATTATCCACTGAACTATTTCTTGACTATCTCCTGTATGCTGGTCAGTTTCACTCACATTGTCTCATTTAATCTTTGACAAACTAAATAAAAGTGTGAAGTAAATATTTTCCCCTCCCTTTTTTTTAAAGATTAGAAAACAGAGGCTCAAAAGGACCCACATACTCAGAGTCACCCTGTCAATGACAGAGGTGGAGTTTGAACACAGGCTGTTTAATGCCAAAGCCCAATACTGGCTTCTGGAAGCTTCTAGAAGGAGGGGCTGGAACTTCACATTGAAGACGTTGAGGGGCAGTGTTGCAGGAAAATGAGAGAGGGAAACATACCAGGCAAAGGGAACTGCTTGGGCATGGCTTCGGCAGAGAACGAGGTACAGAGATTTGAGGACAGGATGATTTCTTGGAACACAGAGCTTGGTTCAGTAGAAAGAGCCCAGGAAAGCCAGGATGTGGCCAGTTGAAAGGGAGGGGCTTTGAGCCATTTTGCATTTTACTCTATTGGCATCAAGGAGACAAGTAATGAGAACTCTGACTTGGGAAAAATGTTAAGGATCAATTTATCTCAAATATCACATGTAGCTCTTAAGTCTGAGGGCCCTCTATTCCTCATCTTACCTAAAAGGCACGAACACACCTCTCCAAGTCAGGTATAGGGCCCCCAACAATAGTTGCCTGGTCAAAAAATGTATCCTCAGAGTTTACTACTACTACAGTAAATCTGGACACAGTTTCTGAAAATTTTTGTTTCCCTAAAAGTTTCCATCAAACTATATTCACTGACATGTAATGATAATCATCAAGACTAAATCACATCCTAGGAGGTATCTGAATGCAACCGTGAGGTGCTCCTTCATGTCCGAAGATGCATTTATAACAATCTGGAAAACAGTCTAGATCTTCTTGGAAGTTAGACCTCAACTTTATCTGAATTTTGATGATAAATTAAGAGCTCTTCTTGTGCAGTTTCTGAGGTTCTTCAAAAGAGTGACTGTTTCTCTGTTTCTCCAGAAAAATACTACAATATGTGGTGTGTGTGTGTGTGTAGGTGCCTGTGCACATGTGTGGGTGTGTGTGAATTTGCCTATATGTGTGTGTGGATGGAGTAGGTATACATGCTGTGAGTGTGTGTGTGGATGTGCATTGTGAGTGTGGGTGGGAGATTGTGAGTGCATGTGAGTGTGTGTGTGGATGGAGTAGGTATACATGCCTGTGAATGTGTGTGTGGATGCGGATGTGTGAGTGTGGGTGGGAGATTGTGTGTGGATGCATGTGAGTGTGTGTGTGGATGGAATAGGTATACATGCTGTGAGTGTGTGTGTGGATGCGGATGTGTGAGTGTGGGCGGGAGTTTGTGTGTGAGTGCATGTGAGTCAGTGTGTGTGGCGAGTGTATGGAAGTGGGTAGCCCATGCATAGAGCATTTCTTAGCCTACTTGACAGCTTAGGAGCCACCTCCTCCAGGAAGCCTTCCTTAATCTGTCCTTCGTCCTGCCCCTCGGGACCCAGGTGACACCGAGTATGCAATTGCTCTATCCCTGCAGGCCTGCCCCTCACTCATCTCATCCCCAAACACAGACACATGCAAGAATGTGACCCTCCCTTCCCAATACAACACTAGGACATTTGATTCCCTTTGTATTCCCAGTACCTAGTGCAATGTCTGGTACACGGTAGGTCATCAGTAAATAATAAATTGAATTAAACCTTGCAAAGGCCTCCAAATATCAGAATTAGTAAGCTCTAAAGGCTTTGTTTATTCCTGCAGATTCCTTCTCAGGTTTCAGCAGGTCATAGAGAACATCTCTTCCACCAGTCCTAGTCTCAATGGGACAGTAAATGAAACAGAAACACCACCATCCCATACCCTCCCCTTCAGTCCCTCTAAAATGAGCTGCTGCTGCTGGGAGAACCAGAGCTAAGCTTCTGCAGAGGCCTCTGCCCATGTCACCCCAGCTCCGCAGTCCTACCTGGCATGAGTCTTCCTATAACTATACCTAGGCTTCCTGACTGCTCTGTGGGGACACCCAGCCTCATTGCACCACAGGATGGGGCAGTCAGAGCAGGGCTTCTTACACTTTAACATGCATATGATCACCTGGTTAGCATGTGGATTCTGATCCAGTAGGTCTGGGATGAGGCCTGAGATTCTGCACATCTAACACGCTCCCAGGTCCTGCCCATGTTGCTGGCCTGTGGCCCATCCTTCCACTGGAAGCGTTTAGAAGGCTTTAGTCTCCTCGCAGCTGTTCAAGAGACCGGTGCGGTGCAATCGGGTGCTGAGTCATTTGGTCACTGCCGCTTCTTGTTAAGTCAACTTCTATCATTTCACATGCATAGAAGTTTTGACAAGCCCTTGAGTCTTTTGTTTCTTTCTGTACGCCAGTAAAAAAGAAAGAACAAGCCAGGCACGGTGGCTCATGCCTGTAATCCCAGCACTTTGGGAGGCTGAGGCAGGCAGACCACGAGGTCAGGAGATCAAGACCATCCTGGCTAACACAGTGAAACCCCGTCTCTACTAAAAAGACAAAAAATTAGCTGGACGCACCTGTAGTCCCAGCTACTCGGGAGACTGAGGTGGGAGAATCGCTTGAACCCAGGAGGTGGAGGTGCAGTGAGCCGAGATCGTGTCACTGCACTCCAGTCTAGGTGACAGAGCAAGACTCCATCTCAACAACAACAACAACAAAAGACAACCAAAACAAAAAAAAAACAAAAAACAAAAAACCAATCCTATACTCATTGCTCCCAGTCTACTAAAGCAGAAAGAAAACTGGACTGGGCGTTAGGTGACATGAACTCCAGTCCCAGCTCTGCAGGCCCCCAAGGCTCTCTGGCCTCTGTTTCCTTTCCTATAAAATGGGGTAACATAGTGGCTGACATGGTTATTTCAAGAAGAGAGTGTGAGATTGCAGAGAGAGCGTGGGCTTTCTGGTGTCAGAACAAGTTTCTAATGAGGAAAAATGACTTGCCTTCTTGGAGCCTCACTGTCTTCATCTGTTAAGTTACAGGGGAAAAGAAAATATGGGATATATAAGTGTGCAATGCCTGTCAGCTGCCAGAAGTGCAGCAAATGTTAAATCCCTTCTCTGCTCAAAAGGCTGTGATGGAAATTCAAAAGCCCCTTCTCAGTAAGGCCCTCTGGACACCCAATCTGAAATGTCAGGCCCCTCCCCCTTTTCTCTTTATTGCGGATCACTGTCTAACATTTGACTTCTTTATCTGGCTTATCGTCTCTCCCTCAGCAAAGGGCTATGCCATGAGGCCGGGAATTTGTGTCCGGATGGCTCACTAATGTATCTGTGGTGCCTAGACCAGCGCCTGGGACATGAATCTTTGTCGAGTGCATGGACCAGCAGTGCTTTAGATATTATGCTATTGCGTTATCAGAATCCATTTCTTCCACACCTCTGAAGCCAGAATAATGCACGTGGAGAGGTTTTAAAGCTGTGGAAAAGCAGAGCCCTAGAAGAAAACAGCCCAGGCTGAGACTCTGGGGACAACAGGAGACAGAAGAATACTTGATGATTTCATAGTGGGAGGCATGGAGAATTAACGTAGTCAAGAGCTGCGAGGCAATAAGAGGAGACTCTTGGGCAGCCCTCAAATAGATTATTATTCCTCCTCCTCTCTCCACCTTACCCCAGGTACAAGAGATGAATCCTGTTCCCCCATAAGCCAGCTGATTCCATGACACAGCAGTCCATGCAGTCCCCAAAATTTATCCCAACTGCCTTCCTCATGCTCAGCTTCCAGGCTGCTCATTTCCTTGGCTTATTCACCCTGCATCAGTTTCTAGTGTGGCCCAGTCTCCAGGATCAACACAGTCAGTTTGGGATTCTCTATTCAAGCTCTGATATTGATTTCATATTCGCCCTCTGGCTTCAGGCACTCACTTGGGTCAGGGGCACCCTACAGTCTGAGCCCCTTTCGGGGAGAGAGTGGAACAGAACATGGGTTTGAGGTCAGGTGGCTCTGGGTTCTGACCCTGAGTCCTTGAATCACTAGGTTTTGCTATCTTGGTCAATTTACCTGACCTCAGCTTTCCTATTTGTGAGATACAAAGAGAAATATTATATTGTAAGCTTGTTGTCAGCAGTGATTCTCAAAGTTTGGTCTTTGGAACATCAATCCTATGAGATGGAAAAGGTTTTTATTATCAAGTGAGTTTGGCAAATGCTCAATATCATATCCTCATCTTGGGAATTCTCAAATAACAAAAGAATGGGTTCCACTTTCATTAACTCAGTTTTTCTAAACAACAAAATTCCTTTTTGCAAGGAATACCTGTTAGCATCCTGCAGAACCAATGTTTTGTGTAATCCGTGGTGGGGAAAGCTGCTTGGGAAGATTAGAAATGCTCAACACCAGGCCCTCTGCTCGGCTCCTGGCACATGCATCGTGGACACCAGGAAGCGTGAGCCCCTGTTGCATTTCTTCCTAATGTCAGGTATGTTTGGTCAAACCTTTCCTGCTTCTGCTACAAAAAAAGCATTTTAGGCTGTTGAGACAAGTAGTTTTCCCAAATATTTTTGTTGAGCCCTTCTCGTGAAAGGGAAATAACACAAACTGAAGTTAATGACATCTGTACTTTGGAGCCTCGCTCTGTCGCCCAGGCTGGAGTGCAGTGGCATGATCTCAGCTCACTGAAAGCACTGCCTCCCGGGTTCAAGAGATTCTCCTGATTCAGCCTCCCAAGTAGCTGAGACTGCAGGCACGCATCACCATGCCCAGTTAACTTTTATGTTTTCTTAGTAGAGATGGGTTTTTATCATGTTGGCCAGGCTGGTCTTGAACTCCTTACCTCAAGTGATCCACCCACCTCGGCCTCCCGAAGTGCGGGGATTACAGTCATGAGCCACCATGCCCAGCCCACATCTGTACTTTTAAAGCTAAAATATGAGCACTCATGAGCCTAGCTGTGAAGAACAGTCACTCTTGGGTTTCTGGGAAGTGACTACTCAGACCTGAACCAACAGGAGTTGGTGAAGTTGGGTAACTTGCCCAATGTAGCAGAGTCTGAGCTCTTTCTAGTGACAACACCACCCCACACACAAATTAGGGTATGTCCCATCATGTAGGTCCAGGGGATCTGAATACCTTCATGTTTCATCCTTCTAAAAAAAAGTCCAGCAATACGTATCCTAAAAGCCTTACAAAATCTTCCCATTTGGGAATGCCACTTCTGAAATTACTATAAGGAAACCATCTAAAATAAAGACAAAGAGCTGTGCATAAAAATATTCAGGCCAGGTGCCGTGGCTCACACTTGTAATTCCAGTGCTTTGGGAGGATGCGGGAAGAAGATTGCTTGAGCCCAGGAATTTGAGGCTAAAGTGAGCTATGATCACATGATTGCATTCCAGCCCGGGCAACAGAGTGAGACTTGTCTATTAAACAAACAAACAAACAAACAAACAAAAATATATTCATCACAACATGATAATAGGCAGAACCAGAAACAACCCAACATTTGGAGAATAGTTAAATGTCCAACAGCTAGGGAATGATTAAATCCATTATGAGGCTTCTCTACATTAAATATCTTACAGCCATTTATAACCATGTTTATAAAGAATTTTGAATGATATGGAACATGCTTATACTATGAGGTTAAGGAAATAAAACAGGCTACAAAAATAAAATATATGTACTATAATAACAGCTATGTTGGTGCACAGAGAGAAAAACATTTACCAATATATTAGGAGTGGTTATTTCTGAGTGGCGAGATGATGAGTGATTTTTCATTCTATTCTATATATTTTTCTATATTTTCTTTTATTCTACATGTTTTTCTGTATTTCCAAGTTTTATACAATAGTGATCAAGAAAAGGTAATTATTTATTTAAAAAGAAAAAAGAAGACCCATGAGTTATCAGATCCCAGTAGACCTAAATGGCACTACAAACACTATTGTGTTCAGAGGTGTCTCCCCTATCTAAGCAGTGCCAGGTTAGGGAACGCCGCCCATCAACGTTCTAAGCAGTGCCAGGTTAGGGAACGCCACCCATCAACGTTCTAAGCAGTGCCAGGTTAGGGAATGCCGCCCATCAACGTTCTAAGCAGTGTCAGGTTAGGGAACACCTCCCATCAACATTTCCCAAATTCCAGGAACCATCTGTTCCATAGTGTCATATCTGTGTAGAACCTACACCATTACTTAATATTTTCATAGAAATCAACTCAGTTTTTAAAATTTGATTACCTGTGTTTTAAGAAAAATTTTAAATCACTCTAAATGGAAAAATAATGCCACTTGCCATTAATGGAAAGTAATCACAAAAATAAATGCAATAAAACAAAACAATATCATTAAATTCTACAGTGGTAAACCTTCTGAGCTTGAGAGCTGCTTTTGCTCTGTTTGATAAAAGCAGGGGCTGAGGGAGAGTGTTTTCAGGCAGGAGGGACGGATTTACAAGGGTTTGAGAGTAAGCCTAGCCTAGCACCAGACCCCTCAAAGGATTCGGCAAGATTGAAAGACAGTGAAAAAGATTTTCTCACTAGAGATTTTGATTTGTTTTTAATGATTTGCCCACCTACCACCCAAACTGCCTAGGATACGACAGCTGGGGAAAGTGCCATTCAACAAAGATTTGACCCCAGCCCATGAGTTGCTGACAGTGGAGGTCACATAAGTTAGATAAGTGTACCGGACTGAGTTCCTCCAGGACAGGAACTATTTCTTCTCAAGCTTGGTAGTCTCAGCACCCTGGACAGTGCCTGGCGCATGGACTTGTTTGTTGAGTGAGTGAAGAAATGAATGAATACTGGGTTGTGACAGCCTTTTCCCCAAAGCGGGGCAGGCGCCCTGAGTCGCTCACATCACCCTTGGCTTTCAGTCCTCAGAGTACAGCAAGTGGAAGTTCACCAACAGCCCCACGTTCCTGGAGCTGCTGGAGGAGTTCCCATCCCTGCAGGTGTCTGCTGGCTTCCTGCTCTCCCTGCTCCCCATTCTGAAGCCCAGGTTTTACTCCATCAGCTCCTCCCAGGATCACACGCCCACAGCGATCCACCTGACTGTGGCCGTGCTCATGTACCACACTCGAGGTGAGCCTGGGGCAGAGGCTGTGGAGCAGTCATGCTCCGCCCCTTCAGTTCCCTCATCAGTTCAAGGAGGGAGGGAACACCTACAGCCCAGACTTGTTAATGGTAATAGGAGGCATGTGGGAGAGAGCTCTATGAACCAGACAGTAAACCAAGCCTTCTGTATGTATATGATCAGTTACCATGTAGGGTAGGTACTGTGTGCATTTTACATGTGGCACAGAAAGTCACACTTAAGTGGAGAGCTGAGATTTGGACCTGGATGGTCTAACTGCTGAGTCCAAGTCTTCCACCACTCCACTGTCCCACTACTCTTGAGACAATTTAATGAGATCAGACTTGGAGAGCACCCAACCCTTGGTGAGAGCCCAGTGGTCCTTAGTCTTCCTGATTGTGCAGCCTGAACGCAGGGGAGATTCTGCACTGGCTGTTCACTCACTCACTGAGCTCATTCAGTGATGGTTTATTTCACATCTCTCCGTGCTCAGCACTGGGGCAGGTGTGGAAATACAACAGACATCAGCCCTGCCCTCAGGGAGCATCTAGAGGCAGCAGTGGAGAGATGAGTGTAGAAATAATTAGATGATTCTCATTGTGCAGAAGCCAAGAAGGAAAGGTCAGCGTCACTGAGGACAGTGAAGAGGGGGTGACGCTGCCATAGAGTGGTAGGCCAACATCTCTTTCAGGTGGTCTTGGCTCCACCACTGGCCTCTGCCCCCCGCCCTGCCCTCTGTAACTGAGTGTTGCTTGGTTTGGCAAAGCTGGGAGCTGCCTACACTTCTGAGCCCTCTGTCCTCTAGGAAACAAAAACACAGTTTCTAAAAACTGGCCAGAGACTCTGTTTGTCCTGCTAGAGAACACCCACCCAGACCAGGAGAGGAGAGGCAGACATGTCCTGTGAGAGCAAACTTTAATCCCGAGGAAAACCAGGGGGACCTCTGCAGTTGGTTGGAGGCCTCCTGCAAGTGCTGGGCCATTGTAAAAGAAATGCAACCCAGAGAAACCTCCTGGGTTTCTACAAGCCAGGCCTATGTTGCCCAGGTTGATCTTGAACTCCTGGGCTCAAATGATCCTCCTGTCCCAGCCTCCAAAGTGCTGGGATTACAGGCATGAGCCACTGCACCTGGCCTCTTTTTCTATTTTTCAATCTTCTGATTAGTCAAGGATGAAATCTCATTTGGACACTATGGCCTCTGTAACGCCCCACGACACTTGTCAATCACCCTGTTCAAAAAAAGAGAGCCAGCTTTGGGCTCAGCACCTTTAGAAAGTAACAGCATCTAGTTAGAAGTTAAGTATTTCTGTATGTCATTTCCTTCTGCTTCTGGCAAGTGATTATGATTTTCCTTTTTTGGTAGTAATGTAAGATTTCCTTTATAAATATATTTATTGAAATGAAAGGTGAGTTAATTTACCAAAATGTGTTAAATAAATATTTAAATGGGTGGTACAAAATATGTTAAATTAAAAATTGAACAGGTAGTTTAAGTTTTGAAAATTAAGAGAATATCATTCTCTTTTATTCAATATTCAGAGAATACTGAAGGCATTTTATGAATGGTTAATACATGGAAGACTCTTAGATCAAGGCTAGTGGGTATAATTGATTCCCTTTCTACTTTCTTAAATGGTTTTAAACCATTCAACGTCTTTGCCAAGCTCTGCTGGGAAGCCCAGAATCTGCCGCAATGTGTTCCAAGGCCTGGGAAGTTACCCTCTTCCCCATGCCCATGCTGATGCCGCCACTCTGGTCGGGATGTAAGCCCCAGGTCCCAGGTCCCTGAGCTGGATGGGGAAGTCGGTGGTGCTATGGATGGGCCACGCTGGAGAGAGCTAGCACAGTGGCACTTCCAGAACCCTGCTCTGTCATCTGCAAATGTATCTGTGTTGGGAGATACTAAGAATAGCTGAGACCCGCCTGACTGAGCAGAAGCTCCCAGCTGGGGCACCCCTGGCCAGCTAAGCCTCTTGACAGATGGCCCTGGTTTCCAGCCCTGGTGCCAAACTCCAACCCCTGTCCTCACCCCGCTTCTCCACTTCCCACCCTCTAGCCCTGTCCGAAGCCTCACTCAGCCCGAGGCAGCAGGCTTCATCCCTCAGAATTCCTCCCAGCTGCCAGGGAAAGTGAGCTGTGCATGAGGACCACTGTGGGGTGGAGAGCGCAGTAGCTCCCCAGCCAGGCAGGGCTGGGCCACCTGCCAGTTTCATCCTCCCTCCCCCTGTGGTCCTCAAAGTTGGCCTCAGTTTCCTCATGAGAAGCCCCTTCGTGCACTGTTGCCAAGGGCCATAAAGGCAGAGGGCTTCCGCCTGTAATCCCAGCATTTTGGGAGGCCGAGGCGGGCAGATCACGAGGTTGGGAGATCGAGACCATCCTGGCTAACACAGTGAAACCCCGTCTCTACTAAAAATACAAAAAAGTAGCTGGGTGTGGTGGCGGGCACCTGTAGTCCCAGCTACTTGGGAGGCTGAGGCAGGAGAATGGCGTGAACCCGGGAGGCGGAGCTTGCAGTGAGCAGAGATCGTGCCACTGCACTCCAGCCTGGGTGACAGAGTGAGACTCTGTCTCAAAAAAAAAAAAGAAAAAAAAAAAAGACAGAGGGCTCCCTAGATGAATGCCCAACTGCTGCCCACATGTCACCCCTGCCACATTGGCCCTCGTCCCCCTACATCTGGCCTTGTTCCAATACAAAGAGGAGCTTGCTGTGCCTGCAGCTCCTACGGTCCAGATAGGAAGTCTTGCTCCAGCTGCAGCAGGGCACCATCTCTTCCCTTCTCCCAAGCTCTCTGCCTGGCATGGGAAGCAGACTGGGCGAGATGGGGCCAGGGATGAGGAAGGCCAACAGCCGTGGCCTGAGTGAATGATTTCTTCTAGGTCATGTGACATGGCTCACTCTTCCAGCTTCTCAGGGCTCAGGGTCTGCCCTCTGAGCCCCAACTTCAACACCTCCCATGGGAACCCTCCAAAGAATGAACCAGGAATGGAAACCATAGAGCCCACGGCACCCCGGCACCTGAGACCCAATGAGAATCAACACTGCCTCTCCAGCCAACATGCAAGGCTGCAGCCTGGACCCAGTGCCAGCATCCCAAATGCAGGCCCTCCATTTGGGGAGTGGATGGAGTAGGAGAGAAGGGCTGCAAGGACCCAGATAGGCAGACAGAGGGACAGAGAGGGAACCAAAGATCCTACTTGCAAGTTGTCCCCAGAGGCAAAGGTATCGTCCACTGGGGACATGGGGACCTGGAGGCAGCACAAGGACAGCTTTGCTCTGGTCGTGGGAGCCCTCTTGCTTCCCACACCCTCAACTTACTCCCCATTGCTGTCTGTCATTGATCCCCAGGTGGGGCAAGTGAGGGACCTGAGTCAGCATGTGGCTGGCTGCTGGGAGAGGGAGAACCCGCTGAGTCACGGCTCCTCCCCTGGAGCCTCCATGAGCCATCTAGGCAGGTGTGCACTGCCCACTGGTGCAGGGCTGTGGGTACCTGCACCTGTCTGTCAACACTGATTCTTTCTCATACAACAGGCACTTGCCAACACTCTGCCCAGCCAGACCCTATCAGACCACAGTGAGGGGATGGAGTGGGCCCGCATAGGTGCCTCCACCTGAGTCTAGGCACCCCAGGCTTGTGTCTGCTGGGACACACCTAGCAGGGAGGCTGAGAGCACCGGCTTCGGAGCCAGGCAGGTCATAGTGTAAAGCTGGATTCTTCCACTTATTTGGGGAAAGTTGCTTCCCCTCTCTGAACCTGTTTCCTCACTGTAAATTCAGATTCATCCTTTATTGAGCACCTACTATGTGCCAGGCATTGGGTTGAGTGCTGGGGATAAAGTAATGAGCAAGCCCTTATCTTGATGAACAGTTACGGAATAAAATAGACCTGCAAAAATAAACACGCAATTCACAACTGAGGTGAGCACGGTTGGTGGGGGAATGGAGAGCACATAATAAAGGGTGTGGCATGGTTGGGGGCATCAGTGACCTTCTCCCTGAGAAAGAGACACTTGAGTGAAGGGGGAGGAGAAGTGAGCCAGGAGAAGGAAAAAGGGGAGGGGCATACAGCATGTGCAAATGTCCTGAGGTGGAAACAAGCAAAGTGACTGCCAGGGCAGGAGTCCTGTGTGGCTAAAGGGCAGTGGGTTAAGTCAAGCAAAGGATTTCGGTGGGAGAAAAAAAAATAGTTCTGACCTTGGCCAGGCACAGTGGCTCACACCTGTAATCCCAGCACTTTGGGAGGCCAAGGTGGTCGGATCACCTGAGGTCAGGAGTTCGAGACCAGCCTGGCCAAAATGGTGAAACCCCATCTCTACTAAAAATACAAAAATTAGCTGGGCATGGTGATGGGCATCTGTAATCCCAGTTACTTGGGAAGCTGAGGCAGGAGAATTGCTTGAACCTGGGAGGCTGAGGTTGTAGTGAGCCCAGATTGTGCCATTGCACTCCAGCCTGCGTGACAGAGCGAGACTTGGTCTCAACAACAACAACAAAAAGTTCTGGCCTCATGAGGTTGTTGTGAGGCTTAAAAGAGCTCATATTGTAAAACTGCTGGTGTGGGTCCGGCACGTAGTGGGACATCGTCCTGACTGTCGGTGGCACTGTGGCTGCACCCAACTTCCCCATGGACCATCTGGGCAACTTGGGTTCTCAGCTCCGTTGCTTATTATTTGCCCATCCCTCTGGCCTATTGAGCCCCCATTAAGATCAAAGACCTGTGCCTGTGGGGCCTGGGGAGGACACTGGATGTTTGGAGGATCATAGTTCCTTCCATCAAGGAACCTCCAGTGTTGCAGGCAAGACCCTCGTTGCTTTGCCTGCACTGTCGTTGCTTTGCCTGACAAGACTGTCAGGAGAGCTTGAGTTCCTACCTTCAGTTCATGGACCTCCAGGAGCTCTAGGAGACCCCTGAACCCCATGAAACTATATGAAAATGTATGTGTGCTTATTTGAAGGTAGGGGCAGAAGGAAAGATCTATAGCTTTCAATATTCTCCAAGGAATCCCTGATCACAAAAACATTAGGAATCCTTAACCTAACATAGTGCCTGACATAGCGGCACTCAATATCTGGTGAATGAATGGACACACATGAAAATGAGTGAGGAAATGAATGAATATCTCTCTGTACCCTAGGAGACGCCACATATGACCTGGTACACACATCTATCTTTGTCTTCTGAGATGGCGAAAGATATCCTGGGACCTGAGCCCAACCCACCCACAGGACCTTTTTCCCAGTCCCAGGGGCCATAGCCAGGTGCTATGACAAGCTCCAAAGAGATGCTTCTCCCACTTTCTCCCCATCCCCACTCCTAACAATGACCAGACAGAGGTGAGAATTATGCAACTCAGATAATGAAGCTGTATTGATTGCCAGGAGGGGGTGAGGGTGAAGCAGGGTCCAGGTGTGAAGTGCTTAGGCGGCAGGAGAGGGGATCTTCTAGTGGGATCCGTGTCCACACAGGGGGCCTCCTGGGCCTGAGCGGGGCTGGGCAGCCTCAGTTCTTGGTGCGAAGGACCTGCTCGTGGGTGGACACCACCTTGCCATCGTGCACATCCATGATCTTGGTGTGGATTTGGTGGCTGGAGGAGGTCACTGGGGAAGAGGCGGAAAGAGGACATTACCAGAGGTGGACAGACAATGGACTAATCAGGAGTAAGGAGGCCAAGAAGGTGAGGAAACTCAAACTGTCTCCCAGTTGCCCTCTCCCCTGATTACTGCTTCACTCCCTGCTGTTGCCCAAGCACTGATACCGTCAACACATTTCTTTCAGACTAGGGCTCCCAAAGGTCAGAGACAGAGTCTTTGTCTTCAGATTAGAGCTTCCTAAGAGCTCACACCCAGCTGGTTCCGTCCATATTCACCCAATGGAGTGGTCTCGGTGGGAGGAGCCCTGCAGGGCCCTGTTCATGGTGCTGAGCACCACAGCAATAGGATCTGCCACAGACACCCGGTAGAAGTAAGAGGTGGGGGCTGCCTCTCCTAGCCCTAAGGAGGGTTTAGAAAATAGCTTCTTCCACCCAAGGAGGTTCCCAAGGGAAACTGGGTGACATCACTAGAGCTCAGCCCCTCACGGAGCCCCTAGCCAATGCCTAGACCTGCTTGGGGTACAGAGGGCGGCCTGGAGCCCAGGCCTGCAGAGGATGAAGGTCTTACCGGTCTCTGGATGACTGCGATCCAGAGGAGAACTGGGAGGAGGAGAGGCTGTGAAGACAGAAAAGGGCAGGGTCATTAGATACATGGTGGGGCCGTGAGAGTGCCATGGTGGGGCGGATTAAGGGGAGGGCCAAGACTCATTGGGCATCCTCGCCCTCCAGCAGGCGGCGGTAGGTGGCGATCTCCTGTTCCAGCCGCATCTTCACGTCCAGCAGGATCTTGTACTCCTGGTTCTGCTGCTCCATCTCGCAGCAGAGCTGGGCCAGCTGCTCCTCCACACTGCCAATCATCTCCTGGATTTGGGCCAGCTGCACACAGTAGCGGCCTTTGGTCTCCTCCAGGCTGTTCTCCAGGGATGCTTTCTGTGAGGGAGGGAAAGGGAATCAAGGATTAGTGAGTGTGGCCATTCTCTCCCTGCCAGTTCTGGGTGCACCACCGGGCCTGGCACCATTCCTAACATGCTGAGCTGGGACTGCAGCTCAATCTCCAGGTTCTGCATGGTGTGCCAGAGCTCCGAAATCTCGCTCTTGCCGCTCTGCACCAGCTCGCTGTTGGTGGCCACCTCGTGGTTCAGCTTCTCTGTCTGCAAAAAAGAGAACACCATTCACACCAGAAGTCCCCAGAAGGCAGGTGGTCTGGGTTCCTTCCACCTCAAATGACACCCACCTTAGTGAAGAACCGTTCCTCTGCGTCCTTGTGGTTCTTCTCTGCCATCTTCTCGTACTGGTCACGCATCTCGTTCAGAATGTGGCTCAGGTCCACACCAGGTGCATCGTCCATCTCCACATTGACATCTCCACCCACCTGGCCTCTCAGGGCATTCATCTCCTGCACTGCCAGGGACAGTCCACAGTCAGGAGTTCCACCACGGCAGCAGATTGGGGTTCCTTAGTCAGGCCTGAATACTGCCCTCCCAGAATCACAATTCTATCTTGACTCTCCCTTCCCTCTCTCTCTCTCTTTTTTTTTTTTTTTTTGACAGGGTCTAGCCTTGTTGCCCAGGCTGGACTCAAACTCCTGTGTTCAAGTGATCCTCCCATCTCAGCCTCCCAAGTAGCTGGGACTATGGGCATGCACCACCGTACCCAGTCTCCCTGCGCTTCTTTTAAGCTGGCTTTTCCATATAGTTCTCACCTCCTCATGGTTCTTCTTCAGTTAGGCCAGCTCCTCCTTCAGGCTCTCAATCTGCATCTCCAGGTCAGCTCTGGCCAGGGTCAGTTCGTCCAGCACCCCAGCACCTGGCGCATGCCATTGATGTCGGCCCCCACACTCATGCGCAGGTTCAACTCTGTCTCATACCTGGAATGACCCCAGAGAAAAGGAATGATACACCCATCCTGACCACAGTGAGGGCTTTGTTCTCTTCTCCCTGCAGCTTCTCCCAGAGCTGGTGCCTTGTGGGTGGTTTAAGGAGCCAATCTTGAAAATGGCATGGTTGAACACAGTGCCCATTGATTGCTCAGATATGAACATTCCTGGGGCCTGGGGATGAGGCAGTTCATCTTGCTGCAGAATTCAGGAGGGGGTTGCGCTTCTAGCTTCAGCCAACAAATAATGCATAAGTCCTCCAACTATGATTCCCTCCTATACTTCAAGGGCAGCTGGGGAAGTGGAAAGTGCCTCTCCCTAAAGCAGCAGTTCTGAAACCTGGCTGTGGACCAGAATCTCCCAGCTAACCTGCTATAAATAGCTGAATCAAAACTCCAAGGGTGGGGCCCAAGAGTCTTATTCTTTTATAAGCACCCCAGGGAGTTTTCATGCAGCTATTCTGGCACTGGCTAGTTCTATTTGGGAAACACTGCTCAAAAAATGCCCTACTTTGGGGACACTGGATGTTCTGGCCCACCACTGCAAACTCGCTTGGTGCGGAAGTCATCTGCGGCCAGACGGGCGTTGTCAATCTGCAGAAGGACATTGGCATTGTCCACTGTGGCCGTGAGGATCTGCAGGATGGAAAGGGCACAGGTAATTTGTCAAATGGACTTCACAAGCTGGACTTCACTGTAACCTACATTAAGCTCTTGCTTCATGTTCTTGCCTGAATTCCCCTTTCCCCCCACAAAACTTGACCATAGCAGCCTAAAGGAAAACAGATGCCCCAGGCCTGTCCTAAGACTTTGCTAACTCATGGTCAACAGAGGGGGTAGATGCAGCCCCGGGCTTAGAATCAAAAGCCCAGGAGTTCTGGTCGCAATTCTGCCACTGACTTGCTGCAAAACCTAATGGGTCTTGGGGCTTCAAGTTCCCCACCTCCAAGTGAGGAGAATAATCTGAGGCTCCCTAGCCCTCCTTCCTGAGCTGGCCTCTCTTCTCTCTGCAACAGCCAGCCCTGCCAGTCCTCTGCAGAGATGCACATTCCTTTTCAAGCTCACGGGCCATGGGACTTCAAATGGAACTTTCTCAAGAGATAAAACCCAACTGACACAGGGGATTAGAAAAGAGGACTCGGGGGAAGAATAAGAAGATATATTGGCCCCTGAGTCTGACTGGAGTTCCCCACATCATCATTGAATTTCCCTAATCCATGCAAGGCATTAGAGCCCAGCAGACTCCCGCAGGGAGGGCTCCCAGGTGATGTGGGAGCAGGGGGGAGGGGGCTGGAGACAGGGCACAAGCCTGCCAGGCTCCCTTTGTGCAGGGCACGTCAAGGGGCCACACTGATTGTCTCTGCAGGCTCTCCATGCCTGCCTGGCTGTGGGGAGGGACCAGACTGTACCAAGGCTTATGGGCGGCGGCAGCCACAGCCCAGACTAGTGAGCTAATGAGCGGTTTGGATGTCTTGCCTGGTCCCGTTAGAGCCTCGCTCCTCCCCTGTGCTGGAAGGTAGGACACAAGGGACCCAGCCTTGGCTCTGCCATTAATTTGCTATGTGACCTGCAGCTGGTCACAGCACCTCTCAAAGCTTCAACTGCTTCCTCTGTAAAATGTAAGGACAGGAATCACTGATCTCACTTGATCTGAGGATTTGACATCAGAAGGGGATGAGCAGGCTGGAGAAGGAGAGAGCATCCTCTCACTGATCAGCTCTTAGGGCATCCAAGACCTCGAAAGAAGGGATCTGGGGTGGGCTCTGTCCTATGGAGAAATCTTAAGGTGTCAGTGTCCTGGGGCATCTATTGTTCCCAGAAGGAGCTAGCTGGAATGGCACCTTCTGCTGCCCATTCACCCACCTTGTTCCTCAGATCCTCGATGGTCTTGAAGTAGGGACTGTAGTCTTTGATCTTAGCAGGCCGCTGCCACTGGTACCAGTCATGGATCTTCACCTCCAGGTCAGCGTTGGCCTCCTCCAGGGCACGCACCTTGTCCAGGTAGGAGACCAGGCTGTCGTTGAGGTTCTGCATGGTCACCTTCTCACTGCCCACCAGAAGGCCATCACCACCAGCAAAGCCACCACCCAAGCCACCACCGAAGCCAGCACCAAGGCCACCACCATATCCTCCTCCAAAGCCACTACCGAAGCTGCTGCTGCTGCTGAAGCCACCGCCATAGCCGCCCCCCAGCCTGTAGGCTCCCCCAGAGGAGAAGCAGGAGGAGGAGACAGACAGGCCACCCCTGTAGGTGCTGGGGGCGCGGCACGACCCTCCGGCCAGGACGGAGGAGATGTGGCTGGAGCCGCCCCCGATGCCGCCCCCGATGCCGCAGGAGCCCTTCATGGAGCTGGAGGAGGTGAACTGGCGGCTGCAGGTGCTCATGGTGCCGAGGAGGGAGGTGAGTGAGCGAGCAGTTGGCTGAGTGAAGAGAAGGTGCTCAGGTAAATTGGAAAGGGATGCGAGTGCTTTATACTCATGGGTAGGGGGCGGGCCTGGCACTTTCCATTCCCCTTGGCTTTCATCACCCACAGGCTAGCGCCAACTCCCAGCCAGGTCCCTCCTCTCCTCCACCTCATCATGTCTGTCATATTTTACTGGAAACTCATTGTTTGGGGTGTTTTGGGCTTTCTTGTCCCGCCAGGCGTGATTCACAGGGGGAGGTATGGGCCTGCAGGCTACACTTTCCCATGGGGCCCCGGGAGTCCCAGCCCTCAGGAACCCGCACACTGGGCTCAGCCAGGGTGACAGAGAGCAGGGCCTCTGCACCTTAAACCTGGTGACCTGCTAGCTCTCCATGAACTGGATGGGCCTTTAACATCCACTTAGAGGAAGCCCACCACTGCAGGGGACAGATACCCAGCTGGAGAGCACCGGCATGGCAAGGTCACCTTGGGCACAGAGAGGCCTCCCTCACCATGACCCGCTGTTAGAGACAAGGAGGTCTGGGGGGCCCTCCCAGGCCTGACCTGCCATGCTGTGCTGAGAAGCCTGTCCCATCCCTGAAATACACTCAG
Source organism: Homo sapiens (assembly GCF_000001405.40). Taxonomy (NCBI): domain Eukaryota; kingdom Metazoa; phylum Chordata; class Mammalia; order Primates; family Hominidae; genus Homo; species Homo sapiens. The sequence goes on from NC_000017.11 coordinate 16,823,125, forward strand.
CCAGTCAGGTGTATGGTGATTCCCACCCCAACACCCCCATCAAAGAGAAATCCAGGCAGCTCTCCCCAGCCCTGGGCACAGACCCTAATTTCCTCCCTACGGTGAGGATCTGACATCCACCACACCATAGGGCGGGTGGCCTCATGGAGGCCAGGAAACAGCCTGGAGTCAGGTGGGTCCTGGCTCTGCCATTTACGGCCCCGTGACCCAGGGCTTGGCGCTTCTCTGAGCCTCAGTGTTCTCATCTGCAAAGTGGGAGTCATACCATCTACTCTGCCTACTGCAGTCAGCTGTGAGAAGCCAATGCGACAGCGTATGTGAAAGGCTTTTGTAAACCGAGTATGGCAAGAAGCCTGGTTGGCATTGTTGTAGCCCAGGCTTAGCCCCAGAGTGGATGGAGCTGCATCCAGGAACAGGCCTAGGGGGGCCTTTTTTTCTTCCAGCCCCAGATATCCTCTCAGACCCCCAGAACATCCCTAGTGTAGGCAGAAGTCTGGCTCAGGTGCCCTCGTTTGAGCCCCTTGTGGAACTGGCCCAGGAGATGTTCTGGGGAGGAGTAGAGGCTGGAGTGGTGCCAGGCTGTGCCAAGGGCAAGGCTGAAGTGGACACGAGGGTCCCTGACTCCTGAAGCCCCAAGGGTCAGGGGACATTTTTAGGAGTCCACTTGGTCCTGCTTTGGAGGTGTGTATATCAAAAGTTCAGCAATCTCCCAGACAACCTCCCAAAGCAAACCCTTCCGGCCCCCACCCCACCCTCCCATCAGCCCCTGGGCTCCACAGACCCCAGCAGGCATGTTGGGAGGAATGTGGTCGTGTCTGGGGCTGCCTGACACGTCCTATCTCCTCAGACAGGCCCCAACAGCCCCTGCTGGAGGCTCCACTGCTCTTCCTGGGATCAACTGTTCCTAGAAGAGAAGCAGGACCTCTCTCACCCCACCCCCAACCTTGACTGTCACCAAAGAAGAAGCCAGAGAGGGGAGCCCCCCACTACTGTGGCCTAGGAGCTTGGAAGACAATACTGAGACAGACACCTGTGCTGTGGGCTCCCCAAATCTGCCAGCAAAGGACTCTCGAGGATGTGAGTAAGCCAGGGCCCCACCCCGCTCCACCCACCCCTGACAGACACTCCTAATCTCCCTGCAGAGAATGGTCCCCCCACCCTGACCCAGTCCTACAATTTCCCCAGAGAGAGGCAACAGGGGTTTTGGCTGAGGGGCAGATGCTTTTGTTGGGAGGCATGTTGCTGTTGGCTGTGGGGCAAGGGAAGGCTGTGCTCACTGGAGAAAAATGCTGTGTCCAGAGGGATCTGGGAGTGGGAATGGGGTGCAGGGCCCGGTACCTGCTTCCTCTGTGCCCCGCCACCCCCACCCACCACCACCACCGTCTCCTTCTTCTGCAGGGATCAGGAATAGAAGCTCCAGAGCCCAGGACATAGGAACAGCTTTACTTTCCCTTTCATTTGATTCAGTGGAACCCAAAAGAAACTCCTTCCTCCCCCTGCTCCGAGGGGAATCCAAAAGATAAGGATGGCAGGGAACCAATGACAGATCAGTCCATGCACATAATCTTAAAAGGCACTTCTGCAGCCCCATCCCAACCCCACGCACCAACTCCAGAGCTCTAGCATGGAATATAAGCCTGATCCCCCACACCCGTTCTCAGAACCGTGGCCTAACCTGGAGCCTGAGGCCAACCTCTCTTCCCCTGCAGTCAAGGACTCAGTGACCAAGGAGCTGCAAACAGCCCGGCCAAGCAGGGAGCAGACTTAGAGGACACCACACTCCCGTCCCCTCCCTGATGCCAAAGAAGCGTGGTACTCAGACATTTTAAGGGAGGGTATTTTCTGGGTCATCAGGGGTTAAAGGGTTGCCAGTCTTGACAGCTGAGGCCCAGAGTACCCCCCACCTCTGGACTTCTAGGCAGGCTTTGTGTGAGCAGCATTACCTGACCCTCCCTCCAGCCTGCCCCAAAAGGAGGGGGGTAAAGGAGGAGCCCCGGGCAGGACCTCCTGTGGTTAGTGAGTCTCCCTGCACCACCCTACATGGGGGAGCCCCGTGCCAATACTAAAATTATTGTAAATGGATAAAATCCATGGGGTCAAAGAGATCAGGAAAGTAGATTATAGCAATCAAATTTTGGAATCTGGAAAACAAAGACAAAGAAAGCCCAGTGCTTGCCCAGAGAGAAGCCAAGAGGCAAAGCATATTTACACTCTGGAACTTTTTAACTCTGAATTTTTAAGAACTCTGGAAAGTCTCTGGAATAGGGGGCACCAGGTACCTCTGACAGTGAGGAACAAGTGAACTAGAAATGGGAGGGTGAGCTAGAGATCTATATAAAAAGCAGAGAGGCGGCCGGGCACGGTGGCTCATGCCTGTAATCCCAGCACTTTGGGAGACCAAGGCGGGTGGATCATGAGGTCAGGAGATCGAGACCGTCTTGGCTAACACGGTGAAACCCCGTCTCTGCTAAAAATACAAGAAAATTAGCCAGGCGTGGTGGCGGGCGCCTGTAGTCTCAGCTATTCGGGAGGCTGAGGCAGGAGAATGGTGTGAACCCGGGAGACAGAGCTTGCAGTGAGCCGAGATGGTGCTACTGCACTCCAGCCTGGGCAACAGAGCGAGACACCATCTCGGGAAAAGAAAAAAAAAAGCAGAGGCCGCTATAGCTCCTCTCTCCCTTCCTTGTCTGAACCCAACCACTCCACGATTACTCCAGGAGAAACTAGATGTTTATGCTTGAGAATTTCCCCAAAGGGACTCTGAATCCTGAGACACCAAGCAGGGCCAATAAACTGCAATCAACTAGTAGCAGAGTAGCTGAGACTGAGACCTTCTCTGCCCCCTTCCCGCACTCAGCTTCCAGAAAGCTGGTAGCTTTTACAATCCAGACAGGGAATTAGAGGTATTCCTTCTGAGGAAGACCCTCCCCAAGAAAAGTCCTACAGATAACTGTCCCCCAACGAAACAGCCTATTCTCCACCAGATTACTCTATACTGAGACCTACCAGTGGCAAGCTCCCATGCTATCCACACACATATACACATATTCCAATCAGTTTCTCAGTGACTTACTCTTAAATATGAACAACTACCAAGGACCACCAGACATCTGAGAAAAGCCTCTGGCATGAAAGATGGAGGCAAGACAAACAGCAAGAAAGGAACTGAGGAAACTGAGCTGATGACAGAAATAGAAGCACTGCTGGAGCCAGGACTAATAGGCTCAAAGAGATCAGAGAAACCATTGCATCTTGAAACAAGAACAAGAGACTGTTGAAAAAACATGCAGAGCTATGAGAGATGAAAAATATAAAAGATTATTGTTGTTTTTAAGACAGGATCTCACTCTGTTGCCCAGGCTAGAATGCGATGGTGTGATCTCAGCTCACTGCAGCCTTGACTTCCCAGGCTCAAGTGATTGTCCCACCTCAGCCTCCCTAGCAGCTGGGGCTACAGGCCCAGGCCACCACATCCAGCTAATTTTTATATATTTTGTAGAGGCAGGGTCTTACCATGTTGCCCAGGCTGGTCTTGAACTCCTGGGCTCAAGCAATCCACCCACCTTGGCCTCCCAAAGTGCTGGGATTACAGGCATGAGATGCTGTGCCCGGCCAAATGCAGCAGATTTTTTAAAACTCTGAATAATGGAGTTAGAGGTCAAAGTTAAAGAAATTTCTCAGAAAACAGCAACAAAGAAAAAAAGACAAGACGGAAAATAAAACAGAATATGTAGGAAAAAGAGCCATTTCAGAAAGAGAGAAAATGGAGGGAGGAAATCATGAAACACGAAAATTTGCCAGAATTGAACAACATGAGCTCCCACATTGGAAGTTTCTGCTAGTGTCCAGCCAGTGGATGAAGTCACAGCTGCATCAATTCAACACATGGTATTTCAGCCTGCTGGAGAGAAAGAGAAGAACTGAAAAGCTTCTAGGGAAGAGTGTGGGAATAGGATAATAAGACGTGATCTAGAATCAATATGGCATAAGACTTCTCAACAGCAACACCAGAAGCCAAGAAACAGTGAAACTGTACCTTCAAATGCTGAGTGCAAATGATTTCCAAGCTAGAATTCCATACCCAGCCAAACTATCAGTCAAGAGTGAGGATCAACTAAAGATCTTTTTGACACAAACAGTCTAAAAAAATTTAACCCTGATAACTCCCTTCCCAGGAAACTACTTGAGGATGTGCTTCACTAAAACAAAGGGAAAAATAAAAACAGGAAGGAGGAAGACATTGGATCCAGAAAACAAGGAAAGCAACCCAGGAAAAAGAAGGATTTCAGGATGATGGTGAAGAGAGATTCCAGGATCACAGCTGAGCAGGAGACCCAAACAGCACCCAGAACAGACAAGAGCAGGACAGAAGGCCCTAGGAGACACATCTTCATGAGGATGAAATTGAAGGAACACCCAGGGTTCTAAAATACTGAGGAGATTTATGCTTCCAGCAGTGAATCAGGAAACAAATTAATGATCAATACATAGAAAGTTTAGGCAAATTGAAAAAGAGATATTTATTCCAAGGAAATCTAATATAGTATAAAATGTAATATAGTATAATATATGATTTGACTATGAATAACATTTAAATAGTCATGATAATGTAAACATTTATTTAACAAAAATATGAATATATTGAGAAGGTGGGAAGAAGATATTTTAAAAAGAAGTGGGGAGGGGCAATGCTGTATAACAGATCCACATCCTCATCCTTCACAGCCAGAAGTCAAGCGATTAAAAACTGAAACAGAAAAACCAAACAGTAACAAGGTAAAGCCTGTTATTTAGAAGTAAGGAGACAAATCCCAAAAGAAACAGCTGAAGTTGAAAAGGGGAGGCGGGAACAGAGCTGTGGTATCCAGTCTAGGGATGGCTTTTTCATTAAAAAAAAAAAAAAGTCTTATTCACAATAGCAAAGACTTGGAACCAACCCAAATGTCCATCAATGATAGACTGGATTAAGAAAATGTGGCACATGTGCACCTTGGAATACTATGCAACCATAAAAAAGGATGAGTTCATGTCCTTTGCAGGGACATGGATGAAGCTGGAAACCATCATTCTAAGCAAACTATCACAAGGACAGAAAACCAAACACCACATGTTCTCACTCATAGGTGGGAGTTGAACAATGAGAACACATGGGCACAGGGCAGGGAACATCACACATCGGAGCCTGTCAGGGGGTGGGGGACTGTGGGAGGGAGGGATAGCATTTGGAGAAATACTTAATGTAAATGATGAGTTGATGGGTGCAGCAAACCAACATGGCACATGTATACCTATGTAACAAACATGCATGTTGTGCATGTGTACCCTATAACTTAAAGCATAATAATAAAAAAAAAAGTCTTGGCCGGGTGCCATGGCTCACGCCTATAATCCCAGCACTTTGGGAGGCCAAGACAGGCAGATCACGAGGTCAGAAGATCGAGACCATCCTGGCTAATACGGTGAAACCCTGTCTCTGCTAAAAATACAAAAGAAAATTAGCCGGGCATGGTGGTGGGTGACTGTAGTCCCAGCTACTTGGGAGGCTGAGGCAGGAGAATGGTGTGAACCTGGGAGGTGGAGCTTGCAGTGAACTGAGATCGCACCACTGCACTCCAGCCTGGGCGACACAGCAAGACTCTGTCTCAAAAAAAAAAAAGGCTTATGATGTTATACATACATAACTTTTTTAAATTTAAATATTTAAAATATGGAAGGCATCCAGGAAGAAGGAATGGCAACTGAGAGGTATGGGTCATATCTCAGTCAGGTAGGGGTGACTCGGGGGTTTGGAGCTGGGAGGGACAGGAGGACACCAAGCTGGGTTGAGACTGAAGGCTGAGTGCTGGAGGGGAATGGGATCCATCGCCGGCTGTTAAGCAGGGGAGTCCTGATCTCACCCTTGTTCTTGATCCTGACCACATTCTGGTGGAAATCATTCAGTGGAAATTGAATGTGGATGAGATTGACTCTCAAGGGGACCCAGTTAGGCTGTGCCCAGGTCTAGGGAGAGAGGAAGAAGATCTGAACATGGCAATGGCCATGGGGCAGCAGGTGTTTCCTAGGGTGCTCATCAGCACGCAATTCACCAGCTGAGGGGAATGAGGAAGGAGGAGTTGATGGGGTGTGAGGAGAAGCAGGCTGGGAGAAGGAGGATTTCAGGTCTGACGAGGACATCGTTCTCAAGGCAGATACCACTCCCTTCCACCCTCCAATGTAGAAACTGTGTGCAGATGTGGGGGAGCCCATGGGTAGAGTTAAGATTCAAGCGTGGGAGTCTTCGGGTTAAAATACCTGAAAAGGTAGAGTGGTGTTAAAAGAAAGGCATGGACTTTGCAGACAGACAGAACTGAGTTTGAGCTCCAGCCGTGCCACTTACTATCTGCATGATTTTACGCAAGTTACTGAAACTCTGAATTCTGGGGGTTGTCAAATTCCAAAATGGGCCTGACCACACCCACCTCACAGGGTTGCAAGGGCAACCTCGTAAAATAACCTCTGTAGAATGCCTCCATGGTGTCAGTCAGCACGTGTGGACACTCCCCCATCCTGTGTCCCACCTCCCACTTCCATAGAGCGTGGAGGTCTTCCAGGAAGAGCCTTCAAGATCTTCTGAGATTTGTCCCATTTCCCACATCTCTCAGGCTGTGAGGCTCCAGGAGGTTTCTGGAAAGCACCTGCAACTCCCCTCCCATCAGTTCAAGAACAGAGATCACACAGGTTTGCATCAACCAGAAAGTCAGCTTTATTAGCCCATCACCAGTAGAGGAGCAGGGAGACAGCTGGGAACTGCGCTGGGAGAGCAGGGTCCTGACCCAGGCCTTCAGGAGGTGAGGCCAGCTGGTGGGCATGAGGCTGTGGTAGAGGCAGCTCAGTTCTAGGAGCACTGGCCCTGGCTGAAGCTGGATGAGCCCTGCTCCTTGAGGATGGGCCAGGTCTGACGGTTCGAAGAGGACGAAGAGGAGGTGAAGACTGTGGGAGAGAGAAGAGGAGGTGAGAAGGGGTCTGAGAGCTAAGCCAACTCCAGGGCAGGGAGAAGGGAGAGCTGGGAGCTCTCAGGAGAAGGGCCTGGCCCCCACTCCATGGAAACAGGCAGAGGGGTTGCAGTGCCGGGGAGCCTCAGGAGCCTTACCCACTCGGGAAGAACAGGATTGGCCAGATGCGTGTGGGGAGGAAAGGCTGTGGGTGAGAAAAGGCAGGGCAGTCAGTTGTGCTGAGAGCAGCAGGGGGGCTAAAGGGTCTGGGAGGCAGAACTGAGGGGCCTGGGACTCACTGGGCGTCCTCGCCCTCCAGCAGGCGGCGGTAGGTGGCGATCTCCTGCTCCAGCCGTGTCTTCATGTCCAGCAAGATCTGGTACTCCCGGCTCTGCTGCTCCATCTCACAGCATAGCTGGGCCAGCTGCTCCTCCACACTGCCAATCAGTCCCTGGATCTGGGACGGCTGCATGCAGTAGCAGCCTTTGGTCTCCTCCAGGCTGTTCTCCAGGGACGCTTTCTGCAAGTGAGAGAGAGAAAAAGAGTCAATGGAGGTGGTCACTCCTGTCCCTCCAGGTCTCTGGGCATGTTTTTTGAGAGGTGCCTGGATTTTGATCCCAGTTGGGGTACTGATGGGCCAGACAATATAGAGAAATGCTAGCCCACTATTCTAGGGTTAGTTTCTCTATCTATATAACAGGTCCCATGAGTCCTCTGGTCCCACCCTGAGAAAAGAAAGGTGGAACTAAATTGCGGCTTGTTGAGGGGGTGGTGGCCATTACTGGTGACCTGGGGGCTGCTGCTGTGCCGGGTCCTTCATACTATGCTAAGCTGGGACTGCAGCTCCATCTCCAGGCCCTGGAACACCCTCTGGAGCAACGTCACCTCACTGCGGCTGCTCTGTACCAGTTCACTGCTGGAGGCCACTTTTTTGTTCAGCTCCTTGGTCTGAGACGGGAAAGCAGAGTGAAAGGTGAGGCTCTCCCAAAGCCCCCAGCTGGGAAGTGCTGCAGGCCCACTGAGGGCCCGAGCCCCACCTTGCTCAGGAACCAGGCCCAGCATCTCTGTGGTTGTGCTTTGCCATCTGCTCGTACTGGTTGCGCATCTCATTCAGGATGCAGCTCAGGTCCACGCCAGGTGCGGCATCCATCTCCACGTTCACTTCTCCACCGGTCTGACCTCGCAGAGCAAGCATCTCCTGGGAAGGGATGGCAGGAGGCGGTCAGCTCAGCAGACTCCTCTCCTGGCCCTGGGTGCATCTGGCAACCCCACCAAACCAGCCTCCCATCCCGGAAGCCAGCAGCAACCACACCTCCTCGTGGTTCTTCCTCAGGTAGGCCAGCTCCTCCTTCAGGCCTTCCATCTGCATCTCCAGGTCAGTCCTGGCCAGGGTCAGCTCATCCAACACCCGGCACAGGCCATTGACGCCAGCCTCCACAGTCTGCCGCAGGGCCAGCTCATGCTCGTAACTGGCAGGACAGAGGTCAGGTCCTTAGGCTGCAGCCCTGAGGATTCTGAGGCTCGGGGTCTGCTGGCCCTGCTGGGTGGACAGCTCCACTCTATGTCCCTTGCCCTCTGCCCCCAGCCCACCATGCTGGCTGCTCACTTGGTCCTGAAGTCATCAGCTGCCAGCCTGGCATTGTCAATCTGCAAAATGGGCTGCGCATTCTCAATGGTGGCCGCAATGATCTGGAGTGGGAATGGAGAACAGGAGCCCTGGTCAGGCAAGGACCTTACTACTTGAGCGTGAAAGGCAGAAAGGGGCAAAAGGAACCTCCCCAAATCTGGAAGTCTTCTGGCTGGCAGGGCTGGCATGCCTTCTCCACCAGCTCAGGGTATGCAGGGATGCACTCCATCCCGATCACCCCCTTCCTGGGCCCAAGGCAGGGAAGCGGAACTTGCAGCTGAACCCTTGCAGGAAATAAGAGATTCAGGGTAACAGCCCCAGTCCGGGCACAGAGATGCTGAAAAGGGACCCTCTGCCACCACTTCCCTGGATGATCCTGGCCACTCCCCAAAGGTGCCCAGTCTCCCTGTTTGTAAAGTGTAATTGCTAAAAAGAGGTATCCCGAGGGCCACTATAGCCCCAGCCTCTCTCAGTGCTCCATACACCAAAGTCACCTACCTTGTGCCTCAGGTCCTCGATGGTCTTGAAGTAGGGACTGCAGTCTTTGATCTCACTGGGCCGCTGCCTCTGGTACCAGTCACGGATCTTCACTTCCAGGTCGGCGTTGGCCTCCTCCAGAGCACGCACCTTGTCCAGGTAGGAGGCCAGGCGGTCACTGAGGTGCTGCATGGTCACCTTCTCACTGCCCACCAGAAGCCCATCACCACCAGCAAAGCCACCACCCAAGCCAGCACCCAAGCCACCACCGACGCCAGCACCAAGGCCACCACCATATCCTCCCCCAAAGCCACTAGCAAAGCTGCTGCTGCTGCCGAAGCCACCGCCATAGCCGCCCCCCAGCCCGCAGGCTCCCCCAAAGGAGAAGCGAGAGAAGGAGACACACAGGCCCCCCCGTAGGTGCTGGGGGCATGGCAGGACCCTCCGGCCAGGACAGAGGAGATGCGGCTGGAGCCGCCCCTGATGCTGCCCCCGATGCTGCAGGAGCCCTTCATGGATCTGGAGGAGGTGAACTGGTGGCTGCAGGTGCTCATCGTGCCAAGGAGGGAGGTGAGCGAGCGAGCAGTTGGCTGAAAAAAGGGAAGGTGCTCAGGAAGGCTAAGAGCATGCTGTGGCTGCCTCCAACCCCAGAGACCTTTATATGCACCTGGGGAAGGCGGGGCCCTCCTAACTGCTGACTCCAGGTTCCCCTCTGGATTTCATCACTCCCAGTCCCGTCCAACTCCTCACTCTGGATTATTCAGCCCAGGATCAACTCCGCTGTGTGCTGGCTCAGAGTTCCCACCCAGCTTTGAGAGTGTGGAGCTGAGAGAAAAACACACAAATGCGAGTCGGTGGTGACTCAGGCTAGGTGGCCGGGAATCAGGCTCCCGTTCCTGGAGCACTTGGGGCCAGTGGGGCCTTGGCACAGGTGGCTTTGTGGCAACTGCGTCCCCAGGCAGTGAGTCAGCCCTTCAGAAGAACTCCCTGCCCCACAGTGACAGCCTTGGCTGAAAGAGACCTCAGTGATGCCATCCTGGGCTGTCTTGGGGAGCAGTTGCGGGGATCCTACATGTCCCACTCTGGGCAGGGGCAGAGTTCGTGTCTTCACTCTGCTTGCTGTGTGGCCTGAGGCTCCCCACCTCCCACCTCTGGGCCTGTTTCCCCTCAGTGGTGACCAGGCTGGACTGGGTGATTGCAGAGTCCCTTCTGGTTCTAAAAATCCTATGACTCTCTTTCCCCTCTTGGATCTAATTCCAGTTCCGGAGGCTGCCTTGAGCCCCCGGGATCTCCAGAAGTGTGTGCACCATACAAACAGCACTGGCCATGGAGCCAGACAGGCGGCACTGAGTCCCTGCTCTGCCCTTACCAGCTGTACAGCACAGGCTGGTCTTACAGCCCCTTGGTCCTCAGTTTTCTCATCTGTAAAAGGGGATGACACACCACTAGCCACAAAGAAACATGCGCGAAGCACCCCACCGGCCCTTCCCCAAGGGCCAGCCCTGCCCCTCATCCTCCTCATCCTCCCCCTCCAGCCACCTGCTCCTCACACTCACCTCTACACACTGGCACCCTCCCGAACCGCTACGCGGGGCCCTGCGTCCCCCACACTCCCAGCTGAAGAACACCACAGCCCCACACCTAGCTCCTCCACTCCTCTACCGCCCTCTCCTAATCACAGGCACCCTACCTGCAGGCCGGTGGGAGGGAGCCCCGTCCTGCCACTGCAGCCAGGTGTGACCCCTGACCCCGCCGTGGGCCTCAGAGTTCCCCCCTACCCTGTAGAAACAGGACTGGCTGGGGATCCGTTCCCAGCAGTTCTCTCTCCTGTGTCCACAGATCCCACGCTGGGCCTGGCAGCTCCATTCATCCAGCTGAGCTGGGGGAGAGCACCGGTCATGGGCCCACTCAGGCACGCATGGAGAGCCTGGTGTGTGTTGTACGGTTCTGTGAGCAGGGATGACGGGGGCGTTATTCCTGCCACCAGTCCTCAGGTGAGGGAGCTGGGATCCAGGGAGGATAAGTGGGCTTCCCAAGACACCAGGCACTGGAAGCTGAGATGTGAACCTGCCTGCCTGTTCTCCTTGCCTAAGCCTGTTCTGTCATCCTGAGCCCTCTCTCTGTGCATCTCAAATTTATATCATTTTCTTGATCAGAGGGGACAGAGGGGTAACCAGAGACAGGTGGAGATTCACTCAAAGTCACTCTGCTTTAAGCTGCAGAGCTGCAACTAGAACCCAGACCTCAGCCCTCTCCAGGCTCCCACCATGCCTGCAGGTGAGGCCAGTATACCCAACTCTCACCCACCTCCCCACGATCACTGGCATGAGGTCTGCCCAGGGTGGGCGTGGCCTTGGCCTGAGAGGCTGGTGCAGCACCGAGGACTGGAGGGAGGAGGAGGGATCTGGGCACCAAGACGGGGCCTCCTCAGGGTGCCGTGGGGCATCCCTTGGTGCTGGCCACTGGCCTTGCTCTGCAGTGCCTCTGTTGAGGTGAGGAGCCCAGAGACAGCCTGCCTCTGCCTGGGCTCCACTGGGGCAGGCAATTCCTTGTCTCAGCAGAACCAGGGTTTTGTCGCTGCTACATCTCCCCTGGTCACTCTGGGATCAGAGGTAAGAGCAGAATGGATGCACATGCATTCAGAGCCAAACCTCAGAGAGGGAACCCGACACTCCCCACCTGAAGGGGTGGCCTGCCCCTCCACAACTGTGGGTGTTTCTCGTGGGGTGGGATGAGAGACTGAGAAAAGAAAGAGACACAGAGACAAAGTATAGAGAAAGAAAAATGGGCCCAGGGGACTGGCGCTCAGCATACAGAGGACCCACGCTGGCCCCAGTCTCCGAGTTCCCTCAGTATTTATTGATCATTATCTCTACCATCTCTACCATCTCCCAGAGGGGGATGTGGCAGGACAATAGGGTAATAGTGGGGAGAGGGCCAGCAGGAAAATGTGAACAAATGTCTCTGTGTCATAAACAAGGTTAAGGAAAAGGTGCTGTGCTTTGATGTGCACATACATAAACATCTCGGTGCATTAAAGAGCAGTGTTACCGCCAGCATGTCTCACCTCCAGCCCTAAGGCGGTTTTCTCCTATCTCAGTAGATGGAATATACAATCGGGTTTTACACCGAGACATTCCATTGCCCAGGGATGAGCAGGAGACAGATGCCTTCCTCTTATCTCAACTGCAAAGAGGCCTTCCTCTTTTACTAATCCTCCTCAGCACAGACCCTTTACGGGTGTCGGGCTGGGGGACGGTCAGGTCTTTCACTTCCCATGAGGCCATATTTCAGACTATCACATGGGGAGAAACCTGGCTTTCCTAGGCAGAGGTCCCTGCGGCCTTCCTTCCGCAGTGTTTTGTGTCCCTGGGTACTTGAGATTAGGGAGTGGTGATGACTTTTAACAAGCTAGCTGCCTTCAAGCATTTGTTTAACAAAGCACATCCTGCATAGCCCTAAATCCATTAAACCTTGAGTCGACACAGGGCATGTTTCTGCGAGCACAGGGTTGGGGTAGGGTTACAGATTAACAGCATCTCAAGGCAGAAGAATTTTTCTTAGTACAGAACAAAATGGAGTCTCTCATGTCTACTTCTTTCTATATAGACACAGTCCGTATAGAAAGAGACACTGATCTCTCTTTCTCTTCCCCACACCCACCCCCACCCCAAAGAGGGACAAAGGGGACCCCGGAATCTTGGACAAAAACCTCAGCGTTCAGGTGTCAGGGTGGGCCTGGAGTTCCAGTCCAACCACAGACCCATCACCCTCAGAACTGAAAATGGTCTTCAAGGTCACCAAAGCCTATCAATACCCCAACCGGAGAGGGCGAAAGCCTTATCCAGGTTAAGCAGCACAAAAGTGAGAGAGCACAGACCGGAGCCAGCTCCAACTCCCAAGCCAGGATTCACACCGACTCTCACAGTGGAGTCTCCGAGAACTCTTCACTCTCTGCCCCCACCGTGTGTGCGTGCACACACACCCCTTTCTCATTGGCTCACTGCCCCCCGCCAAGTTCCCCATTCCAGGAGGTGTCAGGGTGGGATTATACACAAGCCCAGCACTGCAGACCTGAGGATCTGCGTGGGCTGAGAAGCTGCAGGAAGTTGCTGACCAACGCGCCAAACTGCTCAGCCAACTCCATAGATCACGCACCTGCCGTGTGCACAGCTCTCGGGGGCTGGGGGTGAAGAGGGAAATGATGACATAGTCTCTGACCTTAGAAGAACTTATCATTTGACCCTGGAGGGAAAACTAACGCTGGAAAATGCAGAACCTGGCTAGAAACCCTAGGGTACTGGGCTTGCCTGCCACGCCCACACCACAGGAGGCAGCTGGGGTAAGCATTACCCCGCTGAGCCTCAGCAGTAGAGGAGGGGGCTGCCCTCCTGGCCTTGATCCCTGAAAGGGTCCCAGCAGAGGGAGGCACCAGCAGGGCCTCAGAGGATCTGAGTTGACAGAGGAGGAGGAGGCGTTTCCTCTGCATCAGTGATGCACACCTGCCCCAAGGTGGCCAAGAGCCAGGACCACTAAGCCTGGTGAGCATAGAGAAGCCCAATGGGCATCCTCCAGGCAGAGGATTCCTCCCCGCACCCTGCCTCCTTCCTCCCTCCTTCGTCCTGCCCATGTCAAGCATGAGGCAGGAGATCATAGCATACCTGAGGAGGCCGGGAATCACCATTGGCCAATGCCATGCCTTGGCTTGCAGTGATTCTCCAACCAGACAGATCATCAGAGTCCCCAAGAAGATTCGCAGCCCTGCTCCAACTCCTGCATCAGCACCACTCAGGACAAGCCTGCTGGTGGGGCTGTTTTACAAGCTCCCCAGCCAACTCAGACTGGGAAGGCAGGAGGCAGCTTAGGGGGCTGAGGAGTGGGGCAGAGAAGCTGAGGGGAGAGAGGGGGCTGCTGCAGGGCCCCCAGCCCTGGGTGGACAAGCCAGAGCCACAGGCTTCAGGGCAGGAGGAAGGAAAAGTAGAGCCCCACTGAGCCAGGACAGAGCAGCCTGGAATCGGGGCAAGCAGGGGCGAAACCTTGGGCAGGATATTCAGCCTCTCTGAGCCTCAGTTTCCTTGTCTGGGAAATGGGAATAACAGCCCTGTGTCACAGGCATATTAGGGGATTTGAGGCCAAATAAATAAAGCACCTGGCAAAGGCTGGTGGCTAGCGTTATGTTTATGAGCAGGTGTTTATAAAGCACCTACTGTGTGCCTGGCACTGTGCTGGGCACTCAGACTCAAAGAACAAGACAGAGAAGCCCTGGAGACATAGTCTTCTGGGGGAGAAGGTGGTAAAGACAATCCTAATACACTAAAGTCAGGCCACGATGGGGTGCTGGGGCCCTGCAGAGAAACAGAGGGAGCAGGGTTCCTGGGGGAGAACGAATGTCCAGGCCCAGGCTCTGCCCCTGTGATGGCTCCAGGGATCTGGGGAAATCTGTGAGTGCCAGGCCCACCATCGGGGGTCCTCTCCCCTCCTGCAAGTTTGACGCCCCCCTTCTGAAGGTGGGGCTGTCATAGCCCTTCACAATCCAACCACAGATCTGCAGCTTCTGCCTTGATGACGGGGTGAAACATTCTGTGCAGTGGGCAGGGTGGCTGTGGACGAACTGTGAGTCCTTCCATGAGTCCCATAGCTGGGTCCCCAGTCCAGCCCAGGCACATGTCCTCAGCAGCCTGGACCCACTTGGGGTGCCTGTTCTGCACAAACAAGGGGCCCGGACTCCTGTATGAGTCTCAGGAAACCCCCAAGAGGGGCTCCCATTGCCCCCACCCCAGGAGTGTGAGCGGGAAGCTGGTGCCTCCAGGGAAGGCTGCAGACCCCAGGGGGTTGTGGGAGAAAGAGTGGGCCTCTCTCAGGGATGTTTCTTCAAATGGTCACTACAGCTCAGGGTGAGGACGGGTCTCTGTTAAGCTCAGTTATCCCCTCGGCTCTGTGCATGTGGGGAGACCTGCCTGGCTCTGCTCCCTCTGTTCCCCTCATCTCCCCAAAACCTTGGTTGCCGCAATAGACCCACACTGCATAAGGGCTGAGGGACTGTTGTCAGTCCCTCAGGTCCCCTTGGGGCAGGCACTGTCTCTTGGGGTCAGGACCGGTGTCTCCTCCTTTCCCTGGACTCAGTGCAAACCAGACGCAGAGCGATGTCATGCCATGGATGAGTGTCCCCCACCACATCCGTCTCCGTAGAAGACATGCTGCCAGGTCAACCCCTGCAAGGGGGGTCCGGAGGCAGCTACCACTGGCATGGGCCTGGCCTGAGAGTCCTATATGTGTGTCCATCACACGAGACCAGGTGTGGCAGCTCTACAGGGCAACCACAGATCCGCAGCTTCTGCCTTGAGGACATTCTGTGCAGTGGGCAGGGAGTGTGTGGACGAACTGTGAGTCCCTCCTTGAGTCCCATAGCTGGGTCCCCAATCCAGCCCAGGCACATGTCCCCAGCATCCTGGGCCCACTTGGGGTCCTTGGACAAAGTCACTCAAGTCTCCCCACCAGCCCCTGGCAACCACTGCCTCTACTGGCTCAGCTCTCTGGGCACACCGGGGGGCTCCCCCATTCTGGCCTCCTGAGCCTCCCACCCACTCACTTTGTGGAGAAGGGCTTCTTCCCCAGCAGAGGGGCACAGTCTGGGGCTGTCTCTGGTCCTTCCCACACTCTGACCCCTCCTCACTCACGCCATCAGTAATTGTGGACCCCAGGCTCTACAGGAGGGAGAGATAGCCCTGCCTGGAGCCTGAGGTGGGGGAGGAGCTGGGGCTTGGCTCCTCTTCCCAGCACGGAAGCGGGGCCCACTCCCCTCCCATGCCCGTCTCCACTACTGACCCCTCAGGCTGTGGGACAAGGGCTGAGTCACTGCTCCTTGGAGCCTCAGTGTCCCCATCCACACAACAAGGCGCCTTCCCCTAGACCCTCCCTGCTTCCGGGGACTATTCAGACAAATGAAGTCACCCTCCAGAATGAGCCATCTGCAGCCCAGGGCTGTTCTTCTGGTTGTGGCGGGGTGTATGGTGGGGGCCTGGTGCAAACAGTGCCTCCCTCCTGCCCTCCATGGCCCCACATTTGCTGCCAGAGAGCAGGGAGACGTCAGCCTCCAACGGAGCAGAGCTTGCCCTTGCTTTGAGTCGTGCAGATGCCGCTGCAGGTGCAAGTCCCCGACTCCAGGCAGCCATCTACCCTGCAGAGAGAAACACTCTCCCGGGATGTCATAGCTCCAAGGTCCAGGGAGGGCTTGTGACCAGCCCAAAGTCACCCATACCCCAGTGGTCAGTACCCACCCCCATCCCTGGCCTCTGCCAGTCCCAAACCCCCACCAACCCAGGCTCAGAGGGCTCTGGTCACTCCCATTCTCCTCGGACCTGGGCCCCACCCCCAGCCTCCAGGCACCAGGAGAGAGAGGGTGTTTGGGGGCCTTGGTCTGATTCCGCAGCAGCAGAGACACCACAGGTGCAGCAGTGATGACGTGGCGGCACCCTCCTCCCACTAACCCCCTGCTTGAAGAAAACCAGGAAAGCAGGCCAACCCACCTGGCAGTTTCCAGATTTACTACAAGGAAGATTTCCAGGTGTCAGGCTCACCTCCCACAGACTGCTCCCCACAGCCACGTTTGCTGCCACCAGCAAGAGCTGGGGTTGGTCAGCTCATAGAGGGTGCCGGGAGTGGCTGGAGCAGGACTGTTCCTTCTCATTTTCCTAGGAGGCAGTTTCTACCCTCCCTCACACCACCCCTGTCCCTAGTGGGGAACCAAAGAGGATCCAGACCGCCAGGGAGAGTGGCACTGCTCCCTGGGCACAGCCACCCCATCTGCAGTGCCCCCCACTCTGCCCTGTCCGCATCCTGAGCAACAGCTGACCATGTGAGGAAACATCCTTGAGAGAGGCCCCACCCTTTCTCCCATACCTGCCTGGGGTCCGCAGCCTTCCCTGAAAACACCACCCTCCCGCTCACATTCCCAGGGCAGAGGCAATGGGAGCCCCTCTTGGGGATTTCCTGAGACTCACACAGGAGTCGGGGCCCCAATCACCCAGCCTGCCTCCCCCACCCACCCTCCCTTTGTGCTTATCCCAGCCCTTGCCCACCTCCTGCCCCATCTAGGGGGAGGGCACAGCCCACAGGACAGGAAGGAGCAACTGATTGAGTGAGTCATCTCTGAGGATTCGGGCTCCCACACCTGAGATCTTCCCATCCATTTACGGATGGAAAAGCAAGGCTCAGTCAGGGGAAGTGACTGCCTAACTTCCCGAGGTCACAGAGTTACTCACGGGGCAAGCAGTGGCGACCTAGGACCACACCTGATACACCGCCTCCACCCCGGGTCTAGCGCAGCCTGGACCACCCCCTGAAAATCTCCAGCCCTTGGGAGATGCGAGCACCCCCCTCCAAACTCTCCCCAGACTTACTCTTTATGCTGGTCTAAGCTGACCTCTGACCTGCCAGTCAACAACGGGGTCTCCACGCACCATCTCCCCTCACCCTCACTCCTTCCCATTTCACCCTTTTGTCCCCAGTGCCCACTTCAGCGGCCAGAACAAGGACACATTTCATAGCTGAGTCAACGAGCTTTATTGTCATCACGCAGGGAAGCATGGGGAAGGGACTGAAGCAGGGGGCTGAGGGTGGAGAGGCCGGAGACCGCGGGGCAGATGGGACCGCTGCCTCCCTGCCTCCTGGGGGGCCGGCCAGGAAAGCTGAGTGCTCAGCGGGTGGTCTGGCGGACCTGCTCGCGGGAGGAGATGACCTTACCATCCTGGACCTCTTCCACAATGGTAGGCACCTGACAGGTGGTCACCGCTGCAGGAGAAGCAGGCAATTTAAAGTGGGTAGGGGCCAGGAGGCCCTCGCTTGCCCCCTAGCCCTCATGGACAGGAGCCGGCTCTCTCCCTCGTCCTCCCCCAGGTGCTGTGAGTGCCTCCACTGGCACCTCAACATCACACTGCACACACATCCCTCCTGTCCCTGCCACCGCCTCCCTTCCATCCCATCCCTCTGCCGGTGGCCCTGTGTGAGTCTTGCCTCCGCAGATGGGTTATTTGATTCTGACCCAGTGTGTCCTGCCAGGGAGGAGCCATGTAGACTCCATGAAATCCATCTCCATTTCTCTGCAGTCTCCAGGACATAGATTTGCTCCCATCTCCCCCATCAGACTGGGATCGCCAAGACAAAAACCAGGCCCCTATCTCCTCCATTAGACTAGGAACCCTGGGGCTAGAATCATATCTTCTCCATCAGACTGGAATTTGGAGGACAAGGACCAGGTCCCTATTTCCCATCAGGCTAGAGACCCCAGAGACAGGACTGCTTTCGCTCATCCGAAAGCTGTCAAGAGCAAAGATCATGAGACCATGTTCCTATCTTCCCATCAGATGACAATCTCCAGAGCTGGGACATGTCTCCTCCATCAGACTAGGATCTCCAAGGTAAGGACCAGTTCCCTGGCCCACCCCATCAGAGCAGACAGCATCTCTCTCATTTGATCTTTTCCTGAGTATCAATCCTCAGTGCTAATGGGTCACTTCTCCCACCCCTGCTGAGGGACAGCCATCAACTCCTAGAACTCCTGGGGACTCAGCCCCAGCAACGTGCAGGTGGGCTGCCTGTCCCTTGCACCCAATCCCCAAGGCCTCAGCCACCAAGATGCTTATGTTCTTTCTTGTACTGAGTCAGGCTGAAAGAAAAAAAAAAACAGAGAGGAAATTAGATGTGAGTCTGAGAGCCCCCCCCCGCCAAGAGGCCCCCAGCCCTGACCCCAGGCTCCCCCACTCACTGGGCATCCTCGCCCTCCAGCAGGCGGTGGTAGGTGGTGATCTCCAGCTCCAGCCGCATCTTCATGTCCAGGAGGATCTTGTACTCCTGGTTCTGCTGCTCCATCTCGCAGAGAAGCTGGGCCAGCCGCTCCTCCACACTGCCGATCAGCCCCTGGATCTGGGACAGCTGCATGCAGTAGCGGTTCTCTGTCTCCGCCAGGTTGCCCTCCAGGGATGCTTTCTGCAGGAGGGCAGGAAGACCAGGGGTCAGTGAGGGTTGTCAGTGTCCTCTTCTGGGCCCATCCCCATGCACAGGACTGTTCCTACCATGCTGAGCTGGGACTGCAGCTCGATCTCCAAGGCCTGCATGGTGCACCGGAGCTCCGAAATCTCGCTCTTGCCGCTCTGGACCAGCTCACTGTTGGTAGCCACCTCGCGGTTCAGCTCCTCTGTCTGCAGACAGAACACAGGACAGGGTTGTGTGAGCCTGGATCCCTCTCCTCAGTCAGGCCTCCTCCCAAATCTAACTGTGGACAGAGTGATGCGTTCTCACCAGCTTCCCACGTCCCAAAGCCCAGAAACATGCCATTTGAAATGTTAACTTTTTATGGTTAATCCCTGCGTGTGGGAGGCACAGACCGGAAACTTGAGAACCAGCCAGAACATTAGCCTGGCTCTTGGTGCTAGTTTCTGACTTCTTGAGAGAGAGGTGGGGACTCCCAAGATCTTTACCCTCTGCCTTTATTCTGTGGGGGCTCCCTACCTCCCCACCCACCCCCCAGATCCCAGCTTGAGCTCAGCTCCAGGTCTCTTGATGCAGTGGGTGACCCTGTGGTCCATGCAGCTTTCTGAGGAGGGAGCATCTCCAAGACACCTGGCCGTGGGCTTACTGTCAGTGCTAAGGCCCCTGAGCCCCAGCCCCGAAGAGAGACCTCTGGCCTGCAGCAGCCCCCACCTTGCTGAAGAACCAATCCTCGGCATCCTTGCGGTTCTTCTCTGCCATCTTCTCATACTGCTCACGCATCTCATTCAGGATGCGGCTCAGGTCCACACCTGGGGCAGCGCCCATCTCCACATTGATCTCACCGCCCACCTGGCCTCGCGGGGCGTTCATCTCCTATGGAAAAAGGGGATGTGGATGTGCGCATCTGGACCCATCCTGATCTCTCACTCCCAAGCCTTCCCCCACGAGGTGACCCCACTCCCCACAAGGACCCCTCCTTTGTTCTTCCTCTGCTCTATCTGACCCTCTAAATGATTTTTATTCATCTGCTCAGTATTGCCTCCACCATCAGACTCTATCTCCCCCATTAGACCAACGGCTCTCCAAAATAAAATCTAATTATTAGGCCTATGCCCCAAAAATTTCCCCTCTAATTTCCAAGCTTCTGTGTAGATGTTCAGCTTTGAGAGTTTGAAATGGGACAAGAAGGAGACTTCCTTACTTATCCCCTGCCCTCGTGAGGGAGGCCAGGGCAGGTAGAGGGAGCCTCTGCGGGCCCCTGGGAGGTTCCTTGGGTACAGAGAAGCAGTGTGGTACAAAGAGGAGTCTGCCCTGCACGCTGGACCCCAAGGATCAGGGCTCCGCAGACAGGGAAGCCCTCTAAGGTGACTAATCCCAGTGCGCCTGCTCTGCTCTCTCCCACGGCCTCAGCCATGGCCCAGCCCCAGGGCTCTGCCACCCACTCCTCAGCATCTTTGACCTTCTGCCCCAGCCACCTCACCTCGTGGTTCTTCTTCAGGTAGGCCAGCTCCTCCTTGAGGTTCTCAATGTGCATCTCCAGGTCGGCTCTGGCCAGGGTCAGCTCATCCAGCACCCTGCACGGGCCATTGATGTCGGCCTCCACACTCAGGCACAGGGCCTGCTCTGTCTCAAACCTGCCATGGGAATCAGGGACTTCAGCCCAGGCTGCTTGGAATTGCAGGTCCAGGTCCTGGCTGCTCACCTGCCTTCATTTTGCCAGGACTCTAAGGGGTTGGAAGGGCTGATGAGAGGGTCGAGTGGAAACGAATTCCAGCCCCGGGGCCTTGGGACCATCACAGGGCCAGATCCTACGCCCACCAGCTTCCTTACTTCTCTCTGCCTCCCGCCTCCCCTCCCTCTCTTCTATTCCCTGCCTAAGCCCAGCAACCTTCACAACTGGCTGCCTTCACTGCATCCTGGACTAAGTAGTGGGGCTCCTAGGACTGCCCCACCCTGAGCTCCTGGGCCTTGCCACAAGCAACCAAGGAGTCCTGGGGTCAGGAGGGGTACCCTGAGATCCTCCCCCAGCTGACCCAGGCTGCCCAAGCCCACAGCTAGGACTCACTTGGTGCGGAAGTCAGCAGCAGCCAGATGGGCATTGTCAATATGTAGCAGGATGTTGGCATTGTCCACGGTGGCTGTGAGGATCTGCGGAGATGGGAGAGTAGTCAGGTCATCGGATGGGGGTGGCTGAGCCCACACCAGAGTTCTGAACAGATCTTCCTGCCTGGGGGCCTCTCTTCCCGCCCAGCCCCTCCCTTGCCCCGTGCTGTATTATTGGCAGAGGAGGGGCAAGCAGGAGTCTGAAGGGTTCAAAGGTGCCTCTTCTTCCCCCGCTACTCAGTACCCCACCAGACCCCCATGCCAGGCTCAGCCTTAAAGGAGAGGAGGCAGCTGGCTGGGAGTATGAGACAACCAGAAAAGAAAGGGAAAATGTCCCCAGGGCAGAAACTGTCCCAGAATTCTAGAACAAGGGAGGGGATGTGGGCAACCCCCTCGTTTTACAGTCAGCTAGAGGGTGCCCCTGACAGGCTCCCCCAAAAGGAGGCTAAAGGAGCCCTCACCAAAGAGTGGTCCCAAATCAGAAGTCAGGACCCTTCCTAATCCCTAACCCTGGGCTCCAGCCAGCAGCCCCGCCCCCTGCGGTTTGTTGAGCCTGTCTTAAGGGACAGCAGGAGGAAAGGAGAAGCCAGAAAAATCCCCAAATAAGGCACATCAGAGGCCTTCCCCACCCTGAGGTCCCACCCCCTCCTTTCTGCCTCCCACCCGCAGCAGGTGCTATCGGGAGCTCACTCAGACACCCCCACTCCACAACTCCCAAAACCCCTTCCTGCTGACCCCTGCTCCAAAGGAGCAAGACACCACGCATCCAGTGGCCCATGGGCCCAGCCCTCCATCTGCATCCTCCTGCCTCATCCTACAACCTCTCCAGGTGGAGGAGCTCCACGAGGGAGAAACTGAGTCTCCAAGGGGCTCCACGAGGCCTGTTTGTTCCTGACTCAGCCTACTGCCCCCAGAAAAGGGGGATGTGGGCCACACAGGGGCCCCAAGGCAGGTTCCCAGAAGCTAAGCCACAGCCAAACCACCCTTGGCTCCCCGAGACCCTATGGCTGGACTCCAGGCCTTTGGCCAGGGCAGGAGTTGGGGGGAAGAAGTGATGCCCCCTGGAGACCCCTCCCACCAGCAGGCCCTACCTTGTTCTGCAGCTCCTCGATTATCCTGTAGTACTGGCTGTAGTCACGGGCGGGCCCCGGGGCCTGCCTCTGGTACCAGTCACGGATCTTTACCTCCAGCTCAGTGTCGGCCTCCTCCAGGGCACGCACCTTGTCCAGGTAGGAGGCCAGGCGGTCATTGAGGTTCTGCATGGTGGCCTTCTCACCTCCGACCAGCAGCCCATCAACGCCCTCAAAGCTGCTGCTGCCATAGCCACCGCCAGAGCCAAAGCTGTAGCAGCTGGAGTAGCTGCTACCCCCGAGGGCGCTGCCCAGGCCACCAGCAGATCCCGGCCTGCAGGAGCCGGCACCCAGGCCGCCAGACAGCTGGCAGGAGGTGCGGGACGAGCCGCCCCCCAGGCCAGAGGAGCCCTTGATGGAGCTGGAGGAGGTGAACTGGCGGATGGAGGTGGTCATGGTGGCGGCGGCAGGAGGCAGGCACACAGGAGAAGGGCTGGAAAGAAGAGGGGCCCCAAGTAGTGTAGGGCTGCCGGGGTTCACAGGCTTCCTTTATAGGCCACCAAGTGGGCGTAGCGATTACAACAGGCTCCTCTGTTTCCCTTCCCCTGGGCTTTCATCACCACGGGCCACCTGCCAGCTCCCAGGTGGCTGGGGACCCCCTCCCCACCCATCATCAGGAATTTGCCTCATTTCTCCAAATCCTCGTGCTGGGTGCCACGCGTGTGCGTGCCACTGCTCTGAGGCCCGTCACCTGTGATTTGGGCGGGCCCTCCAGCTATGCTTTCCCATGACCTAATATGGAGAAGAGGAGAATACAGGACTTCACCGTCCCCAGGCCCTCCCAGGCAGCCACCACCCCAGCCCGGCCCACCTCAACCCTGTCTGGTGGGGAAATGGGTTGCAGTGTCAGGTGACCACCCCCCTGAAGTTGCTGTCTTTCACCCCACACTGCTCCACCCAAGGTGCTGGCCCGGGGCTGGGTGCTGAAGAGAAAGAGGGGACCGAGAGCCTATCCTGCCTTGGAAACTGAGCCCAAACCCACCAGGCCCACCTCACAGCATAGAAATGCCATCAAGGCTCGGAGACCAACCCACATCGCAGATAAAGAAATTGGGGCTCCAGAGGGGTGCAGTGGCCCCTTCTGCAGAGTCTGACACCCAGGAATGCACTCTAGGGGCTACAGTTCCATCCAGTCAGCTTCTGACCCTGCCCCATCCCTAGAAGCCCTTGCTAACCCAGTCTCCTCGTGTAAACCTTTCCCCAGGTTTACACTCCAGGCTGGGGTGGGCAAACAGGGGCTCAGCTATAGGATGGGGGAAAGGTGGGCCGTGCTAAGAGAGGATCTAAACCAACTGAGAGGGGAATGCCCCCTTCCACTCCTCTCACCCTTCTGTACCCCAAGAGACCTCAGGGTCAGGGGAGGGGCATTTCTCTCAGGTCTCAGCCCACAGGAAACCTAAAGGACATTGCCCAAGAAGAGGCTCTTACAGAGACCCCAGCCAGCCAGCCCCCTCCCCACTCCAGGCTCCCCAAGATGTGGCTCCTTGGGCGGGCCAAGTGCCCCACTCCACAGCCCCACCCTGCCCTGCCCACCACCCCAAGCCCCGCCCTGGATCCCAGGGTCCCGCCAGGCCCGCTGGGTGGAAGGTGGTCATGTTTCAGACTGCCAATGGTTTCCACTTCCCAGACAGGCCCAGGTAGCCCCACCAGCAGCGGAGAGAGATTCCTCAATAGCCCAGTGGCTGCCAAGCCACCAAAGCAAACAGGACACCCCCCATGCGTACACGCACAGCGGCCACCCTGCCCCACACACACCCCGAGCTGGGCAGAGCCGGTCTGCTTTCCTGGGCTAGCTGCCTCGCTCTCACCCCCTCACTCATCAGTGCCCTGGACCACTCCTTCAGAAGCCCCTCCCCACCGAGCCCCTCTCCTTCTGCTCTTGAACCCGCCCTGGGCTGAGGCAGGGAGTGCTCCCCAACAGGTGTGGTCCTTGGAAAGTCTGTGTGGCCCTCCCAGGGACCAGCCACAGGTTGACAGGGACTCAGGGGCTGATTCTTAGAAACTTTTCCCAATACAAGGGGCTGTCCCTTCCCTCCACCCTTAATCCTTCCTCCTCCCCTCTGGTCTTTCCAGGAGCCCCAGGCCTGGATGGAGTGGGCAGAACAGATTGGCAGGTGACAAGCCGATACCCAAACACTCAATAAACTCTCCACCTATCCCAGTCCCTCAGCCCACACTGCCCCAAACCAATGAACAGACCAGATCACACGAGGCATTGAACTTGGAGCAAAGCTTTAATAGCAGGCACTGGACAAACCCAGGAGGCCTCCTCAGTGAGGGGCTGCAGAAAGTAGATACAGAAAGACAACAGGTCATGGACCAGTGCCCAGACGGACACTCGGGGCGTGGCAGTAGCATGCTGGGAGCTGGAGCTGATGGCTGTGCCGTGACCCTCGAGGTGGGGCTGTCACAGGCAGAAAGGGGCCTCAGTGGGTGGAGAGATGGACCTGCTTACAGAAGACCACCTCTCCAACCTGGACTTCCTCCACGATGGCACACCTGGTGGCTGGTCACCGTGGCTGCAGGCGATGGAGGAGGGAGGCACAGGGAACATCAGGCAGGAGCTCTTCCCCCCACCTGCCCCTGAGTCTGTGGTCCCCCCAGTCTCCCACACAGAAGGGTCCTCAGCCTCTCCCCCGCCTTGGGGTCCACACAGCAGGACAGGGCAGCTTCTTACCTTCCCGGGTGGGCTGCGAGGCCAGGGACAAGGAGTACTGAGTGGCCAGCCTGCAGGGAGAGGAGCACCCATCGACCCAGGGATGCCAGCCAGCCCAGGCCCCTGTAAGCACTGCTGGGGAGAAGCAGGCCCTGGCAGAGGAGGTTCCCCTAAATTGGTGAAAAATCACAGTTGGGAATGCACAGAAATTAGCACAGGCCCAAGAATGAAAGGGCAGGGGTTCAGTGCAGCAGGAAGAAGAAAAAGAAACAGCACAGCAGTAGGCCTGGAGGCACTCACCAGGAATTTACAAGGAGAAGCTGAGCAAGTGGTTTTTCCATGTCCCAGAGGACCCAACCAATAGACCCAATTAAAGCAGGAGAGACTGTTGTTAGACTATAGATGGACTTCACCATTTTCGGGGAGCAAAAAGCTGCAACGTGTGACTAAGCATGGAGACTCCAGGACACACTCAGCTGAAGGCCTGATCACCCTTCCCAACTGCAAACCCGACCACCACCCACCATGCTCTTCACCCTGTGGCTGATGGACTCACACAGTCATCGGAACCAGAAACCCAGGGCCATCAATGCCCACTCCTTCATATGTGTTCACCCAACGCTTACTGAGTCCTGACCGTGAGCCACGCTTACCCTGAGATCCAGGCATCCAGTCCTGCTGTTTTGAGCTATAACCTCTCTTCTGCGTGCACCACCTTCCTTCCCCTGCCCCCCCACCCAGCCTCCACCCCGCAAGACTTCTCTGGCCAGACTCCCTGCTCTAGCCCCCTGACGCGTCTCTCTGGCCCCACCCTGACCCCTCTGATCCATTTCTCCCTCTGTAGCCAGAGTGAATGTTCTAAAATATCTTGATGTTCATTCCCCTCTTCTGCTCCAAATCCCTCCATGGCTCCCCATTGCCTACGTGATCTAG
This sequence comes from Homo sapiens, assembly GCF_000001405.40. NCBI lineage: Eukaryota > Metazoa > Chordata > Mammalia > Primates > Hominidae > Homo > Homo sapiens. The sequence goes on from NC_000017.11 coordinate 16,849,009, forward strand.
TCCAGACGCTTTAACTTGGCAGTCAAGGCTCCTCAGTCAGACTCCAGCCTGCATCGTCAGTTTCACCTCCTGCAAACCCCACAGGTTCCCACATTCACACCTCCTGAACTTTGCTGGTGCTCAGACACCAACTTCTCCCTGGGTGAAGTGGGCCCCCAGCCCGCCCCAGCAGGTACCTGGGTGCACACTCACCGGGCGTCCTCAACCTCTAGCAAGCGGCTGTAGGTGGCGATCTCCTGCTCCAGCCGCGTCTTCACGTCCAGAAGGACCTGGTGCTCGTGGTCCTGGTGCTCTGCATCACAGCAGAGCTCGCACAGCTGCTGTTCCATGCTTCTGATGAGCCCCTGCAGCTGGGCCAGCTGGGTCCTGTAACACACCTCCGTCTCCACCAGGCTGCCCTCCAGCGATGCTTTCTGTGGGCCAAGAGATAGGTGGTGCGATGAGATGGACGTGGGACCCTTCCCCATGGCAGAGCACTAGAGAGGAGCCCCTCCTGTATGGAGCTGTGGGTGCTGCCGGCACAGTTGGGTGGTAGTGCACCCAGCCACTGAGTGTGAAGGGACAGGCTGGGTGGGGACTCTGGTTCTCCAAGCAGGGGTCTATAAGGCTGCGCTCACCCTGGGGTGACAGGTACAGGGTGGGGAGGGGACAGAGGCCCTACCTTGCTGAGCTGGGACGGCTCAGGTTCTGCACAGAGATGTAGAGCTCCATATCTCCATCCTGCCGCTCTGCAGGGCCTCTGTGTTGGTGGCCACCTCGCAGTTCAGCCTCTCTCTCTGGAAGGCAGAGTGGGCCACAGGGGTTTATGGAGACTTTCACAAGTGGGGCACAGGAAAGGGGCTGTTCCTGAGCCCTCGCCTCCCAGAACCATCCCCTAAACCCTCCCTGGCCTCTATGGGGCCCCAAAGGCACCTGCACACAAAGACCCTCTGCACCCACGTTGGACCTTGGAGGAATTCAGCCTACTCTGCGGTCGTTTGCATTTCTTACTCCTACCGAACTACAGCACCTCAAAGACAGGCACTGGGTGTTATTCTTTTGCACCTGTTGCTGTCCCTAGGACACCGGACACACTCAGCCTGTGCTTGCCAAGGGTATGTGTATGTACTCAAATACACACATCCTGTAAACAGCTGTGGTGGAAACCCAAGACCAGACTTGCAGAGAACTGGATCTATTTTGCAGGCCACAGTGAAGGGCTGTGTGAGCTTGAGTCCTCTCTGAGCCTCACATTTTACATCGAAGACATGAAGGGCTGGTCCGACTGGTTTCCAAAAGTCCTTCCAACTGGGACAGCCTGTGAATCTGCCGGTGTTCCAACTGCACCAGCACACGGCGTATGTGCCCACACGTGTGCACACCTGCTTACACACGGCCACCCACCACGCTGAAGAACCAGCCCTGGGCATCCTTGCAGCTCTTCTCCACCAGTTTCTTGTCCTGGTCACGCATCTCATTCAGGATGCAGCTCAGGTTCACTCCAGGCACAGTGTCCATCTTCACACTGACATCCTCGTCCACCTGACCTCAAAGGGCGTTCATTTCCTGGGCAGAGAGGACAGCAGGAACTCACCCAAGGCCATCCTGGGGAAAGACCCTGGGGCCTGCCTTCTCTCCCTCGGAGAGACAGGTACGGATGACAGACAGACAGACAGACAGACACAGATAGGCCAACAGCTCCTCACCCTGAAGGTGGAGATGGATGTTGTCATTACTCAAACATACAGGGCTATGAATATCAGCAACCTCCCCCAACACACACTGTGACTCGGGACTGGACTTCACCCATCCCCAACAAGTGCTAAGCCCCGAGAGATGACAACCCCCCAGCACGGCAGAGAATGACCATGGGCGACCTCACTCACTGCCCTGACCTCGCCCCTACCACCGCCTTGCCCCCACCACCAACCCCAAAGCACAGGCATGCAAAAAGCAACCTTACGCTGGTGTCACCGCACCAGGCCCCGTTAGCAAATGTTAATCTGCTGGAGGAAAGCAATTGTATAACCAGCCTCAACGCCAGGGGGAAACACCTTCCGGGTGTCCTGCTTCTCGGGGAGTAGGCTCCCCCAGCTTAGAGCAGCACAGAGCTCGGCTGAGAAGGAAGCCACAGGACAGGGCATGTAAGACCTCCTGACCGCCCCGGCAGGACCTTGGATCTCTATCCTTGGGTTCAGCCTTGGAGTCCCTGGGACCTAGAACCTTCTGGAAAGGAGAGGCAGGAGAGGGGCAGAGAGGTGGGGTGGATACGAGTCCGACAGACCTGAAGGAGGGTCCCTGTGCAGCCGTAGATATATCCCTTAACCTCTCTGAGCCTCAGTTTCTTCACAGGTCAAAAGGAAGAAAGAGTATCTTTCTCCCAGTTTTTGTATCAGTTGAGATAATGGCTGTGAGTCACTTGTAGTGCTGGGCAGAAGTTCCTTGTTTTAATGACTATCACTATTATAATTAATTATAATAATTGGCATTGTGTGTTCTTACACTGAGTTACTCATTAGTTAGTTAACTGCAGTGAGCTGAGCCTCAAGGGACAAATGAAGTCTATTTGAGAAAAGGGCTCCTCCAGGCCTCACCCAGGGTCCTCTGAGGGTCAGAGCTAGGCATCCATAAAGGATGGGAACTGGACTGGAAGCATGGCCCAACCCAGGGAGGTTCTGGGCCCCAGCCTCGCTTGCTTCCAGGTGAATTTCTGCTGCATTCCCTGAGCTGAACTCACCTCCTCATGGTTCTTCTTCAGGTAGACCAGGTCCTCCTTGAGGTTCTCAGGCTGCATCTCCAGGTTGGCTCCAGGCAGGGTCAGCTTGTCCAGCCCCTGGGGCAGCTCCAGAGACCCAGCCTCACTTGGTGCAGAAGTCATCAGCAGCCAGGTGGGCATCATCCACCTGTAGCCAGTATGAAGCTGGAATTACCGATCACAGCCACCACGATCGGGGAGAGACGTGGGCTCCATGAGAAAATGCCCTTGGCAGCCTCCAGGAGACCCTCCAACACCCTTCTTGCAGCCTTTTTGGAAGTGAGCCAGGGTGGGGGTGATGAGAGTCCCCGTGGTCTTCTCTGAGCACCCTCCTGGGAATTTCTGGGACCCAGCCAAGGCCCTCGGGGGTTAAAGGGTGATGGGGGTAGGATGCCCAGGCATGGGTAAAGATGGATGCCAGGAGAGAGACCCTTATGCAGCCGTCTCCCACCATGGGGGTCATGGCCTAAGCTGCCTAGGCCTCACTCCCTCTTCCCCAATGAAATTCACCTCTAGGCTCAGCTGCCACCTCCTCCAGAAAGCCCTCTTGGATTACCTTTCTGTGTCTCTTTTCCGGGCCATACCTCCTCCCTTCTCCAGCCCGGGTGCACACTCACTGGGCGTCCTCAACCTCCAGCAAGCGGTGGTAGGTGTCAATTAGTTCAACTTCTATGGAAAAAGTAGGGAGGTATCTCAAAGAACTAAAAGTACAACTACCTTTCGACCCAGCAATCCCACTACTGGGTATCTACCCAAAGGGAAAGAAATCATTATATAAAAAGGCACTGCACTCCCATGTTTATCACAGCATAACTTACAACAGCAAGGTCATGGAACCAAGGTAAGTATCCACCAACGGTTCATTAAATAAAGAAAATGTGGTGCATATACACCACAAAGTACTAGGCAGTCATAAAAAAGAACAAAATCATGTCCTTTGCAGCAACACAGATGCAGCTGAAGGTCATTATCCTACGTGAATTAACGCAAAAACAGCCAAATATTGCATTTTCTCATGTATTAAGTGAGAACAATGGGTACACAGGGAGCCCAGGCTATTTATTTGTGCTCAAAAAAAGAAACAGGTGGTGAGGCTGTGGGGGTTTAAAGGAAGCAATGTATCAAGTGAGTGAGCTACAGCTGCGATGGTGTAGCATTTTCTTTGAAACATGTGGCTACTTGAGATAATGGGAGTGCTAGAAGCAAGGAGCCAGCAAGTCTAGCAGACATGCAAGCTCTGCCTCAGCTTCTCTCCCAACACTCAGCTTTTCTCCCAACAGGACAGAGTAAGCAGCAGTAAGTCTCAGAGCCTTAGGACCAGAGGGGCCCCAGTGCCCCTTGGCCAGGATGCTGAGCCCAGAGAGGGCAAGATCCTGACTTGAGGTCACACAGCAGCAAGCCCTGGCAGAACTAGCATTCCTTTTGGAGAAATTCAGAGTTCATGGTCCCCAGGAGTCATTCATTTACTCATGCATTCATTCGGCAATTACATATTGAGCATCTACTATATGCCAGGCCCACTTCTAGCCCCAGCATACAGCAGTGGACAAGACAAACCAATTCCCACCTCAAGGAGCTGATGCTCTGGTCACAGAGACAGAAAAGAAGTGAAGAAGATCACATTACATGATGCTAAAGGCTAGCAAATAAAATTACACCACATGGAATGTTGGAGTCACTCTGTCCAAATGGTGGCCACTAGCCCCATATGGCTATTTGAGTTTCAAGCAATTGGAGTAATTGAAAATTAAAGAGTTTAGCGGCCGGGCAATGGTGGCTCACGCCTGTAATCCTAGCACTTTGGGAGGCCGAGGCGGGCGGATCACGAGATCAGGAGATCGAGACCATCCTGGCTAACACGATGAAACTCCATCTCTACTAAAAATACAAAAAAATTAGCTGGGGGTGGTGGTGGGCACCTGTAATCCCAGCTACTCAGGAGGCCGAGGCAAGAGAACGGAGTGAACCCGGCAGGCGGAGCTTGCAGTGAGACGAGATCACGCCGCTGCACTCCAGCCTGGGGAACAGAGTGAGACTCCATTTCAAAAAAAAAAAGACTTTAGCAGAGCTGCAGCCGTGCTTGGAGCTTGCAGACGCCACATCACTGTCACCACTACCTCGCTCCCATCCCCGCCGCAGCCAGGGGCATGCTCAGTCACCCCGGGCAGTGTCCCCGCTGTGGCCCTGTTGCGATGGCCACCAAGGTTGACAAAGAGGCTTGCGGGGAGGCCTACAACCTGGCGCGAGACGATGGCTTGGCCATCATCTGGGTGACTTTTAAATATGACGGCTCCATCATCGTCCCTGTTGGGCAAGGAGCAGAATACCAGCACTTCATCCCCCAGTGCACAGACGAGATCTGGTTGCTTGCCTTCGTGTGCGTCACCACGAGGGATGCCACCCTCATCAGGTGGATCGGCAAGAACGTCAATACCTTGGTGAAGGAGGTCATACAGGATTTCGCTAAGGAGTTTGTGATCAGTGATCAGAAGGAGCTGGAGGGAGATTTAATGAAAAGCGAACTGAAGAAGACTGGGGGAATCAATTACAACGCCCAGATGGAGTAACCCCAGCTTCCCCACTGCCCCTTGCCAAAGTCATCTGTCTGCTCCCCGGGGAAGGGGCCCTCAGGCCTCAGCTACCAACCCACCAGCCCACCAGGGAGAAAAGAATCCATGAGAGGCAGCACCCGCCACCCTGCGTCCACAGCCCCCACCTTCCTGCTTCCCTTAGAACACTGCTGTGTCTTATCTCATGAAGCTCGTGGAACCCCTTTCTTTGATTTTTTTCTTTTCTCCCCCTCTCTTTTGTTCTAAAGAAAAATCATTTTGATGCAAGATCCTGCCTGTCATCAGATCCGAGGTGCCTCCTGCGGTAACCCCTTTTCCTGGCATTTCTCTTACATATAATGAGGCTGCCTAGTGGGATCTGCACGACCTCATGTTGCTTCTGGAGCCTAGATTTGTTTTGCCATCTCAGTTTTCTTAGGTCCCCCTTCCTGTTTA